>NC_000015.10:29337480-29640510 GCF_000001405.40 Homo sapiens
GGAAGGCACAATGACTGGTTACAGTGAGATTGTATTACATTTGTAATTTACAGAAAGGGAAACACACAAACTGCAAGAGAAATAGATCCCTAGAGAGCGTGGTCCAAGAAGGCTGTGTCCACATTTCCACATTCCCTGTGGCTGAATGCCCAGACTTTGAGATCAACCCCATCAGGAAGAAAGTTAAAGACAGAGGCTAATCAGAGTTTGGCAATGCTGAGAGCTTCCACGTGCCAGGTCCTGCCTGGGCTCTTTACCTATATTACGTCATTCAGTTTTCACAACTTCCCCATGAGGTGTCATCCATGTTACAGGTGAGAAACTGAGGCACAGAGACAGTAGCAATTTCCCTATGATCCTAAAGTGATCAGAGGTACAGCTGGGATTCCCATCCAGGCATCCCAAAGCCTGAGCTCTCTATGTTGTGACACTTCATAGTTGTGTTGACTTTTATCAAATCATTCAACCTCTTTGAGGGTCATTTTTCTTATCTGTCAAATGAAGGTGACAACAACACCTTCTTTTTGCAAAGATTCCTTTGCAAAAAGGAATCTTACATATCTTTATCATATGTATCTATATCATCATACATGTACGTATATCATCTCGCCCAGTGCCTGCAGACAGGAGACTGCAGAGCTATGTGCCCAACCAACCTCACAGGGAGGGCACTTTTGAGTGTGGGCAAGGTGCCATCAAATCCACTGATAAGGGACAGTTTAGGGAGTGAGGAGTGCATGTCCCACAGCCCCTCTGCATATAAGGAGTGAAGAGGAGGGTGGTGATGAGGTAGGACAAGGGTTGGAATAGGAGATGAGACTAAGAAACCAGGCAGCTCAGGAGGCTGAGGCAGGAGAATCACTTGAACCCGGGAGGCAGAGCTTGCAGTGAGCCAAGATCGCGCCACTGCACTCCAGCCTGGGTAACAGAGCGAGACTCCATCTCAAAAAAAAAAAAAAAAGAAAAGAAAAAAAAGAAACCAGGCAGGCACAGATGGCCACGTGGAGAGGTCAGCCCCTGAGAGGGCTCTGGACCACAGCCTGAACAAAGAGCACGGATGCAGGCAGCTGCCTTGGAGGACACAGAGGATGTCTCTTTGTGTCGCCTCCATAGGGCACTGGTGTCTGGAAGAGCTCCTCGGCCAGCCATCACTTAGATGGCTGGCTGACTGGGTTAACTTTCCACCCACTCCCTCCTCCAACCACCCAGCTTGATGTTCCTTCAATACCTCTTCAACACTCATGAGGAGGGACGGGAGTAAACTGGTTTTCTTTTAATAAAAAATATTATGCCTTTCTTTTTAATTGCAAAGTAAGGTTTTTAAAAATACCATTTCCAAATAAAACGGTTGTGGGAGGCATAGTAAACATTTAAAATTTACATCATACAATGAATTATTGATTCCCAGCAAATAATACTCCCCACTCAGTTTCAGATTTTCAGCTGAATGTAGCAGGGCCCGAGAGCCTGTGCCAGGCCCAGTCCTCTACATCAGGGACCAGGGAACACTTGGATGGGGTGGGGTTTTATGTGTCTCTCCACTGCCCTCAAAGGCACTGCCAATCTCAGCAACAGGAAGGTGCTGACTCCTGACTCACCAGCTCTACTGCAAGTCCATCACCTGCAAAACCTCAGTGATTTGGTCCAGTGATGTGCTACTGCCCAGCACTAGTGGAGTTGGCACGAGATAGGGCCCCTGGCAGCTGCCCAGCGGCCCACCCCTCCATTCGGCTTTGATGCCATGGGAGAGGGCTGGGGCCAGTGACAGTCAAGACCCATGGGCCCAGGCCTTCAGAGTGGCTCTTAGCATAAGGGAGAAGGGGGTCAAATAAGGGAGAAACAGCAGGGAAAATTGAAAAGACATTCTAATGGCTAGTGGGGTGGAGATGGAACAGGTAACCAGGTCTTTCTGGGGACAGACAGGCATGATATGAGAGATCCATCCAAGGATCCGTGTTTAACTGGGACAGGTGTGCAGCTTCGGGATGTGGGGATGAACTGTGAAGTGAAGACAGAAAGAAAATTCGTGCGCTGTAACAGGCTCAGTGCTCTCTCTACCATATGTCACCATAATATTTCAATCATTAGATCTGAACTAAATACAGATTTAATTTACCAAATAACGTTTTAATGACAACAGCAGTGGCCCCCAGCAGCACTCCAATTTACGTACAACTTCGAGATAAATTACATCGTTTGACTTGCGAGAAAGATGTCTAATTAGGAAGATTTCCAGATATAAAGAACTGTCACTGTAAGGCATGTCATCTCATCACTCTAAAGTCACTCATTAACATATGAAAACATTCCCGTTTAATAAACTGCTTATGTCAAACGAGGTCCTGAAGATGGGACGTGGGTGAAGGTGCTGCCCAGTAGGCGGCTCAACTGATTCATCACCTGATGTTATCGGCCATGGCCATCCCTCCGCCTTCAGATGGAGTCGCCAGATAGATATTTTTGCCATACAAGGTTCTTATTTCATTTTATCGTATTCTGATTTTCTAGCTGGGTATATTTCAGAATTAGTATTTGTGTTAGGATAAGACACTAAGATTCTCTTGAAGCACTGGTGTTTTACACAGTTTATCTTAAAGGCTGCTTCCAAGTTGCTGCAAGATAAAACTGACTTAAGGAGTCTGTCAATTAGATGCAACCATGGTAACCAGAGAAAACTGCAAAATGGCCATAATTCTGCAACTTTGCCCCAAATGAGGACAAAACCACCCTGTATCCAATACAATACATATACTGGGTTTTGTAGTGGCATGAAGAAATGCCTTCTGAAGTTGGCCCAGTTTAGGAGGTATCAGGAACGACATCTCAGTGGGTTTTTGCAGGAAGAATAGGAGTTTGCTGATAAATTTCATGCTTCCTCTGTAGACAATGGGGAAGCATCAGAGGGGACGTAGCAGGGTGTTGAAGTGACAAGTTCTACAGCAGGGAGGGTGGATTTGGAGCAGGGCAGGGATGAACAGAGGGCCAGTGCAGGGGAGGGGACCACTCAGAAGAATGCTACATTCCTTTCAGACCAAATGTGTTTGCAGCCTCACTGGGAATGCTGGGTTAGACCCTACACCAAAAACTACCTGGAACAAGAGCTGTTCTAATAATGCTAAGCATATGTGAAACTGTGATGATTCTAATATTGGAACTTTTTATTTTAACAGAAAACCAATTATCGTAGGAAGCTTCTACCATCTCTCATCCAACAGTGTTAGCATGACTGTTACTAATACATTGAAAAAATAAAAATAGATAATGGAGATCTGGCAAGGTGGCCGAGGAAATCACATGTATGAGAGATGGGTGGATGAAAAAGTCCCAAACCCCTTCAAGAAGCATCCGTGCCATTTCAAGCTTTCCAGAACTTCAGAGTCATGGACTGTCTACTCCTGTTTCTCTGTATCCTCCCCCCAACCCCAGTTTTAATTTCCATTCTATTTTCCCTTTATCCATTTACTATTTCACTTATTTATGACTCAAATATGCCAGGCCCCATGGGAGAGCTGGGACACACAGTGAACTAACTGGAGCCAGCACCATCTCACACTATCACTCCCGCCTTCCAGTGAAGGAGAGAACCAATAACCACAGGGCTGGTTAGGGAAGTACAACTGTGCCACATACTCCCAAGGAGAGGCCAGGTGCCTCTGAAGGCTTATAGAGTAGACATGTCCTGCCCATCACACCTTCGTCGTTTGTGTCAGAGCTACAACTAAAATCTAGAATTCCTAATTTCCACCCTACTCACTCTGCCTCATTCATTTTTCGGTTTATTCATTTGCTCATTCATTTGCTTATACCTTTGTTCACTGCCCATTCATTCTTTCAACATTCGATCAGTTATTCATCCATTAATTACTCACAGGGCAGGCCCTCTTGTCTCAGCTCAGCTACAAGGCACAGAGGCATAACAAGGCTAATGAACACTCACGGGTCATAACCAGGGTGCTACGGGCACATTGGCCAGTGAAAGCTGAACTGGTCTGGGCAGCTCGATGAAGGCTCTGCAGAAGTGGCCCTGACAAGTGCTAGTGAATCACTCCACAACATGCAAACCTGATCACTAACATAATATGCAACACACGCTCACATGTTCCAGGTGCCGCGCAGACAGGACCCCTGCCCCTTGAAAGTCAGAGTCAAAAGGGGGAGTGGCGAGGAAGCAAAGGCTGCATCTTGTGTCAAGCGCCGTGGAAGGGAATAGTGAAGTACTCCCGGGTCTTGGGGGCCTTCTATAAAGAAGGTGGTAGCATCTGGGCCTGGAGCCTGCAGGAAAAGAACCGGGAGAAGCACCTTACAAGCACGGAGAGAAACCGTGGAAAGTTACAGAAACTGTCAGGAGGCCCGTGGCGCTGGACTACAGGATATTGTCAGATGAAGTCAGCAGCTTGAGCAAAGCATTGCAGGTGGAGGAAAATTTTTTTAATTTTTTCCTATATGTGTCAAGAAGCCACTGAAAGCTTTCAGACGACTTTTTATTGACAGAATCCTATTTACATCTTTAAAGAAGTATACTGGTTGGACCCTCAAGCCCATAGAGGGGTAATGTTGCAAGTAGAAAAGACCACCCCTTGCTCTAAGTGATGAGGCAGATTCCAACCCTTGGCCAGGCCGCCATGCAGGGCAGAAGGTGCCCTGATTCTGGCTGCTGCAGAAGTTGGGGGATGGCAATTGAAACCAAAGAGGTGGCCATACAGATGGCGATGAGGGGACGGACTGCAGGTAACTTTTGAAGGAACAGCTGGTGGGATTTGTATGTGTATGGGCAGGGAGGTGAGGGAAAGGGACTGCTGTGCGTTCCATGCATCTTGATTCCATTATCTTTGTGGCCCTAATGCAAGCTTTCAGCTCTATAGGAATGCGAAACAACTGCAGATTTCCCATCGGGCACATGCCAGAGATAAGTGCTTCCCAGAGATTCTTGGTTGTTCTCAGTCTTCTGCATCACATGCCATAGTGCGACGAAGTCTCCCTTCCGATGTACAGGTCTCTCTGCAGGATCAAATTCCAGAACCGGGATTCCTGAGTCAAAGCGTGAATTAACCTATAATTGTCTTAATTCTGAAAAATTATCCTCCTGGGGCTGGTTGGGGGGGCATTTTACACTCCTCTTAGCAAAATGTGAAAAGGTCTGTTTCACCCCAGCCTCAGTGAAAGATTATGTTCTCCAGCTTGTGGGTTTTTGCCTGACATGGCAGGTGACATACAATATCTTACTGTTGTTTTAATTGTAATTTCTGTTACCACGAGGTTCACAGTGTTTTCATGTGATTAGGCCATTTCTGTGAGCTCTCTGACCCCGCCCATTTTTCTTTTGGATATTTGTGGTCTTTTTCTTATAAACTTCTAGAATGCAGGAACTATTCACGATCTGAATTAGAAATATTTCTCCCAGTTTGGTACTTTGCTTCTAAGTTTGCATACTTTCTTAGAAATTTTATTTTATTTATTTAGCCACGTAAAAGTTTTTGCTTTGATATGGTCACATTTATCAAAATTTGATAGCTGCAAAGAATACTATATGAGCTGGTAAAAAGGAATGGGGGGGGTGGTTCTTCGGTCCAGATTTAGAAAGATCTCCAAATGCATTGTGAAGTGGAAAAAGCGAAGGTACATATTCTACCCCTTTTTCTCTGAGAAAGAGAATGTGGGCACGTATGTTCTTATTTGTTTATATTTTCATAAAGGAAGTATGATAGGTTATTTTATATGTCAGCTTGGCCAAGCTATGGTGCCTGGTCATTTGGTTAAACACTAGTCTAGATGTTGCTGTGGCTGTCCTTTTAGATGTAATTCATATCTACAATAAATAGACTCAGTTAAGCAGATTACCCTCCATACTGCGGGGGGCCTCATCCAATCAGTCAAAGGCCCTCAGAGCAAAGACTGAGGTTCCCCAAGTAGAAGGAATTCCTTTCAAGACTGTGACATAGAAAGCCCAGCTGAGTTTCCAGCCTGCAGAATTCAGACTCACAAATGAAACCTCAACACCTACCTAACCTCCAGCCTCCCTGCTGCCCTACAGATTTCAGGCCTGCCAGCCCCCACAATCAGGTGAGTCCATTCCTTTAAAAAAAAAACCAGGCGCTCTCTCTCTCTTTCTCTCTCTTTCTCTCTCCCTCTCTGTCTCTTCCTCTCATTGGTTCTGTTACTCTGGAGAACCCTGATTAACACGGGAACACTTGGAGGATTCCACAAAAAATGAGTACAGTAACTGTGTGTGGGAAGGATGAGGGAGGGGTGGTAATGGGAATTCTCAGTTTAGGCCTTGTTATAGTTAGAAACTTTAAGCCGTGTAAATATCTCACCTACTCAAAACAGAAAGTAAAATTTGGGGCAAAATCAACTTTTAGGTATAAAATAAAATAAATGCTCTATAAATTAAGCAATAAAGGTTATTTGTTTTATAGAAATTTAAGATACAAAAAAAGAGAATTATCCAGGTTTATCCAAAAGATGAACTGCTCAGGAAGAAGACAATTTTTAAAAGCACTGAGATGCAATTCTTTTAAACATGAACCTATATACCATATTTAAATCCATATAATATTCTACAAATCTGGTGTATCCTCCAAGCATTTGATACAAGGTTTAACTCTCACCAACTCTTCCACTCCTGACCCCACCAGGTGGGCAAACATAACTTGTGGCAATCTGCAAAGAGGCCAGGCCACGACCTGGGCTGGAGTGGCCAGCCTGTGGCTGGGGAGACTTTCCAGGGAACAGGTGCCACCTCCCCAAAACGCTTCACGCTGCGTGCAAGGATTCAGAGATGTCCAGGGTAAACCAACACTTTTTAAGCCAAATCTAAATGTTTAATAAAAACTAAGAATGATGCATAACAAGAGCTTCATCCTGGAAGTACACACCATTTTACAGGAAACTCAAACCCTAAACATATGTAATCTTGTTTGTAGCAGGGAACTTCCTCCCTGCTAGATTGAAGAAAAGTATTACCATCTGGGACACATTCCTCTCACCCTCAGAAGAAGGGGCTTTATAGAAGGGTCTTTACTTTTATTAGCAGCACCCTGCTATGCACCTGCTGATGTTCATAACACATGGGGCTTTCTGGGCCACTCCAGTGACTGCTGAGCTGGCACCTGATGACATTTCTTCAAGTAAGTTGCCTTAGTTGACCCAGCTACTGCTCCACACCAGAGGTGGAGTGGGGAGGAGTGTCCTCTGGTGGAAGGTCAGTGCCACAGAGAAACACTGGGCACTCAGACTGCATTCGGTCCTGGGACAGACAGCGTGTCCCCAAGCATCCACAGTGCAGCGTCCACAGAGAGGCCTGACTCCCAGGGGCTGACAGAGGCAGAGGACAGAGCTATTTATTGAAATGAGGAGTGCCCTGCTAAAAGAAACTGCATGCATAGCATTATAGAGCCAGGTAAACTCATGGTGAGGAGTCTGTGTTTTGGATTAAACACGCACGCGCGCAGACACACACACACACACACACACACACACACACACACACACGTCTGTGTTTAATCCCAGCTCTATTACATAACTTTCTGGAGGTTGTTTCCCTTTGCCAAGGCTGCCTTTCCCTACATTAAGTGGGAACAATATAATCCCACCATAAAGAACTGTCATGAAATCCGAACGCAATGATGACCACTAAGGCTACAAGTGCCCGTACCGTAGGTAGTAAGTGCTTACTAAATGCTGGCTCCTCCTCCGTAACTGATGGGAATATTAGGAGACATATAGGTCTTTGGATAGTTCTTGAAAGCTGTCTCTAGAGGCTGTATTTGGAAACATATCACATGGATCATCTCTTGAATGAAGTTCCTCGTGACCCTTAGGCCTTTCAGGAGTAATGCCAGGGTCCTTCCTGTGAGCAGCTCAGCCGAGTGGGGCTAGCGGGGAGCAGAGATGGGGCTGGGACAGAGCACAAGCACAGCCCTGGGGTGGGGTAGACAGGGATGCTGGGCAAGCACACCCCACCTCCGCTCCCCGCCAAGGCTGTCTGCTTTCTGCACCAAGGCCCCTTCTACCCCTGCAAGCCCACCTGGCCCCCTGCACACAGGAGAGTTGATGCCCCCAGAGGAAACAATTAGGGGGAATGGGAACAAGGCCCCGCATGCCCTCTTCAGGGGGACAGTTCTGGGACATTCTGTACGGCTCCAGGCACCCCCCAGGCTCACAGTGGCAGCCCTGATAACACCCCCCAGGGATTCCTTCTCCTGCCCCACATCCCCCCCAGCTCCTCACACCTGCTTCCTTGTCCTGGGCTCTGCTTCTGGGCTAAAAACAACCCCAGCGGGGAGAGCTGTTAGGAATGCAAAGAGGAGACCAAGGACTTGAGGCCCCTCCTATCACCTCATTTACATCCCCAGGAGTGCAGGCCACACTGCCCATCAAAAGCACGTCCCCGTGAGGCAAGATGATGATGATCGCAGCGGACATTTATTACCTGCCAGACACCAACCTAAGCACCTTATTATTAACTATTTTAATTCTCACACCAATTCCACAAATTACTATGAGTTTGTTTTCCAAAAGAGGAAACTGGGGCACAGAGAAGCTAACTTTCTGAGGCTGCCCAGCTGGTGAGCAGCAGAGCCAAGCATCCCGCTCGGCGAACGAGCTCCAGAGCCCATGCACTCAAAGGCAGAAGCTGCGCTGCACAACGACGCCAAGAAGAGAACCTGGAGGGTCCAGGCTGGCAGAAATCAGGGAGGGCAAGGGCAAGGAGGAAGCCAAAAGCTAAGAACAAAGTCAGACAAACGCCGAGGCAGAAGCCAGGGAAGCAGAGCATGTCACCAATTACTGGGGACATGCTCTGAGAGAGAGGGTTTGAGAACTGCCACTCACCGGCCGGGGACTGCTTGTTCTAAAGGTGCCTCAGGCTGAAATCCAGCTGGGCCTGTGCTCCAAGCCAGGAGTCCTGGCACAAAAACACGGATCTTTGCTCTTTCTGTCCGCAGGGCCTGGGATCTCAGCCCCACCCCAAGACAGTAGAAGAGAAGGGACCCAGGCAGGGGCTGTGGTCAGTGTAGAGCCTCTGGTTTACTAGGGAAGTCAAGCCTGCTGGTTCCCATTTTCTCCATAAATTACTCCCATTAAAGTCAAATATCCACATTAACTAAATTTTTGATATTTCACAGAATGGTTCCACAAAAAGAGTACTTTCATTTAGCTTTAAACAGCCCTTTCTGCTGACATCCAAATTCGTATTTCACTTCCCTCTCATCTTTAATTAAAGCTTATTATCCTCTGTGTAAACCAAGAAGATTTATGACATTATTTAGTGAGTTTTCTTTTTTTAAATTATAAATAACAGTAAACTTCAGAAAATGCTCCAATTTCACAGTTATTTGTTTTCAAGATTTTTGGCCACACACTAAAGCTAAAGCTAACCTCCAAAAGGCGCAAGTCACATCTTAAATGAAAGCTCTGATCAAATCTAGTCCTCCCCAGCTTCTCTGGGCATAAATTGGAATTTTAAGCCATAGGCCAAGAGTTAAAACTATAGCTTCTGATTTGCTTCCAATGCGATCTGTAACTAGTTATTCATGGTCCAAAGAAAAGTTTGGATTCATGTCAGAACCGCCTCATACACACAGCCATCTGAAAAGTCCCAGAGAAGCCCTGTTTAAATGCAATCCAAACTGATCCTGCCATGTTTCTTCTAAAAGAAGGAACCATTTCCTGTCTCGTGTATGGTTTCTTTTCCTTTCTTTCTTTCTTTTTTGAGACAAGATCTTGCTTTGTCACCCAGGCTAGAGTGCAGCTTCACCATTATAGCTCACTGTCTTGACTCATGCAGTCCTTCTGCCTCAGCCTCCTGAATAGCTGGGACTATAGGCCCATGCCATTGTGCCTGGCTAATTTTATTTTATTTTATTTTTTATAGAGACAAGGTCTCGCTGTGTTGCCCAGGCTGGTCTCCAACTCCTGGCCTCGAGCAATCCTCCCACCGCAGACTCCCAAAAAGCTTGGAATTACAGGTGTCAGCCACCACGCTGAGCCTATGGCATCTTAATTTTTAAATTTTTCATCTCTTTTCACTATTTTTTCTACAGGAGATCATTATTTCATTTAATATAGATACCCATAGTCACAAAGAGACTTAGGACTTCAGAATCAGAAAACAAATCAAAAAAATACAATGTCCTACTACAAGAAAATAGTTTTTACCTTAAAAACCATGGAGAAAGGAAAGTGCTAGGAAACGATGGACCAAAGTGATTGTGATTGAAAAGAAGATAAGGGGCAACTGGAACAAAGCATTCACATGAAGTCCGTCAGCACCTAGAAGGGCTCATCAGGAGTCTACGCAGGCTCGCCAACACAGCAGCAACTGCAACACTCACTGCTCTTTTACTGACAGGATCAAGGCATGTAGACACGGTATCTGCGAGGCAGAGGTCAATTCAGATTTTTAATTTCTCTCCTGCAGCCCAGAGCCTTGTATTGGGAGACCAAACTTCCATTCACTGTCATGGCATTCTGGAGGGCACAGAGAGTCAGGTGTAACAAATATAGAGGGGCACCATCTGGGATGGGTGGGGAGTATTGTCAGATTCTGCGTCAGGGTGCAAGGGGTGGGCGAGCTTACCAGAGTGAGGGGAAATCTATAAGGAATACATGTCCAACCTTGCACTAGAGTTTGAAAAAACATCAACTTTTAAGTGCTGAATCCTGAATGCATTTATTGAGTCCAAAAATATCTGTGTATGTCTTCAATGTGTCAGGCACTGTTCTCAGTTTGGGCATGCGGCAGTGAATAAAACTGTCAAGTAAATTTCACACAGTGAGAGGGCAAGAGGCTTGATACATCATATAGGGTATTAGAAGGTGGTAAGTGGGGGAAATGGAAACAGGGGGAGGTCTAGGACAGGGAGCAGCAATGTTGAACGGGTCTGGCCTCACTGAAATGTCAACAGAACGAGAAGAGGGCCGCAGGGCTGCAGCTACGTGAGGAACAATGTTCCCGACTCAGGGAGCAGTGTGGAGGCGTGTGGCTGGAGCTGAGCTGGAGAGGAGAATCCAGGAAGACCGGCTCGGGAGTGGGAGGGGTGGTTGCAGATGGAGGAGTTGGCTTTTAGCCTGAGAGAATGTGGAGTCTTCGGAGCATTTCCATTACAGGAGTGACAGGATTTGGAATGAGCTTTGAAAGGTTCGCAAAAGTAGCTCTGAAGAAGTGGGGTTATGTGGCTTCTGCAATGTGACCCGCGATTTGGCACAACCTTGAGAACTCCAGCCCCAGTAGGAAAATGGCCAAAGGCCATAAAGAAGTCACACAAGAATTCACAGAAGAATATTTTCAGCCCCATGGTGTCATATGAGTAAAACCACACAGTTCCATTTCAGCACCAGGTGGGAACCTGTCTCCTATAAGTTAAGCGGTATAAATGAAAATTTAATCATGATTTTCCCTTTCATAGAATTGTGGCCTAACTTCTGAATTCTGATAAAATAACTTAACATTGGCCAACAAGATCACTCAGCATCTGAGACCTAATTTGATAACCATAACTCAAATATCTCATCAACTGAAGTTGCAATTAACAAAAAGTCCAGTTGGCAGAGCAGGGCCTGGATGATGAACGATTCACAGCTGATCTGGGGCTGCCGCCTCTACGGCGGTGTCTTCTTTCCAGACCCCCCGAAAGTTCACAGACTGTCACACATGCACACAACTCCCGTGGCCCTGCAAAACCAGCTCCCATCAGGAAACATGTGGGCTCCTTCCTGCATGGTACAGTGAAAAGCAAAATCCTAACGTACTTACTCGCATTAAAAAAAATAAAATGAGAAGACTCAGTTTTATGTCTACACAACTGCAAAAACAAAACAAAAGTCAGAGATGTGAACTCCAGATTGTTAACATATCTGCTGAAACAAACAGAACAGTTTAATCAGGAATGTGTACAAGCTATATTGCATACAAATTGGCATCAATCATGAATAAATGAATTTTGGCTTTTTGCATCTCATGTATGGGACTTATTTACATGGCATACTGGCAAACTGGAATGTAAACTAACAATATAAATGATATTGCAATTTAGGAGCATCCCCAAGCTGCCAGAAATAGGAAGAAGGCAGTGTTTTGGTTTCCTACAGTATGGAAAACTTATAGTGATAACCCAACTAATTCATAGCAAGGGGGAGAAGACAGCACACTAACCTTTAATAAATTAATAGGATTGGGAGGCTAAGGCAGGTGGATTACCTGAGCTCAGGAGTTCGAGACCAGCCTGGGCAACACAGTGAAACCCCGTCTCCACTAAAATACAAAAAATTAGCCTGGCGTGGAGGCGCGTACCTGTAGTCCCAGCTACTTGGGAGGCTGAGGCAGGAGAATTGCTTGAACCCAGGAGGCAGAGGTTGCAGTGAGCTGAGATAGCACCACTCTGCACTCCAGCGTGGGTGACAGAGCGAGACTCTGTCTCAAAATAAATTAAATAAATAAAAATAATAATTAATTGATTAATTAATTAATTGGAGCTGTTTTCCCTTTTCTGCAGGTACTGAAAACCATCTTATGCCTGCCTATAGGCATCTCCATTTAAGGGCTTCCCACACCCTGAAATACAAACACTACCAACCAAGCTATAAATTATATTGCTTTCTACTCCTGTTTCTACTAGCTATTTCTTTAAAATTTGCTAAAATCTGCCTACAAAACTATCTAAACTTGGTGTCTATTAAGAAATAGGGGGATTTTTCAACTCTAATTTGAGTTCTTTAATAACTATTTCTGTTTGGGTTTTCTATTTCTTCTTAAGTTTGGCTATATTATTTATAAATTAAGCCATCTCATCTAAATCTTCAAATATATTGGCATAAGGTTGCTGATTATCATGTCTGAAATCTCTTGTTTATATTATTTTCCTTTCATATTTCTCCATTATTCATGTTTCTTCTCTTTTATTGTAATCAATAACAGGTGTATGTACTTATAACTCTTTTCAAAGAATTTTTGATTGCCTCTATTGCTTCTTGGATATCCATTTCGTTACTTTTCCTTTAATCTTACTTATTCTTTTTGTGAATGTATGCATTTACTTTGATTAAGAATTTCAAACAGAAATTTAAGTTTATCTCTGGTGTTTGTGAAATGTGAAAAGTAACTGAAAACTGCAAAAACAAACAAAAACTCCTAAAGCTCCCACCAAAAGTTTTGCAATAATTATTAATATTTCATAAGAGAGGGTGGGTATGGTGGCTCACGCCTGTAATCTCAGCACTTTGGGAGGCCGAGTTGGGTGGATTACCTGAGGTCAGGAGTTTGAGACCAGCCTAGCCAACATGGTGAAACCCTGTCTATACTAAAAATACAAAAATTAGCTGGGCATGGTGGCGTGCGCCTGTAATGCCAGCTACTTGGGAGGCTGAGGCAGGGCAATCGCTTGACCCAGGAGGCAGAGGCTGCAGTGAGCCAAGATCACGCCACTGCACTCCAGCCTGAGCAAGAGTGAGACTCCGTCTAAAATAAATAAATAAATATATATATAATACACATACATTTATACATTTCATAAGAGATAAGAGAACACATCAATGCAGTCACAAGTCACTTAATGACAAAGATACAATCTGAGAAATGTGTCATTCTGAGCAATGCAAATGGTAACTTCATCATTGTGCAAACCTCAGAGAGTGCACTCGCACTAACCTAGATGGCATAGCCTACTATACATGCCTAGGCTATATGGTGTAGCCTATTGCTCCTGGGCTACAAACCTGCACAGCATGTACTGTACTAAACACTGTAGGCAACTGTAATGCAATGGTAAGTATTTGTGTATCTAAGCATATCTAAACATAGACAAAGTGCATAAAATGTGATACAATACCACTGTCCTATATGTGGTCTGTCATCGATGGACCATTATAGACATCATTATGCAGCACAAAACTGTATTTTATTCATTCCACAGATGACATGGGAGTCTTCTTATTTTTGTAATCAATAATAACAGGTGTGTGATCAATAATAACAGGAGGAGTGATATGCTAATTAGGAACTAAGGATGTGCAAGATAAATGTTTATACTCCAAGAATGAAACAGAAACGAAAAATTAAAAGTAATAACAATAAGATGATTAACAATATCAATAGCAACTAACAGTAGTTTCTTGGTTACTTATCACATGCTAGGTAATGTTCTAACTATTTCATATGAAATTTATTTATTTTATTTTATTTTGAGACAGGGTCTCACTCTGTCATCCAGGCTGGAGTGCAGTCATTGCAATCATAGCTCACTGCAGCCTCAAACTCCTGGGCTCAAGCAATCCTCCCATCTCAGCCTCCCAAGTTGCTGGCACTACAGGCACATGCCACCACACACAGCTTTTTTATTTTTTTTTTGGTAGAGATGGGGTAGGGGGTTTCACTTTGTTGCCAACTCTTGGTCTCAAGCTATCCTCCTACCTCCACCTCCCAAAGCACTGGGATTACATGCACGAGCCACCACGTCCAACTAATTTTACTTTCTGTAGACAGGGTCTTGCTATGTTGCCCAGGCAACAATGTAGTGGCACAATCATAACTAACTATAACCTTGAACTCCTGGACTCAAGCGATCCTCCCACCTCAGCCTCCTGAGTAGCTGTGACTACAGGTGTGTGCAACCATACCGGGCTAATTTTTAAATTTTTTGTAGTGATGTGGTCTCACTATGTTGCTCGGGCTGGACTCTAACTCCTGGCTTCAAGCAATCCTCCTGCCTTGGCCTCCCAAAGCACTGGGATTACAGGTGTGAGCCACTGCACCTGGCTTCATAGGAAATTTAATCCTCAAAAGATCCCATATAGAATGATGGAGGTTAACACTGTTCTCCCCACTTTACAGATGAAATCCCCAGGAATGAAGGCGGTGAGAGCTAGCAAGTGGGTGGTGTATAAGGCAAATCATTATTAATAGCCACAAGCACATTACACAGAGTCTTAGTTTTAACTTCAATGGAAGTTTTATTGTTTTTGACAGTTGCCAAAGCAGATCAGATACTGTGATTAGGTACACGGTTTCTTCCTGCTTATGAAATTACATTCTGAAGCCCTTCGGTCTCATTCCCCGGCTGCCTCCACTCTTTCTTGTAACCGCTCGCCTGTCACCTGTCTGATGTGCATCACCAGCTCATTCATCACCTGGCAGATTTACTAACTCACTCATCATGCAGACACTGATGAGCCTGTCCTTCCGCATTCATCCCCACACCCTGGCTGCCGCTCACTCTGACATACCGCCGCCTGTCACTGTTTGCCAGCCAAACCGATACTTTTCTTAGGAGCTGCTATTAGCTCATTTGTCAGATTATTTTATTCCTTTTTGCTTATCAACTTCCCTTCAGACATCTTTTAGAATTTTTTCTTCTTGTTCTCCTCTGCCAACCACTTGGCTCATTTGCTTATCACCTGATATTATTCACCCCTCATCATTCGACAGCTTTTCAGATTCTATTAGTCAACATACATAATGTGAGTTCTATCTCTTGTTTCTATTAGGTTAAACCCATACAAATCTTGCTCTGTGCCAAGTGACTTAGAATTTGCATGGGGATGACACTTACATTAGAGCATATTCACTATGGCACATGAATATCAGTTATAAAACTCACATTCCCTTTCACAGGTCAGAAAATGTGGGATAGCAGCAGCCTTTTAAAAGGTAACACACAGCGGCATTTTTTTTTAATGTTTAAAAATATATAAATAATTTATTCTCCCCATTGCACAGAATGGCAATATGTTCTCTCCTAGGTGATTGAAAAGGTTTTTGTCTTTAGTCTCTTATGGACTGGTGCATTTGATGGGGATCCAGAAAAAAAGATGGGACTAAGTGCTGCACGCAAAAGAGAACTGGCCATGAAGAGGACCCACCCGCCAGACAAGAGCCCTGTGTGTCTGCCTGGGAAGGAGAGGAGCTCATTCCTGAAGGTCCCACCTGGACGGGCTGTTTGCTTATGAATGTATGCACTTAGGTAGGTAGGTAGGTAGGTAAATGTGTCTATGCATGTATACACATAAGCGTATGAATCTATGTCTATGGGTGTGTGTATGTTGCATGGAAGTACACATGTATGCAGCAGGCTAACACTGACTGCATTTACTGTGTGCAAGTCTCTGCAATATGCTCCCAAGACACAGTAGCTCATTTAGTCATTACAACAACCTTTGCAATAGAAATACCAATGGCCACCCATATTCACTGGTTCTCATTTGCCTGGCTGTGTTCTAAGCCTTGCCACCACCTGGGAGGTAGGTTCTATCATTTTCCCCCATGAAATAAATGAATGAACTGAGCCTCACGGGGATAGAGTTACTCACCCAATGGAGGAGCTCTTATGATCCCCATGTTACCAGTGGGGAGACTGAGGCACAGAGAAGTTCAGAAAGTCACTTGAGGCCATACAGTAAGAAATAGAGTCTGTACCCTTAAGCACATCACACTACTTCCCAGTAGAGAAAGATCACCTTCTGTGATGCTTAATTTTACGAGCCAACTTGACAGGGCTAAGAGGTACCCAGAGAGCTGGTTGAGCATCATTTCTGGGTATGTGTGTCAGGGTGTCTCCAGAAGAGGCTAGGATTTGAATCTGTAGACTGGAGTAGAGAAGATCACCCTCACCAATGTGGGTGCACCTCATCCAGTCCACTGAGGGCCCACATAGAACAAAAAGGCAGAGGAAGGGCGCCGTCTCTCTCCCCTTGAGCTGGAACATCCATCTTCTGTCCTTGGCCATCAGAGCTTCTGCTTCTCCCACCTTCAGACTCCAGGACTTAACACCAGCAGCTCCACCCCTCCTCCTGTTCTCAGGCCTTCGGGCTCTGGCTGAAGCACACCACCAGCCTTCCAGGGTCTCCAGCCTGGAGATGGCAGATTGTGGGACTTCTTGGCCTTCACAAGTGCATGAACCTATTCCCATGATCAATGTCCTGTATACCCCATTGGTTCTGTTTCTCTGGAGAGTCCTCCTAATACACTTTCCTTTTAAGAATGTATAAAAAGACATACATATGTGTACACACATTCACAGCTCAATTAAGACCCTTCTATCATGAGAGAATGGAGACACGTTCTAAGACACTAGGGGATCGGGGGTGGGAGAGGGCCTGGCTCCAAAATAGATATTTTGATGAAACCAGAGTAAATTCTTAGAAATTTTCTGAGTCTCACGGTGATAAACAGACACTGTCTCTATGAAACACGCACAAGTTTCAATGATAGAAAAGGAAGAGATGAGAATAGCTAGCGACCAGAAGGAAACACACCAAGAGAAAAGGAGACTGCCCCAAAACAGAAAGAGAGACTGGACCAGTTAAAACTCTGCACTGGAAATAGTTAAGACCAGGCCAGATACTGCAAAAAAAGAAAAAACTGGTAAAAATATTTTCTGTAGAGCAGTATTTTACATTTCCCCTCATTTTGCTAGATTTTTCTGTTTGCCCTCCAGATCCACCATACACCTTTACTGCTGCCTGGAGGCTGATCTTGATGAGGCTTCCCTGTTTTCCACTGGGTTCAGACTTGGGCAGCACTGAGGGGAGACTGGAGTGGGCAAGGCATGGCAACTGGGGTATTTGTTTCCTCTCTGCTGGAAAGGACCAGTGCCTGCATTCTCTCACCAAAGGCCACCCCTGTCTCAGGGTGAATCCTACGAATTCAGGTCTCACTCCAGGCCCCAGAGCCACTCCCTCCCTGTGCTGTTAAGGTCCAGGAGCCAGGGCAGCTCTCAGCTATGGCTAGCCCTGACAGCCTCACCATTTCTGCCCCTACCTTTGTAAATAGTCACCCCATTAAACTCCCCATTACCCAATTTAAATATGTCATCTGCTTCCTGCTGGGATACTGAGTATGAAGTGCTCCAGGCATCCCCCAGGACAGAGCCCCTGTATCATGATCTGTTTTATAAACCGTGGTTCTGGACAGTAATTTGAGTTTTTAAAGGTCCCATTGGCTTTTTTTTTTTTAAGCTTAAAAACCAAAGATGAAGTTTAAATTTGAGAAGCATTCATGAGAATGCCAAAAAAGGGACAGAGTGATACAAATAAAAAAAAAAAACCTCACACTTGGAGGATCAGAAGCTGAGATTTAAATGATTAATAATGCATGCTTCCAGAGAAGAGCCCAGAACAAATCATTCTGTTCTCATTATGTAGTGAAACTTACACTGGCTTCAGACCTTTCCTCAAATTGCTAATGCCAGAAAAACTGATTGCTCAAGAATTCTGAATCTAACCAAATTACTCTTACATTGAAAGTAACAGATGGCTACTTTCATTTATACACTGTGGGAAATATATATCACCCATGTCCCCATGGTGAAGAGATGAATGAAAATTCAGAACGTAAGAGAGCTGAAGTCAGATAGTAAGCAAATGATGGAGAGTGGAATGGCTGAGCTAAATAAGGGGTCCCACGAAGAGGAGGCTTTATAACCTGAGTTCCCTATGTAAAATTAAAATGTGAAGGGGGTTTTAGATGCACAGAATAAAAAATGCTAATTTACTCATTTTTCCATAAGGAAAAGATGTTAAAATTGACTTTTTTTGGGAGTATCACTTACCTACGAGGCAATGTTCTCTGTTCCAATAGCGATGGTGGTCACCCAGGGACTTACATTTGCTGAAGCTCATTGAACTCTATTCTTAAAACAAGTGCATCTTGTTCTATGTGAGGATGTGAGGATGAGAAGATTTTTATCTTTGGTTTTGGTAATTTGATAAATGTAGGGTTGAGGATACTTTTGAAAAATCAACAAGATGGTCTAGAAGTGAAGAAGATATGAAATGTATATATATGTGTGTGTGTGTATATATATATATATATATATATATATATTTTTTTTTTTTTTTTTTTTTTTTTTTTGAGACGGAGTCTCGCTCTGTCGCCCAGGCTGGAGTGCAGTGGCGTGATCTCAGCTCACTGCAGGCTCTGCCTCCTGGGTTCACGCCATTCTCCCACCTCGCCTCCCGAGTAGCTGGGACCACAGGCGACCACTACCACACCCAGCTAATTTTTTATATTTTTAGTAGAGACGGGGTTTCACTGTGTTAGCCAGGATGGTCTTGATCTCCTGACCTCGTGATCCGCCCGCCTCGGCCTCCCAAAGTGCTGAGATTACAGGAGTGAGCCACCGCGCCTGGCCTGAAATGTATTTTTTAAAAACATATTGATATAGAAGTTAAAAATAAGGTACCAAGGATAAGTGCATGAGAAGATATGCAAGTCCTCTGCAGAAAAAATCTTAAAACTCCAATGAAATACTCTGGAAAAGACCAAAACAAATGGAGGGATATAGTATTCCATGGTCAAGGCCATTTAGGATCACACAGATGTTAATTCTCCCTAAAATGATACACAGATAAAACACAACTCCAATAAACATCCCAATAAGGGAGTCTTTCATAAAATCCAACAAGCTGATTCTCAAGTCTCCATGGTAGAGCAAAGGGCCAAGAAAAGCCCAGATGCCTTTGGAGGGAAGAGAAAGCTGGGGGCCCTTCCTCCTCACAGGTATCTTGTTGTACAGGAACTACCAAAGCAGACCAAAGGGGCAGAACTGAGTGCCTAGAAACAGACACACAGAGATACAGAAAGTGTATTTACAACAAAGTGGGCACTGCAGGTCATGGTAAAAAACAGATTCTAGTGCCACTACAATTGGTCACGCATAAAAGAAGAAAAGAGAATTCCTGTCTCACAGCATATACAAAATTTAATTCCAAGTAGATTAAAGGATTAAATGTGAAAAGCAACACTTCTGATTCTGTAGGGGAGAAAAAAAAAGAAGCAAATGTTTTTACAACTTCGAGGTAGGGAAGGATTTCTTAATAAAAGATAATCACATACATGCACAGAAAGTATCCCCAGTGAAGGAATTAATAAATTAATAAAGATAACCATAAGAAAAATGACATGGTAAGTCAAAGCCTCGGAGGGGGTATTTTCACATATTCCACCAAGAAATCAGCACCAGAAGATATAGTATAAATAACTTTTATAAATTAGTAAGAAAAAGAGAAATGACACAAATGGGTAAAACACACAAACTCACATATTACAGAAGAAGAAACACAACATAAAACTGGTTGATCTCAGCCAGGCGTGGTGGCTCACGCCTGTAATCCCAGCACTTTGGGAGGCCGAGGCGGGCAGATCACAAGGTCGGGAGATCGAGACCATCCTGCCTAACATGGTGAAACCTCGTCTCTACTAAAAAATACAAAAAAATTAGCCGGGCGTGGTGGCGGGCGCCTGTAGTCCCAGCTACTCGGGAGGCTGAGGCAGGAGAATGGCATGAACCCGGGAGGCGGAGCTTGCAGTGAGCCGAGATCGTGCCACTGCACTCCAGCCTGGGCGACAGAGCAAGAGAGCGAGACTCTGAAAAGAAAAGAAAAGAAAAAAAAAAAAAACTGGTTGATCTCATTAGGAACAAGGAGAGCACCAACTGGGACTGGAGATGCCGTGGCACACTCACCAGACTGGCAAACCTCTCAAGGCATGCCATGAAGAATGCGGAACACTTGGGGCACCTACATGAGTACAGTTGCTTTGGGAAAACCATGCGACATCATTTCATCAATCACACTGCCCATGACCCAGCAATTTCATGTCCAAGTGAGTGCCCTGGAGGAACCCATGCCTATGTACCTGAGGAGACGGGCATTTAAACATTCACAGCAACACAGGTCACAGGAACAAAATATTATATACATGGCCCATGCAGCCACTGAAGGAGAACAGACAAACATATTGTGATCTATTCACACCATGGAAGACTGCAACAACAATCAAAATAATTGATGTAGAGCTACACATGAACACGTATGAATCAACAAATATCATGGTGAATGAAAAAAAGCAAGTAATCAAAGAACATAAAGTGCAATTCCATTTACACAAAGTTCAAAAGCAAAAGTAAGCAGTACATTATTTAGGGATGTGTACATATGTGTAAAAGAATGATGAACCTTGAATCTCTGCTCTGAAGACAGGCAGGAGACCAGATGGGAAGGAGCCCACAGGAGGGTCCTGGAGTGGGCAGCTTACACTTCTGGTGCTGGTTGGTGGGGCCTTCAATTGCCTGCTTCATAGCAATACATGAATTTCATTGTACGTGTCATATATTTCATGTTTAATAATATTTTATTAATAAATATTTCCTAATTTAAAACAGAAAAGATGAAATACATTTTAAACATAACTGTCAGTAGAAAAAAAAGCTAGATTCCTACAGTCTAAATATTTACATAAAGTAAAGCACTCTCAACGTGGTATTTATCAGAAAAAAAAACCAGAATAAAAGACAGAAGTGCCGAAGAAACGTGTAAAAACAAGAAGATAAAAAGAGTGACTGAAACAATCCCTAAATAAGTAAAGAGATTTCATAATAACTCAATCCCTTATTTTAAACAATTTGATTTCTATAAGATATGTACCTGAAAGAAAATGTCAGAGAGAAATTAAAGAAAAACTGATGGGCAAAGATATCAGGCACATTCAAACTAAAGGAAAGCAAGCCCAGTGCTCTAATTTAAACAAAGCCAAATTCAAGACAATAAAACACTAAATTGAGACAAGACCACTTTATATTATTAAAAGATATAATCTACAGGGAATGAACAGTAATATCCCAACATCCAAACAGAGCAAAATGTGACAGAAAGAGCCGCAGTGAATATGAACATGAATATGGATCATGTAGGAAAAAGCTGTTATGGAAAAAAACTGCAAAAGCTAACAGTAGCTGTGGGCCAGGGCAGAACACGAAGGAGTGTTTTCTAAGCTGTTTCCCTGCATTTTCCAGGTTTTCTGTAATACACATCTATACTCACTTATCAGGAAAACCATAACTGTAAAGATCTGTGTTTTGGTGAGGATATCACACGTTTAAGAAAGGCAGACTCCTTTCTTCCTCCAAAAGTCACTGCTGAAAGTCATGATTTTTAAAACTTCTTTTTTTCTGAACCCCAAGACGGAGTCTTGCTCTGTCCCCCAGGCTGGAGCACAGTGGCATGATTTCAGCTCACTGCAAGCTCCGCCTCCCGGGTTCAAGCAATTCTCCTGCCTCAGCCTCCCAAGTAGCTGGGAATAGGGGCATGCACCACCACACCCAGCTAATTTTTGTATTTTTAGTAGAGGCGGGGTTTCACCCTGTTGGCCAGGATGGTCTTGATCTCCTGACCTCGTGATCTGCCCACCTCAGCCTCCCAAGGTGCTGGGATTACAGGCGTGAGCCACTGTGCTCAGCCAGTTTCAATCAATTATTCTATCTATTGTTGAACCACACAAACTAAAGAGCAAAACAAATTTGAAACCTTTGAGTCTTCCTTCCCTTACTAATCAGAATTTTTATATTTTGACAAGGAAACATAGATCTACAGCAATTTGATTAAATACACATGAAAATCAGGGTAAAATAAAATTGTTTCAACTTCATCCCACTATTTATTGTATATCATAAAATTATTCAGGAATCAAAGATAAGGTTCATGAATAATATTCTTCATTAAAAGAGGGTGGATGTTTGAAAGAAAATCTGGTAACTAATAGCCTATAAGGTAGAATTTTTTAAAACCTGGGTACGTAGAGAGAGTTCCTCAGAATTGCATATTAAATTCACTTTCAATTAGTATGGTTCAGCATTTTATTCTGATGATTTATTTGTATGCTTGGTAATACTTTTTAAATTAACTGTGCCACAGACAGACATATCACATACTTCACAGTTATAATAATTTTTTCTAACGCTATATCTTTATAACGGTAATTGCCTTCTTTCTGAAAGAATACGCATTTTGAATCTAGTGACACTTCATTTATTACTTTTCTTATATTAGAGCTACCTCAGCATATTAGATTTTTTCTTAATGACTTTTTTCTATTAGGAGACCATGAAGACCCCAGGGCAAAGGAAGTCCATTAGGAAAGGGGGGCATTTTAGAGGAGGCAGGAATTTCTAAGGTAGACATCAGACAATTCTTGTCAAGAACAGACTGAACACGAGATCCTCCATTTCCTGTGAACTATAGATTAATTTTGATATCTGTACAAACAAGATTATGAAATTTGCAATATTCATCATTAATACAGTGAATTAAATTCCTCACATAGCAAAACATACATCAAGTATGTCACTGCTCACTGCACCTCCCACTCTCAGTTGACACATCACCCTGCACAGCTCCTCCCTGGACAACTCCAGCTGACCAGAGTACCTGCTTATACCACGTGGAACAGGAGACCGAGGATCCTCTCACCCTGACAGCTGCCTTGCTCTCTCCTGGAACATAGCAGCAGGTGATTATTCAGTGTGGGGGCAAAAAGAGTCCCTATCACTCCTCTGGTCTGAGAGCCAGATGCTAGAGTATGTCCAGGAAGCACTTCCGAGAAGCTATTCCCTGGACAGGCTGAGCCGCCTTGGGGCAGTCACCCATCTCCTGAAGCCAGGAGTGCTGGAGCACAGGCTGAGAATGACTCTGAGGCTGGAGAGAAGACTCAACAACCTGTTGGTGGCTCCACCACGGCTGTCCCTTTCTCCCAAAACTTTCTACAGCTCGATTTACTCCTGGACCCCTGCACCTGGTGCTTTTCCTGCTTCCTGGATTTTGTCTTGGTTGTTCTGCTGGCCTGCAAGGAGTCTACTCTCTGATCTACCCGCCCAAACTCCACCCATCCAATAATATTTGGGCTGAATCCCATTCTCACTGTAAGATTCAGTCTGAATCAGTCTTCTCCTACTTCAACCTTAGTGGAAGCAGCATGACACAATGAAAAGAGCATGCCCTCTGAAATCAGACACACCTAGACTCCTCCATCCAAGCTTTAGCAATTACCCTTGTATTATGCTACCCAAGTACATAATCCCTTTGAAAAGGACATGCTCTTCAAATGCAGCTGTGAATACTTGTCTTGGGCCAATGTATAAAAAGCACCAGGTAGGCACCAGTTTCCTCTTATCTTTCTAAATAAAAATTATATACAAAATTCATTTCTCGATTTCTAACTTGCAGCAATTTCCTCCCATTATCTTATACAACTTTATGTATCTTTAACATTTTATTGATATTTTTATTTCCCCAACTCATATCATAACCTCACCTAGAACCTAAACCTAAATACCATATCTTAACCTTCTTAGTTTCCAAGTCATTGCACGGCTCAGGGCCCTGTGCAATGCATTTCATTACTGCGGCACAACAGGCTCTGAGCCTCATCTCATGGCAATTCTGACGACCACTCTGTGCTCACGGTGTGCTGATGGTGTCCTTTATGTATCCAGGACAGATAGAACAAGGAACTGCTGACCAGGCAGGTTACAGAATCAGCCCAGGGTTAGACACTTACAGGTCCAATGGGGAAGCACCCCAGGAAACATGTAACAAAGCCTCCATTAGCAGCAGCTGGACAAATTCTTCCCCTCTTCTGGAAACATCCTTAAGCTTTGCTGATGCCCACACCTGGGGATACTAAGTGGTTTATTGTAATCAAGAAATGTATCATGGTCTTGGGGTCCAGCTACATGCAACTCACTTCACAGCACATTAACCAACAGACACGGATCACAGGAAAATCACTCCAGCCATAAAGAAACACACAGACTCTGGGACTCCATCCAGAGGCACATCCCAGGGCTTCTGAGCTCCCAGAGACGGCCCCCACTCAGTGCTGTTCCACAGACCTTACCACCCACTCAGTCTCTACCTTCACAGGAAGAGAGTAACATTACCCAGACAGGGCTATGAGAATAACTCACTCTTTCTCAGAAGCTTCTCAGCCAGTCAGAAGCAGCAATCAGGGAAAAGTTGATTACAATTGTTTCCAGGTGAATTCAAGATGATGCATTTAATTATGATTTTTGAGCACATAATTACCTTATTGGGTATCTTTGTCTACCTTGTTTTTAATCTTTTTTTTTTTTTTTTTTTTTTTTTGAGACAGAGTCTTGCTCTGTCACCCAGGCTAGAATGCAGTGGCGCGATCTCGGCTCACTGCAACTTCCGCCTCCCGGGTTCAAGAGATTCTCCTGCCTCAGCCTCCAGAGTAGCTGGGACTAGAGGCACACGCCGCCACACCCAGCTAATTTTTTGTATTTTAGTAGAGAAAGGGTTTTACCATGTTACCCAGGCTAGTCTTGAACTCCTGAGCTCAGGCAATACGCCCGCCTCGGCCTCCCAAAGTGCTAGGATTACAGGCATGAGCCACCGCGTCCGGCCCCTTGTTTTTCATCTTTCTATTCTAGCTCGCTGTCACTTGCAAAAAGTTAAGTTTTTATATATTTTCAATAAAAAATGTGCCTGATGGATTAAAAGAGTTTATACTTCCAAGTGAAGTGACTTAAGCAAATAAAAATAATTGTCATGTTTCAATAAAAATTAGTATTTTATCAACAACTATTTTTAATTTCACTTGGTCTTGAGTGGTTTCCTTATGTTATACTTTAGTCTGTTTCAGTCTCGTTTTTCTGGTTAGACTATCTTTCCCTGCTGATATTTAATACTGTTAGTAAATTTAAAAGAAGCGTATTAGTCCATTTTCATAAACGAGGTGGGAGGTTGGGATACTTAAGCTGCTTTATGAGCACAGCAAAATTCTGCATTGTTTTAAGGATCTGTACAAATATGTTTTCACCCTACTTCCTTCTTTTCTTCTGCACTTAATAAATGAAAGCTTCATCTTTAATGTGACCAAGCAAAATACATTCTCTTAAAAAAAAAGGTCACGACCTTGACTGTAAGAAATCCCCAAAGTGGATTTATAATGAATTTTCCGAATAAATAATGACTCCAAATACATTTACATTAAAAATATTAACCTTTAACTCACCTATATTTTTAATAGCATATAAAGTGATATTTGAGCTCAATTCATGGCTTCGAAAGAAAGCCTTGCAGGCTTTCTATAACTCATATTAAAGGTTAAGATGATTCATAAATTTTTTTCCACAGAATATGGCAAACAGATGACTTTGTAGTGTGACTGGGACTGAATTTCTGATGGGCACAGCAGGAAACATTTCTGTAAGTGCAAAAATTCAAAGACACTTTTGAAAAGAAGTTAATATATGCAGCGTAAGATTTTAAGCTTTCTTACATTGAAAAATGATCAGCATAGCAATGAAGAGAGAGAAATAAAAAAACCACTAATCCAGGCTGAAGTTCATTCATCACACACTTCCAATTCCTTGATATCTGCATGTTACATTAAATACTGCAGTGGAGAAAAACAAAAATAAGAGAATCCAACTAGAATGGAAAGACAATCAAAGCTATTTTTCTTCAACAGTTGTCTATAAGTTTCCAATAAAATTGGGGCTATGACAAGAATCGAGCATTTATACTTATGCATAAAGTAAGGGCTGGTTTCTCTAATAGGGCTAATTATCGGACACCTATTACCACCACTCCGGGGACAGCATCAATGAATCAAACTCCACAGGACTAGAAATATTCTGACTAGTGTCCAGGATAACAGGAGAGCTACCAGGGCTTTTGGTGCCACACACCTGGGTTTATTAGGGCCAGAATTGCTCTCCATAACCTAAGAACCACCCAAACATCCGCAGGATAAATGCAAAACCCTGGGAACCCTCTTTTTTTTGAGAGAAGAAATATGGAAGGAAAAAAACTTTCCTCTATTTTGTAGCTTCTAATTAAAAGGAATCCATGAAAGAATTAATTGCACCTAAACGTATTTTACTACGTCTTACGTTGTACTGCAGTAAGTCTTAAGATGAGCTGCAGAGGGGAATGGATTATGCCTTACTAAGGCATGGAAAGAGGTTTTTTTGGTTATATTTTAAGGTCTCAGGTAAGGCACTGATTAAGAGCCAGTTGGCCTGGGCTGGAAACCTGCCCACCACTTGCCTGCCACACACCTGCCCTGTGCCTCAGCTTCTCTTTTGGCTAGGATGATAACAGAGTTGTCTCACTGGGGTGTCATAAGAAGTAAGTGCAGCAGGCATCTATCTGAACAGGGCCCAGCATATAGCAGTTTCCCACCACGCTTGTTATTGTGGAAGGTACACAGAAATGGTCGGATTTCTCTGCTGTGACGTCCTTCCATTCAGCTCTCTTGCGGTAAAACGCTTCAGTCTAAGTGCCTTCCTTCACCCAGCTGAAAGGCAGAACACTTACTCCCGTTTTGGATAACAGTGCAAGCTGTGAGTCATAACTGGTGTGGGAGACAGAGATAGATCATGCCTTTCCCTATTGTTAGTCATTTCAAATAAACTGAATGTATCCTGGTTTGGGGGTGATGCCTTTAAAAATTTTTTTTAATTTAAAATTTTTTTAGTTGACTTTATTTTTAGAACAGTTTTAGGTTCACAGCAAAAGTTAGCAAAAGGTACAGAGAGTCCCATACACTCCCTCCCTCCCCAGAGGCACAGCCTCCGCCACTACCACCAGCCGCCAGCAGAGTGGTGCATTTGTTAACAACTGGTGAACCTACATTGCCACACCATTATCACTCAGAGTCCATGGTTTACATTAGGGTCCACTCTTGGTGTTGTACATTCTATGGGTTTGGAGAAATGCATAATGACCTGTATCCACCATTATATTATACAGAATAGTTTCACTGCCCTGAAAATCCTCTGTGTTCCACCTCTTCATCCCTCTTTCCCAACCTGTGACAACCACTTATCTTATTACTGCCTCCACAGTTTTGCCTTTTCCAGAATGTCATATGGTTGGAACTATACAGTCTATAGCCTTTTCAGATTGACTTCTTTCACACTGTATTATGCAAAGTTTCTTCCATGTCTTTTCATGGCTAAATAGCTCATTTCTTTTTTTTTTTTTTCTTTTTGGGACAGAGTCTTGCTCTGTTGCCCAGGCTGGAGTGCAGTTGTGTGAAATCGGCTCACTGCAACCTCCACCTCCTGATTTCAAGAGATCCTTCCATCTCAGCCTCCCAAATAGCTGGGATTACAGGTGCCCGCCACCATGCCCAGCTAATTTTTGTATTTTTAGTAGAGATGGGATTTCACCACATTGGCCAGGCTAGTCTCAAACTCCTGACCTCAAGTGATCCACCTGCCTCGGCTCCCAAAGTGCTGGGATTACAAGCTCATTTCTTTTTAGCACTGACTAATATTCTATTGTCTAATGTACCACAGTTACATATCCATTCACCTAGTAAAGAACAAGGTTGCGCTTTTTTTACCCCACTGCTCTGGGAATATAGTTTCCAAAAATTATAAAAAAAAATACAGAGCCGCTTTTAGTATTTCTGAAGGCTGCTCTGATTTGTCTTTGTCCTTTAAAAGTCTGCAGAAAAAAAAAACAAAACTGAATCTAATAAAGGTGCTTCTGACATTTCTGCAACCTAAACACGCTTTACTTGGTATCTTCCGTACCCTCACACCAGAAGACGACACCTTTGTTGGTTCTGTTTGTTAAAGACTCAGAAGCCAGGGCCCCAGCACCACCCAGCAACCCCCCGAATCAAGGTGCAGCAGAACCCAGCATTCACGCTGAAACACGTGTCCTGTGCTCTGATGTAGACCCAAATCTAACAGCCATTGACATGGACTGTTAGATGACTTCCGTTATCACCTACTGGGATAAAACCTATTTTGTTTTGGCTAATAAATACTGTTCTATGTCATTACTATTATTATTATTTTCGAGATGAAGTCTTGCTCTGTCACCTAGTCTGGAGTGCAGTAGCATGATCTTGATTCACTGCAACCTCCGCCTCCCAGGTTCAAGCGATTCTCCTGCCTCAGCCTCCTGAGTAGCTGGGACTACAGGTTCATGCCACCAGGCCTGGCTAATTTTTTGTATTTTTAGTAGAGACAGGGTTTCACCATATTGGCCAGGCTGGTCTCAAACTCCTGGTCTCAGGTGATCCACCCGCCTCGGCCTCCCAAACTGCTGGGATTACAGGCGTGAGCCACTGCATCCGACCTTCATTAAATTTAATGTATTATTTAAACTAGGATTTTTTTATCAGCTTTATTGAAGTATAATTTACATAAAAGAAAACCCAACCATTTAAAATGCACGGTTCCTGACAAAGTACAGCCTGATAAACTCATATGGCCATGGAAGCACCACCGCAATTAAACTACAGAACATTCCATGTCCCCAGAGTTTCCCTTGTGCTTCCCTGTAGCCATTCTCTTCCCACACCCCAGCGCCAGGTGACCACTCATCTCTCCTCCATCACTAGAATTTCAGAAAAATGGAATCATACAGTATGCAGTCTTTTGTGTCTGGCTTCTTCTATTTAGCCATTTGCTTCTGAGATTCACCCACATTACATGTATCAACAAGGAGAATCTTTTTAACCCCAGAAATACTCTGGCTGGAAAGTAGAAAACTATTCAGCAAAAGCTACTGTAGAAAAACACTCCAAGATGATTAAGAACTGTATTCCACCCCTCTCAAATAAGACCCTTGAACAACAAGTGATTCCTATTTTAGGACAGCAAGGAGATTGCCAAGTGATGGATACAATGTATTTATTTTTTAAATATCTTGCTAGCTAAAGACCTTTAAAGATATTTGGAGAGAGATGACATCAGAAAAAGTGGCAAAGACCTAAAAATTCACTCCTCCATAAGAGGAAAAAATAACTGAATGAAATGGTTAGAATCAAGTTGCTCATAACTCTGGAAATTAACCAAAGGCCTGCAGCAACCTTGGAAGCATTTCTTCAAGATGAAGAGCTGAATCTCGGTAAGAACAGTAGGATTTGGGGCATTTTGGCTTGCCCTAGTCCCATCCTCCATTCCTCATCTCTACAGTACCCTTGAAAAATAAAAGCTCACATGCCTGGTGCAGCCTGGAAGCCACTTGAGGGAAGGGAACAAAGCTGGATCTTTTCCAAAGTCCCATTCCCAAATAATTCTCATGATGTGACCATTCTGGTGATTCCCTAGAAGACCATACTTACAAACCTAGTTATATTTGACCTGACCCTGAGCTCACCCAGTGTGAACAGTCTTTTCCCTGGGGGTGACTGTCAAATACATTTGTAGGCAAGTGTTTTCACTTTGCAGCTGCCTAATCAGTAGATAATAGTTGGGGCAAACAATATATTAATCTAAACACTTAAAAAAAATCCTGGGGAATAAGATGCCCATAGCACTTTTGAAACGCCCCAATATATCTCTGGGAATACAGAGTGCCACATGCATGCATAGCGCTGTGCATATGCCCAGGAAAGCCCTGAGAAGGCTCTAAGCTCTCAGATGACAACTGCCTTGCAGAATGTGGAAGGTGTGCCCCAAGAGTCACACAGACCCCCTTGTCAAAGACTGGGAGATGTACTGGCTCCAGGCATTTAAAGAAATCTCTGTCCAATAACTAGGTAACTCCTAAACTAACTTGGTAGACAATTCAGTAGCCACACATGACAAAGAATAGGCTTTACAGAATTCATTCAGAAAAGTCATCAACAATAAACTATAGTGGACAAGAAGAATTTGCTTTCTAGAGGCACCACATTATATTAGTGAAAATGCCCAGTTTTCAACAAAAAAAAAAAAAGAGAAATATGAAGATACAAGAAAGCATGGCCCATATTCAGGCAAAAAAAAAAAAAAAAGCAATCAATGTAAGTGATCCCTGGCCTGGCACAGTGGCTCATGCCTATAATCCCAGCACTTTGGGAGGCTGAAGTGGGGAGATCACTCTTGAGGTCAGGAGTTTGAGACCTGTCTGGCTGACATGGTGAAACTCCGTCTCTACCAAAAATACAAAAATTAGCTGGGCATGGTGGCACATGCCTGTAATTCCAGCTACTCAGGAGGCTGAGGCACGAGAACTGTTTGAACTCTGCCAGGAGGCAAGGCTGCAGTGAGCTGAGATCATGGCACTGCACTCCAGCCTGGGCAGCAGATTAAGACTCCATCTCAAAAAAAAAAATATATATATATATATCTAGCTCACATATACATCTCATACACACACATATATATACACACATACACACACACACATATATGACCCCTGAGAAAGGCATGGTGGACTTAGAAGACAAAGACTTTAAATCAGTTATTTAAACGTATTAAAAGAACTAAAGCAAACTGTCTAAAGAACTAAAGAAAAAGATGACAATGATATCTCACCAAACAGAAAATATTAATGAAGAGATAGAAATTATAAGAACCAAATAGGGCTGGGCATGGTTGCTCATACCTGTAATCCCAGCAATTTGGGAGACTGAGGCAGGAGGACTGCTTGAGGCCAGGAGTTTGAGACCAGCCTGGGCAACATAGCAAGATACTATCATTAACAAAAAAAATACACAAAAATTAGCCAGGTGTGGTAGCACTCACCTGTAATCTCAGCTACTCAGGAGGCTGAGGCAGGAGGGAGAATCCCCTGGGCCCAAAAGTTCAAAGCTGCAGTGAGCTATGATCATACCACTGCACTCTAGCCTGAGAGACAGAACAAGACTCTGTCTGAAAAAAAAAATAACCAAATAGAAATTATAGATTGAAAAGTACGATAACTCAAATAAAAAACTCTCTATAGGGGTTAAAGAGCAGATTTGAGTAGACCAAAGAAAGAGTCATCAGTTAACCTAAAGATAGGTTAATTGAGGTTATCCAGCCTGAGCAGCAGAATAAACAATGAAGAAAAATGAACAGATCCTAAGAAGTGTGTGAGCCATCATAAAGTGTACCAAAGTGCATGCAATGGAGTATATCAACAGGAGAGGAGAGAAAGTGAAAAGGGCAGAAAATACCTTTGAAGAAACTATGGCCAAAGACTTCCCAAATTTGATGAAAGACAACAATCTACACATCCAAGCTGAATGAAATCTGAGTAGAATAAACTCAAAGAGATCCATGCCTAGACATATCATAAACAAACTGTCAAAAGCCAAGGCCAAAGAGAGAAGCTTGAAGGCAAAAGATCAGTGACTTACCACATACAAGGGGTCCAAATAAGATTAACAGCTAGTTTCTCATTAGAAAACATGCAGGACAGGAGGCAGAGCAAATGGCAAGAAAAAAAAAAGTGTAAACCAAGAATTTCATATCCAGCAAAACTATCCCTCGAAAATGAAGAAAAAATCAAGACATTACCAGATAAGCCAATGCTGAGATAATTTGTCTCTATGGAATCTGCCCTAAAACAAATAGTAAAGGAAGTCTTTTAGGCTGAAATTAAACACACACACACACACACACACACCCAGGTGCACGAGCGTGTGCAAAACTAGATAGACAGTAAATTAAACTCACATAGACATAAAAAGCATGATTAAAGATAACTACATGGATGCTATGGTTTGGATGTGGTTTGTCCCAGTCAAAACTCAGGTTGAAATTTAATTGCCAATGCAACAGTGTTTGGAGGTGGTGTCTTTAAGAAATGATTAACTTAAGTTGGATTAATGTCTTTCTCACAAGACTGGGTTAGTTCTCTGCAGAAAGGATTAGTTTTGATAAGAGTTAATTGTTATAAAATGAGGTTGCCTCTCACGTTTTTCCCTTTTTGCCTTTCCCTTTATCTGCCATGTTTGGAGGAAGCACAAGGCCCTCACCAGAAGCAGGAGATGCGATTGTCCAATCTTGAACATCCCAGCCTGCAGAACCATGAGCTAAATAAACCTATTTTTTTAAATAAATTACCCAATCTCAGATATTCTGTTATGGCAACATACAACAAAAGGTAAGACATACAGAAAACAAATAGCATACTGGGAGACATAATAATTCCTCATCAGCAATTACATTAAAAAATTAAACTCTCCAATTAAAAGGCAGAAATTTCAGAATGGATTTTAAAAACATGATCCAATTACACACTGTCTATAAGAGATTCACTAGAGTTTGTCAGTAAAAAGTAGAAAATAATATACTGTGCAAATGCTAACCAAAAGAAGTTTGAGTAACTATCCTAGTATTAGACAAAATCATCTTTAAGACAAAAATTGTTACTAGAAACAAATAAGGACATTTTATAATGATAAAGGCTTAATCATTCAAGAATACAGAACAATTATAGACATATTTGTACATAACAATTGTGCCAGAGTAGCAAAGAATTAGCAAAGAACAACATTCTGAACAGCTGAGCTGGTAGCTCTATACTGAAAAATGAGAAATGTCATTTGCCTAAATTATTGACAACCGGAAGACTGCAACCGAGATCAAGTGCACCCTAGAAAGCCACAGGTTTTCTATCCTGGCTGCATATTGAAATGATCCACAGAGTCTAAAACTATAGATACCCCGGCCCTATGCCAAGAAATCCTGATATAGTGAGTCTGAAGTAACATTTCTTAAAGTGCCCCAGGTGTTCTGAAGTGCAGGCAGGATAAGGAGACACGGGCCTAGAGTGTGAGAGCATGGGCTCTGAAACATACAGCCTGGGTTTCAACCTGAGCTCTGCCTCTTACTCGCTCCAAAAAACCTTGAACATGACTGAACCTTGCTGTACCCACATCATGGAAGAGTGTCTGGAACACATCATAGAAGACACTAAGAACAGATTTAAAAAAAAAACTATCCCAGTAATGTGAAAATACATATTCTTTATTCATGTCGCTAGTTTTCAGCATTTAGAAAGGCACTTATAAATGTTAGCCATTACTGTCGTTGTCATCATCATCATCATCATCATCTGTCATCATCATCATTTGCCCAGGACAGGCACAACTTGAGGTACCTCTGAACCCTCACAATGGACACTGAAGTTGGGGAAGAAAGAGACAAATGGCAGCTTTACCTGGTGGAAAATAAGCTCAGCTCTTCCCTCTTGAGCCTGCTTCATCCCCCAGGAAGACTAAAGTGGATCTTGCCAGTCAGCACAACAGAGCTCCCACTTTCAAAGATGGCCTTCACATTCTGGACCACGCATACTAGGGTGGAGTTTAGGAAAGGTAAACTGTGCCACCCTCCCATACCACCACACCCCCGCAAACACACACACACACACACACACACACACACACACACGAAACCAACTAATCCAACAACACCAACTTTCTACCTTCATTAACATAGTCCTTCTTTTGTAAATATAAATAGGACAATGAAAGATGGCCTGATATTGAGTGGGAAAAAAATAGCATAAATAATGACCTAGATGATTAAAGAGACCAGTTAACCTGTGGGGGGAGGTGAGAATATCTGATAAACAGAATTCTAATTAATATACTTGAAGGAGATTGCACCCATTAAATGAGTGTTTCATAAAATGTGAACATATTGCTATGAAAAAAAGCAATTAGAGAAAAACACAGTTCTTAGAAAATAACATAACTGTCTGTCAAAATAAAAAATTCAACAGAATGATCAAACAGTAGAATGGATACAGCTGAAATCCAAAGTAGTTATCTAGAAAATAAAATAGAAGTGCCCCAGAAAGTAAAGAAAAAGAGAAAGAAAACATTAGAAAATGTTAAGAATCCCATAGGATCAATTTAGAAGGTAGAGCATCTATCCACTAGGAATTCAAGTAAGAGAAGGCAAAAATAAATAAATAGATAGATAGATAGATAGATAGATAGATAGATAGATAAAGAGATACAATCAAAGAATTAATGGAAGAAATTTCCCCAACAATTTTTCTTGAACTATCCAATAGACGAATAACTAGAACTAGTTTAATAATTCACTATGGTCTGTGATAAACAAGTATGAGATCAATACACATAATTTTTCCAGAAATTATGGCAGAAAATACAGTTGGTTCTTGAACAACACAGGTTTGGACTGCATAGGTCCACTTACACATGGATCTTCTTCTACCTCTGCCACCCCTGAGACAGCAAGACCAACCCCTCCTCTTCCTCCTCCTCCTCAGCCTACTCAACTGATGACGATGAGGACGAAGGCCTTTATGATGGTCCACTTCCACTTAATTAATAGTAAATACATTTTCTATTTCTTAGGACTTTTTGAAATGATATTTTCTTTTCTCTAGCTTACTTTATTGTAAGAATACAGCATATAATACATCTAACATACAAAATATGTGTTAGTTGACTATGTGATCAGTAAGGCTTCCAGTCGGCAGTTGCTTACTTGTAGTTAAGTTTTTGAGGAGTCACACATTATATGCAAATTTTCAACTACATGAGGGGTCAGTGCCCCTAACTGCCATGTTGTTCAAGGGTTAACTCTATATCCCCATCTCTAAATATTATAGATATTATTTTCCAGGAATTAATCTATAAAATCAATGCAATCACAAAATCAAATCATGGCCACTGTGTAACTTTACAAACTCATTCTAAATTTATTGAAGAATGCACAGAAGAGCAAATAATATGTGAAAATAAGTCATTTGACTTATTATAAAGCTGGACTAGTTAAAACAATGTAGTGTTGTCTTAGAAATGAACTGATAGATTCATTACACAAAATAAAGATTAACAAACAGACCCATATCTAGCAGTGAGGTGGTGGAAAACATTTCAAATGGCAGGAGAAATACTGAATCGTTCAAAAAAAATAATATTGGGAAAATGGTCATCCGTTAGGAAAAGATAAAGTTAGAGTCTTCATACCATATGTAAAAATAAGCTTTGATTCAATTAAACATAAAAAGAAAAATTAAACATTTTAGAAATAAACAGGTGAATAATTTCAGAATTATGGTCCAAGAGAGATCTTTTACAGTGTATATTTTAAAAAGACACTTTGTTAAAAATTAAAAGACAAACAAACTGACAAGACAAACTGGGATAAAATATTAGTCACTTAAAACAGAAAAGTATTATGATCTTAAGAAAAATAAAAAGAAAAAATAAAAATAAAAATAAGGAAATGAGGAGAGGTCCCCTCCAAGGAGGGACAGTGACAGTGAAGGAGAGGAGTGATTTGAAAGACTAGAAGGTAAGAAAATGACATATTAATAATTTGGTTCAATATATTGAATCAGGTCGGGGTGAGGAAGGAACCAAGGGAACCTGAGTTTAGGTTTTAGAATAAGGCAACTGAAGGAAAGGGAGAAACATTCCTAATGAGATAGGGGAGCAAAAAGAAATTAGTTTGGGTTTGGAGTAGATTGAGTTGGGGTCCTTGTAGGATAAATGCTAACATGGAGGCTCCTCCAGTTTAGTCTCACTAGGCAGATTCATTTGAGTTAACAAAAAACTAAACTATAGACCTCATGTGAAAAATTATAAGATTGTGTTGTGTTTCTGTTTTGCTTTCTTTTCATTCTCTTTATTATTTTTTTATTTTGCTTTCTTTTATTTTTATTTTTATTGTCTCCTACTTGAGTTGCTTTATTGAATCTTCTTTTGTAGACAAATAAGAATCATATAATTGTTTGGATTTAAATGGTTATTTTCAAATTGCTTAAGGGTATTCGAAAACAACTTCTTTCCTTGCAATTTTTAAAATGTCCCTTTCTAATTGCTTACATGTTAATACAGTCACACAACAAAATAATATGCAACTGTTTAAAACAGTTTGTACTAAGAAATATTAGTGAATGGAGCAACAGTCATGAAATACTCCTAAGCAGAAAAAAAAAGGCAGGTTACAAAATAGGTGCACTATGAATCTAATTTTCATAAAAATATGTACGCATCTGTGTATGCATGGGGAAAAATGGAAGGCAAAACAGCAAAATATAATTGTCTATCTCTAAGTGTTGGGATCTGGGATGATTTTTAAAAATTGTCTTGTGTTTTTATGCATTTGCTAAATTCAAAACAATGAATATTTAATATACTAGAGTTTAAAAATTAAAAAAAAGAAATCTCACACATCAATGTAACACAGTCTCACAGAAAAAATATGTACAAGCAATTCATGGAAGAAATTCAAATAGGTAATGGAATCTTATTCTTTGTTTCGTTTCGGTCCCATCTATTCTTTGTTTCCTTTTTCCTGTTTTCTGCCTTCTTTTGCATTAATTGGATATTTTTTATTATTCCATTCCATTTCCTTTGTTGGTTTCTTAGCCAACTCTTTGGGGTTTTTGGTTTTATTTTGTGGTTGCTTTAAGCTTTACAGTATACAACTTTAATTTATCATAGTTTACCTTCAGGTGACATTAGACTTCATCAAGTATAGTCTAAGAATCTTACATTGTATAGTTCCATCCGCCCTCCTTTACAGTATTTTCACACAATTACTTATTCAAATGTTATAAACCCCACAATACATTGGTGCATTTTTTTTTCCTATTTTTGGTTCTTTGCATGCATTCAGCTTCTTGAATCTGTGGGTTTCTAGTTTTTATTCCATTTTGAAAAAAAATTACTACTATTTCTTCAAGTATTTTTTCTGTTTGCCCTCACTCCTTATTCCACATATATTAGTGTTTCTGGAAATTATTCCACAAAGCTCTGTGATTTTTTTCCATATTTTTGTTGAAAAAATGTTTTTTCTCTGTGTTCTTCATTTTGGAGAATGTATATTGCATTGCAATGCCTGTAAGTCCACTAATCTTTTTTCTTGTCTCAAATCTGCCATTAATCTCATCCAGTGAATTTTTTTCTCTCTTACATTGTAGTTTTCATCAGTAGAAGTTCAACTGGGTTTTTTTTATACCTCCATGTGTCTACTTAACTTTTGGAACATACAATTTTAATAACTGTAATCTTTGATTAGATGATAGACATTAGGAATGTTATCTAGTTGGTGCTGGATACTTTTGTATTCCTATGAACGTTCTCAAACTTTGCTCTGGGACACAGGTAAATTACTTGGAAACTATCTGATTCCTTTGGATCTTGCTTTTAATATCTGTTAGGCAGAACTGGAACAGCATTTAGCTCAAGGCTAGTTATTCTCCACTACTGAGGTAAAACTCTTCTGCATGCTGTATACAATGCCCAGGTGAATCATGAGGTTTCCAATCTGGATGGTGGGAAAACCCTAATTTTGTGACTGGCACTTTTGTCTCTAGTCCTCTCAGATAGTTCTTTCATGGCCTCAGTTTCTCTACCTACATGCAAGAGCTGATCAGTAGCAGCTGAATATTCACAGGGCTTCCTCTCCAAATCTCCAGAACCCTCTACTTGAGTAAGTCTTTCCTCTCTGGCACTTTGTTCTGCAAATTCTAGCCACCTTGGACTCCCAGGCTCAGTATAGCCTCCTTAACTCAGCAGGACTGCCAGGCTCTTCCCAGGTTCCTGTGCTGTGGCCTAGAAACCTTCTCACAACAGGAGGCTGCAGCAATCCATCCCCAGAGGATCCAGAGGCACACCTTTCTCTACAGTTATGAGAAATAAATACGCGAGAGGAACCTCAGCATCCCTGAACTCTTCCTGGAGGCCACAAATTACAGTTGGAATTTCTGTGCTGCCATCTAACTAGGGTCCCTAAATGCAATGAAGATGATGAGACCCCAGGGTTGCAGGGGCCAGGTGGCAGCTCTTAATTGCCAAAGGCATGGTGGATGTGGTTACTGTGAAGCACAGAGAGCCAAAGCAGCCATCAGAGTAGACTGGCTCACCGAGATCTTTGGTGTTGGCTCTGAAAAGCCCTGTTTCTCTGATTGAGCCGTGATGGATACACGTTTCTGTCTGGGTTGATAAAGCTTAGCAATAAAAATAAACCACCATCTGAGTAAGGCAAAAAGCCAGATCCCTCAAACAATGTAATATAAAATGCAAACAATACTAAACACATTATTGGATCTATATGGTACTCATATTCCCATAGATTAGTGCTTCTTAAAGTAGATTTACTTTGCTTTAAAAAAAAAAACTGTCCTAAACTGTAACTAATTTGTTATTGGTAAAAATAAATTCTAAAAAATGTTTTCAACTCCATGGTTATTAGTTTCTCAACAGTATTAGTTATTATGAATAATCTAATATCCAGTTCAGTGCTACTGTACTCAAGGTTTTAAAACTTATACCGCCTGTGATTGTGGGAGACTGTTTCCATTATTCATACATAAGCCATCACAAGATGGTTCACTGAATCTTTCAAAAAATCATCTAATCAGAGCTATATAATCTGATTTCTAATTGGCATCCAGCATAATATAGAACCCGTTATAGTTTAATGTAAGGAAGACAATGATCTCAATCATAGAAGACACTAAGAACAGATTTAAAAAAAAAACTATCCCAGTAATGTGAAAATACATATTCTTTATTCATGTCGCTAGTTTTCAGCATTTAGAAAGGCACTTATAAAACACTATGGTAAACACACACACACACACACACACACACACACACACAGCATTTCCCTTCTTCCCCTCCGACATTGCATTCGCCAGCCTACAAAGGGAGGCCTCCCTCACTGAGTGCTCACAGTGAGCTGCTGCTCCCCTCTCTTTGCCCTCCCGCACATCAGTCACTCCGGCAGGGACTGTACAGCTCTCCTTCATCTCGCTCTGTGTGTCTGTAAGCGCAGAATGATGAAAAGAAGGAGCTGCAGCAGGGCTCCGGATGGCCTTGTGCTTGGGAGCCCTGCAGAGGAAAGCTGCTGCCAGGAGAGCAATGGCAGCACCAAAACGCTCCAGCAGCAGGGGCCACTCATGCCTGTACTCAGCCAGCCAGGCCTGCAGGGCGAATGGAGTGGCTGCAAAGACCTTGGAGCTGTGGGCCCAAAACTGCTTCTTCTCACTATCCTGAGGGATACGCCCCTTTCAGAGAGGGCAACTGACTGTGTGGTGTTTATGGAAGGAGTTGGGGGGAGGGCAGGCCAGTGTGCCCCCCTGGGAATGAACTAGAAAACTCACTGCTGCATCTTTAGTTGACACCTCCAGGAAGAAAAAAAAACAAATCATTAGCACAGACAATAAAAGCAGGAGCTTTTATTTTAAAAATCATTGAAATCAAGACTTCAAGTCATGCTAGTGCTAAGTCCCAGGGCAGGGTACTTTGCTTTCTAGGTCTTCCTTTCCTTGCATAAGGTCTCACACGTCATCTGGAAAACCTCAGTTCCATTTTGTGGTCCCTGGGAAACCATGAAGGGCTTAACGAAGGGGAGTGACACAGGCTGGCAGACACTTTACATACCACCCACGGCATCTGTGTGTGTGTGGAGAACGGATTGGAGAAGAGCCAGCTTTTTGGCACACAGATCTGTTAGGAGGCTACTATATGAGATGCCAGGCAAGGACCTGCCCTAGAATGGTGGCTCAAGGCAGAGAGAAGACAGGGGCAGCTGCATACAAATAAAATGAGTCACGGCCAGGCGCAGTGGCTTACACCTGTAATTCCAGCACTTTGGGAGGCCAAGGTGGGCGGATCACGAGATCAGGAGTTTGAGACCAGCCTGACCAACATGGAGAAACCCTGTCTCTACTGAAAATACAAAAATTAGCTGGGCGTGGTGCGCACACCTTTAATCCCAGCTACTCAGGCAGCTGAGGCAAGAGAATCGCTTGAACCCGGGTGGCAGAGGTTGCAGTGAGCCAAGATCGTACCATTGCCCTCCAGCCTGGGCAACAGAGTGAGACTCTGTCTCAAAAATAATAATAATAATAATAATAATAATAATAATAATAATAAAAAAATGAGCCACAAGGAGAGAGCTTGTGAATAAGTATGATGGGTGAGGAAGGAGAAGGATGTCTGAGTGTCTCCCCAGTTTCTAGAATGGGTAGGCGGTGGTGTCATCAACTGAGACAGAAAATACAAAGGGACAAGAAGATGAGGTTGAAGGAATGTAAGTCATGTGATACCTAATTAGAGAAGAAAGATAATGTCCACACAGACTACAGTTGGCTGGAACAAAGGAGGATTTGGGAGTCAGAGAGGTTTGGGTTCAAGTCCTAGCTCATTACTTAAGGTGTGGAAGCCTTGGCCTCGCTTTAAAAACCTTTTTTAAAAAAACTCTTTTGAACTTTAAAAACTCTTAAAAAAAAAAAAGAGTAGGAAAACCTACTCTTGCCAGGACTGTTGTGAGGATAAGGACATACAGGTCCCACTCGATGAATGGTTACCATCATTGTTTACAGTATTTTCTTTGGTATTATTCTGGATAGAACATCTTTGGTCACATTTCCAAAACTCTGCGGTGATGGTTCCTGATGGTTCCTTAGTCAACTCGGCTAGACCACAGTACCCAGATATGTGGTCAAACACTAGTTTGGATGTTGCTGTGAAAGTATTTTTGTAGATGAGATTAAGTTTTAAGTAGACCTTGAACAAAGCAGATTACCCTCCATAATGTAGTGGGCTGCAACCAGTCAGTGGAAAGAAGAGAAAATGACGGACCTGCTACAGGGAGGAGGGAATTCCACCTGCTGCCTCCCTTCAGGCTAAAGCTGCAGCCTCAGCTCTTCCCTCCATCTCCAGCCTGCGGGCCAGCACTGCAGACTTTCGAATTGCCCGTTCCCACAACTGCGTGAGCCAATTCTTTAAAATAAATAAATCTGTCTATATACATATACATACATATATAAAATTTATAACCTAGATATATATATACATCTGTGTATGCGTGTGTATATCTATCTATATCTGCCTCTATATCTGTATATCTCCCATTGGTTATGTTTTTCTAAAGCACCCTAATAGAACTTTATATTGTAGATTTTCCTTGCATCTATTGTGAATGCCTTTACTCCTCATAAAGCCAAAGCCGAGGCTATCTCAATGGTCATGATTCAGAGAGTGAGTTTTTGCTAATGAACCAAAAGATTGCACTGTTGTGGTCAACACAGCAGAAGAACATTCTCATGGTACAGATAAAAAACTACCCAGCAAAATCCATACACTTCCGTCTGCAGTGCAGAACTGCCTCTGGGAAGTGCCTGTCCAGAGAGGCAGTGCCTGCCACAGGTTCCTAGATGGGCCTCATGACAGGCTCTCCTGAATGGCTTGAAAGGCAAGCAATGAATGTCAGTTTCAGGCCAAGAAAATTAAACTGCTAGGGTTCCTTTTCTGTTCTCTATTCCCTTTCACTGACTTGCCAGGTCCCTGAGCCCCTCTGTGAAGCCTGCCACAGGCCACGCCTGACCTGGACAGGGGCCAGGGTAGCCTTGCCCTGAACTGAGCCACTGATAGTCAGGAGGTTGCTCCAGCAATTAGTGTCACCCTAATGATACCCTAACCTCCCTACATAAGGCAAGGAAGTCAGTCAAGCCACATGAACCCCTTCTCCTCTGCCTGGGGCTTGGGAAGAAATTAGTCCATGGAAGGTCAGTGCTGACCACCTCCCAGAGAGCAGACTGGCCCTGCTCCAACTATGCGGCAGGGCTGGGGAGCGAGCACTCTGAACATTCTACTCCTGTAGGTCCAGCTGCTGCTACATCCCCCCACTGGGATGAGTCCTGAGACCCCAGCCTGCTTCCCTGGCTTCCCTGGGACACTCCTCAGCCACCACCATAAGGGGTCCTAACTCCTCGTCAGCTATAAGCTTATGCATCCTGCATGGTAAAATGCCCAGCCCTGTGAGATTCCTGATGCTGAGGCCAGGGCTGGGGGTGGCGCGCGGGGGTGATTGGGTGATGGACGTCATTTCTCTCTTGTCTTTTCATTCACACACCCACTCTGCGGAAGGCGGCTTTTCCTTTGTTTAGAGAGCTTAATCTGTCTGCACCATGAAGGTGGGTGTGGAGTGAGGAGGCAGCTGTCCCCATGTCACTGAAGGCAGCGCAGTCACCACACTGCATACCCCGAGGATGTCAACCCCACAGTCAGCCTATTCACTGCATTTCCCCTTGGCACCAAGAGCCAGCTTCAAAATAATCCAGCAAGGGGCTGGGGGGAGGTGGGGGGTGGGGAGATAGTGACAAAACAAGATGGGCCAGATGTTGGCATCTGTTGAAGCCAGAAGAGGAGTACACAGGGGTTCATGACAGCAGTCTGTTTACTTTTACGTATGTTTGAAAAGTTCTAAATAAAAATATTTTTCTAAAAGGAAATTCCTTATATGAGCCGAGATACAGCAGAAGAGGAGCCTCACCTGACTCTAAGGCCACTCCTGTCTTCCCTGATACCATTTCAGGGCGTCATGGTTACTCTCATGAAGGAAGAGGTGTTTTTAATAGACAAATGTGGGTTATTTTTCTATTCCCATTAATATTTACTACATGTCATTATCTCCAAGTCTAATCACTTAAAGAGGAGATTTTAAATAATTGATTAATATAAAAGAAGAAAAATGCCACGCTGTCTTTTTCATTATCTATCAAAACCCAGAAAACCTCTTCCTCTAGTCCTGACACAGACACATACATATATTAATGCATACACTGAGAAGAACAGGCATACAAATCAATAGACACAAATCTGCTCAGGGCATTTTTCCGAGGGAAAAACCATTAACCTCTCTCCATCTCCCGCGTGGCCTGCTCCTCAGCACAATGCCACGGCAATTCAAGTAACTCTTTTTATTTTACTCACAGAATTTTAGGGTTCCCCCAAAAACACAAAAATCTAACATTTCTTGAACTCTGATAACATATATTTTGCTTGTGCGATCATACATATGCATGTATAGTGCATAAACAGGCTTTAATGTCTAGATGAAATGCATGCATCCACACTTTTTTTTTTTTTTTTTTGAGATGGATTCTCTCTCTGCACCAGGCTGGAGTGCAGTGGTGTGGCGCGATCTCGGCTCACTGCAACCTCTACCTCCCGGGTTCAAGCAATTCTCCTGCCTCAGTCTCCCCAGTAGCTGGGATTACAGACACCCGCCAACATTCCCCGGCTAATTTTTCTAATTTTAGTAGAGATGGGGTTTCACCATGTTGGCCAGGCTGGTCTCGAGCTCCTGACTCATTATCTGCCCGCCTCGGCACCCCAAAGTGCTGGGATTACAGGCGTCAGCTGCGCCAAGCCGCATCCACACTTTTAAAATGCCCTTGTTGGCCAGGCGCAGTGGCTCATGCCTGTAATCCCAGCACTTTGGGAGGCCAAGGTGGGTGGATCACGAGTTCAGGAGTTCCAGACCAGCCTGGCCAAGATGGTGAAACCCCATCTCTACTAAAAACACAAAAAAATTAGCCGGGCATGGTGGCAGGCACCTGTAATTCCAGCTATTCAGGAGGCTGAGGCAGAGAATCATTTGAACCTGGGAGGCAGAGGTTGCAGTGAGCCGAGATCATGCCATTGCACTCCAGGCTAGGTGACAGAGCGAGACTCTGTCTCAAAAAAAAAAAAAAAAAAAAAAAAAGCCCTTGGTTCACGCTCGGTCCTTACAGGAGGACAGCAAAACAAAACAAACACAAAGAGGATGCCCTCGGAGCATCTCAGCAAGACACTGAGGAGCGCTCTCAGAAGCACCTCCCATGAGAAACACAGTGCTTCTCACAAGCCCATCAGCATTCAGCAGTGAGATTTTATCAAGCTCTGCTTCCCGCTGCCTGAAAAGAAGTTGGAATTCTCTTCGCCACTGCCTCCAACCTGCTCACGCATCTGAAGGTGGAACCCTGCTCCAAGGCCACCTGGAGACGCAGGTGCCACTTACCACAAGGGAGAGAGGCCTCTTCCAGGAGACGACACCTATGAGTCCCGACAGCAGCACCTGGAAGGACAAAAGATACAGGAAGGTGAGATGCTTCCGAAACCTTGCATGGGCAATCAAAACACTGTGAACCGTTTCAACCCGGAGAAGGACGTGTGGAACACAGCACACACACAGTGGCGGGGCTACCATGAGCTGCATTTTCACAGCTTGCACCCACTCTGAGAGGCACATTGGTCTCTCAGGGCACCAGGGTGCTATGGAGGGGTCACTTTGTGCACTGCACTAGGTGGCCCGAGAGTGACAGGCTTTCTGAAACACCCCACCCTGGTCCTCGATGTGATTTGGCTGTGCTAGGCACACGCTTGTATTCCTAGCTACTCGGGAGGCTGAGGCACGAGAATCACTTGAACCTGGGAGGCAGAGGTTGCAGTGAGCCAAGATCACACCACTGCACTCCAGCCTGGGAGGCAGAGCGAGACTCCATCTCAAAAAAAAAAAAAAAATCACAGAGAACACTATTTGGGGAAAAGGCAAATGCAACCCCACCCACGGGCCACCTGGCCACCTGCCATGGTTGCATGGACCCTGGGCATGGCAGACCCTGCAGGCTCCTTCTGCCCTATACACACTTGGCTCCCCTGATGCACACCCTTCTCTCCCCTCCAGCCCCTGCGAGCCCCTCCCCTTCACTCATCACAGCTTCCCACCTCACCCGTACATAGGCAGTGTCTTCTGATGAGGCTCCAGAACTTTCTAGGCCCTGACTCCAAGCAGCCCACTCCTTTCCCAGGCCAAGTCCTGCCCTTGACCTTGCCTGGGGTCTCACCAGAAGTCATCCCCTCTCTCCTGCCTCCTCCCTACTGTCCTGATCACATGAATACACTGTGACTTCTGTCCCTTAGAAGAACCACTGCTTAGCCCTGTGTCCAGCTCCTGGCCTGCCTGTCTCCTAGGCGGCCTCCTGAGGCCAGGCAACCTGAGGATGACACTGGCTCTGATCCCCACATTCCTGATTTCCTGGTGTCCAGGAAGGGCCAATGGATCATGAAGACACAGTCACTTCCCACCCACTACCATCTATCTGGCTTCAGCCCCACAACTCCAAGGAAACTTCTCCCAAGGTTCCCCAGCAGTCACCAAGTGCGACAGACAAAGCTCGGTCCCCATCACCCGGCTGAGGGCTGAGGCTCCCTCCCATCTGGGCTCCTGTGGCTTCTCACTCCCCTGCGGTTCTTCCCACTTCCCAGGGGCCGCTCTCCTCCACAGCCTCCCTCCTGGCCTCCTCCCTCTCCCCAACCTCTTCCTGGTTTCCCAACACCTGTCTCCTGAGCCCTTTGTCTCCTCTCCCCAGGGCTCTGTGGTGGCTGTCCTGAGGCTCCTCGAGTACCATCCACTGGTATCTGCACAGGTGATTCTCAGCCCAGGGCTTTGCCATGGCCACGGCATCACACCGTCCACAGGCTCTGCTCCTGGCATCTGTCCAACCCAACATGTCCAAAAATGCAGCTGCAGCCTCCACCTCAGAAGCCCACACTTCCTCTTGCAACCTCTGCTCTCCACAAGAGTACCTCTTCTTCCCCGTCACTCAAGCCGAAATCCTGGAGATCTTTCCCTCTCCCTTACCCCCATGTCCAACCAGGGAGGAACAGGAGGCTAAGGCTCACTCAACAGGGCAGCATGTGAGAAGGCCGAATTAAAAGGAAGGTGTTTGCAGACCAGGTCTCCTGTGAAGACAAATTGCTCACGCTTGCCACTGTGGGCACAAGCCAGGCATCCGGGCACTGGCTGGAAGGGCTTGGCTGCATGTCCCCTGAGACTCCAAAAGCACTGGCCAGACCCGGGAGGAGGGCATGATGCTGACAAACTCACAAGGTACCCTTGGTCACAGACTGCAGTTCACCCTCAACCACCTCCACAGGGGGCAGAACCAGGTCTCAGACACAGCAGCCACTATCACATCCTGCACCATGCTAGTCTAGTATCAAAAACATCTGGCCACAAAACAACAAAACAACAACAAAAACATGAACCAAAGCACGCACACCAGGGCTCTGCTCCCAAGCCTCTCACACGTGTATTTTTTCTGCAACGCTCACAAGTCCTCCAAACACAGTTACCGGCGACAGACATTATTTACAGCCATTTCCCACCGCCCGGGTCCCCTCCCATGGCCATGCCACCCAGGCTCCTTGCCTCGCAGTCCAGTTCCAGCCCTAGGGAAATCCTTGACCAATGTCTCTCGTGTCTCTCAGGGGCTGTGTCTCACTAACTCTCCTTCCAAATGCCCCTGAAACCTCTCTCTTGCCTTCTGTACCCAACATTTGAACCCAGTGGGCACACCATGTTCCCATGTCATTTCACAGTCAGAGGACACCGGCCTTTCTTGGAAGGAGATGACCATTCCCGCCGGAGCTCTCACCATCATTTCATGTTTGACATTTCAGACCCTGACTTCACTCCTCCACACCCACTTTCTTCTTTTTGTGAATTCAAAATTTCTGACCATAATGCCATCATGTTTTGAGCTCATGGTATATAGTTCAGGGGCCACTCCGTCACTAAGCAGGATCCATTCTTCTGCTCAGCACCCTCCATTTCCCGGTTCATCTCTCTGCCCTCTGCCGGCACGCTCCTGTTTCACCTGCCCGATGACAGCCTTGTCCACTCGCTCTTGTCTCCACCTCCTCCCTCCCCACTGAAGCCATCCTGGATGCCTCCACCAAACAAACCGCATCACCCTGGCCTGACAATTTAGACCACAAAGCTAGGTCCCTGATTTTCCAGCACTGGAGGCACCTCCCTTGGTGGCCCCACTCCTGTCCAGGCCACTCTGGGCACCTCCAGGGAGGCTGGCAAGGGAGGAAACTGCACAGCAGCCACTGTGTGACTCACCTACAAGCCACAGAGCTCTGTGGGCTGTCTTCCCTCCACACCCAACCTCCGAGACAGCCCCCATCTTCCAGCACTCCCTTCCTGTCCCCAGCCCTCCCGGCCCCAGCCTCAGCCCCCGACTCTTCTTATCCCTCAAGTTGAGGGCCACATTCCGGGGCTCTGGCTCTGACTCTGCCATCTGCCTAGGATGAAACTTCCAAAAAGTGTCTTCCATTTTTCCACACGCCCCAACACTGGCCTCACGCAGACTAAGCCTGGACAGATGGTGAGAAGAAACATCCCCTAGAAAATGGCGTCTTCTACTTCCCATGTCTACCAGATGAAATCTTACCCGTTCTTCAACCATGGCCCCACCCTCCTCACTCACGAAGAGCCTAGGAATTCAAGAGCCCAGGGGGCCCATCAGATCCCCAAACTACCACCAGAGTCCTGCAGGCATCTTTAATAAACTCAGATTGAACGCCTTGACCTCTTCTCAGCTGAAGTGTATTAAACTATCAAAATTCTACAGTGACTAAGTCGCTTGTAGCAGGAATTTCACTGGAAGTACATAAAACTTCCAAATCGTAGCCACTACTCCACCTACTTCTAAGCCTGAAGGAAGTTAATATTGCTTTTATCTTATTAAGCTACAGGGAGAGTTCTTGACCTTCCCCATTCCCATAAGCAAAGCTATCATTCCACAAATCCCCTCACAGAATTTGACTTTCAACAAACACGGGTGACTTGCTCACTGAAGACAATGTGCATTTCCAAGTATCATTAATAACTACAACTAGGAATGGATCAAATTCTCCTACACAAAGCAAAAGAATAAAGCCATTAAACTTGGCGTGGCAGGCAGAATTCTAAAATGACCCCTGGTGACCCCTGGCCTTACAGAATGCTCTCCCCTGAGTAAGAATATGATGGGCTGTCACTCTTGTGGTCTTCCCCCAGGGACATGTTCAAATAACATGGCCCCAGCAACACTCTGGTTGCAGCCTTGTGAAACCTGGCCAGGTGACTCTTCTATGGGAGGGGGGCAAGGAAATGCTGGGTAGAGAAGGGTGGGGTGCCTGGCGAGGGCTCCACCCTCAGGCCTGTGCCCATGGACCTAAGTGAGAACGGGCAATCCTGTTTTCATGCCCAAATGTTGCATCTTCCAAGACCACTCTGGCCTCCCATGCCCCCCATCCTGTGCCCATAAAAATCTGAGACCATAGTGGGCATGGACACAAGCAGCTGGATGTTGAAAGGAGGAGAAGGGCACACCAACAGACACCAGCAGACACTGGCAGGCCACTGACGGCGGGATGACACAGAATTTGGTCGAGGGCAGTCGGAGGAGAGTCCAGCCACTGGCCGGCCTGACTCCAGGGGAAGACACCTTCCCACTCCATCCCCGTTTTGCTCCCCATCCACTTCGCTGAGAGCTACCTCCACCACTCAATTAAACCTCGCACCCATCCTCCAAGCCCATGTGTGATCTGATTTTTCCTGTACACTAGGGCAAGAACCAGGATACAGAAAGCCCTCTGTCCTTGTGATAAGGCAGAGGGTCTAACTGAGCTGATTAACACAAGCTGCCTGCAGATGGCAAAACTGAAAGAGCACTCTGTAACACACACCCACTGAGGCTTTGGGACCTGCAAACACTCAACCCTAGACGATGCCGTGGAGATGGAGCCCCAAAACACTCCCCAAAACCTACCCATCTTCATGTTCCCCCTTGGAGTTTGAACAGCGGGGCACCGAAGAAGCGAACCACACCCTTGTCACACGCCCGGTGAGGCGGATAAGGGAACTCCTCCGGTTTCAACTCTACTAAGCAAGGTCCAGACTCCTAACCCAAGAAAACTATGAGGTATTAAGTGAGTGTTGTGTCAAGCTGCAAAGTTTATGGTCATTTGCTACACAGCAACAGAAAACAATTGTTAGGGACTAAATGTATGTGACCCCCCAATTGGAGATGTTGAATCCCTAACCCGCAATGTAATGGTATTTGGAGATGGGGCCTCTGGGAGGTGATTAGGATTAGACTGGGTCATGAGGATGACGCCTTCACAATGGGACTGGTAGCTCTACACGAGGAGAAAGCGAGCTCTCACGCTCTCCGCACACACACAATGAGGCAGACCATTCAGAGTGCAAGTCAGTTATTGGTGTATAAAAATGCTTGTGAATTTTGCACATTGATTTTGTATCCTGAGACTTTGCTGAAGTTGCTTATCAGCTTAAGGAGATTTTGGGCTGAGACCATGGGGTTTTCTAAATATACAATCATGTCATTTGCAAACAGGGACAATTTGACTTCCTCTTTTCCTAATTGAATACCCTTTATTTCTTTCTCCTGCCTGACTGCCCTGGCCAGAACTTCCAACACTATGTTGAATAGGAGTGGTGAGAGAGGGCATCCCTGTCTTGTGCCAGTTTTCAAAGGGAATGCTTCCAGTTTTTGCCCATTCAGTATGATATTGGCTGTGGGTTTGTCATAGATGGCTCTTATTATTTTGAGATACATCACATCAATACCTAATTTATTGAGAGTTTTTAGCATGAAGGGCTGTTGAATTTTGTCAAAGGCCTTTTCTGCATCTATTGAGATAATCATGTGGTTTTTGTCTTTGGTTCTGTTTATATGCTGGATTACATTTATTGATTTGCATATGTTGAATAACAGACAAAAAGAGAGCCAAATCATGAGTGAACTCCCATTCACAATTGATTCAAAGAGAATAAAATACCTAGGAATCCAACTTACAAGGGATGTGAAGGACCTCTTCAAGGACAACTACAAACCACTGCTCAACGAAATAAAAGAGGATACAAACAAATGGAAGAACATTCCATGCTCATGGATAGGAAGAATCAATATCGTGAAAATGGACATAATGCCGAAGGTAATTTATAGATTCAATGCCATCCCCATCAAGCTACCAATGACTTTCTTCACAGAATTGGAAAAAACTACTTTAAAGTTCATATGGAACCAAAAAAGAGCCTGCATTGCCAAGTCAATCCTAAGCCAAAAGAACAAAGCTGGAGGCATCACACTACCTGACTTCAAACTATACTACAAGGCTACAGTAACCAAAACAGCATGGTACTGGTACCAAAACAGAGATACAGACCAATGGAACAGAACAGAGCCCTCAGAAATAATACCACACATCTACAACCATCTGATCTTTGACAAACCTGACAAAAACAAGAAATGGGGAAAGGATTCCCTATTTAAAAATGGTGCTGGGAAAACTGGCTAGCCATACGTAGAAAGCTGAAACTGGATCCCTTCCTTATACCTTATACAAAAATTAATTCAAGATGGATTAAAGACTTATATGTTAGACCTAAAACCATAAAAACCCTAGAAGAAAACCTAGGCAATACCATTCAGGACATAGGCATCGGCAAGGACTTCATGTCTAAAACACCAAAAGCAATGGCAACAAAAGCCAAAATTGACAAATGGGATCTAATTAAACTAAAGAGCTTCTGCACAGCAAAAGAAACTACCATCAGAGTGAACAGGCAACCTACAGAATGGGAGAAAATTTTTGCAATCTACTCATCTGCCAAAGGGCTCATATCCAGAATCTACAAAGAACTCAAACAAATTTACAAGAAAAAAACAAACAACCCTATCAACAAGTGGGTGAAGGGTATGAACAGACACTTCTCAAAAGACATTTATGCAGCCAACAGACACATGAAAAAATGCTCATCATCACTGGCCATCAGAGAAATGCAAATCAAAACCACAATGAGATGCCATCTCACACCAGTTAGAATGGCCATAATTAAAAAGTCAGGAAACAACAGGTGCCGGAGAGGACGTAGAGAAATAGGAACACTTTTACACTGTTGTGGGACTGTAAACTAGTTCAACCATTGTGGAAGACAGTGTGGCAATTCCTCAGGGATCTAGAACTAGAAATACCATTTGACCCAGACATCCCATTACTGGGTATATACCCAAAGGATTATAAATCATGCTGCTATAAAGACACATGCACACACGTTTATTGCAGCACTATTCACAATAGCAAAGACTTGGAACTAACCCAAATGTCCATCAATGATAGACTGGATTAAGAAAATATGCCACATATACAACATGGAATACTATGTAGCCATAAAAAAGGATGAGTTCATGTCCTTTGTAGAGACATGGATGAAGCTGGAAACCATCATTCTCAGCAAACTATCGCAAGGACAAAAAACCAAACACTGCATGTTCTCACTCATAGGTGGGAATTGAACAATGAGAACACTTGGACACAGGAAGGGGAACATCACACACCGGGGCCTGTTGTGGGGTGGGGGGAGGGGGGAGGGAAAACATTAGGAGATATACCTAATGTAAATGACGAGTTAATGGATGCAGCACACCAACATGGCACATGTATACATATGTAACAAACCTGCACGTTGTGCACATGTACCCTAGAACTTAAAGTATAATTTAAAAAAACAATAATAATAATTAAAATATTCAGGAACTATGAAAAAAAAAAAAAGAATGCAAGTCAGGAAGGAGCCCTCACCAGAAACCAAGCTTGCTGACACCCTGATTTCAGACTTTCCAGCTTCACAAACTGCGAGAAAATAAATTTCTGTTAGGTCACCTAGTCTATGCTATTTCGTTATGGCAGCCTAAGTAGACTAAGACACTACGACATCCGGAGTGGGACACTGGATTGTTGTTCCAAAACATCTGCTTTCTCCCCAGACCTCTCCAGGAGGGGCAGCACAGGCTTCCCTCCCCACACCCCTCCCCAATCCTGGAAACACTGACACAGCTCCCAACACCAATGCTTGAGCGCTTGGAACTGACTGTGCATGCATTGCTTGCTGTTCATCAGTGAGCTTCTGTGGAGCCAAGTTGGAAAACTTTTCCCTAGAAAGGTATAGTTCTGCCAGTAACAGGAATGCACCCAGGATTTGGAAACACTGTGATGCTCGAGGGCCTCAGCTCACAGCACAGTAGAAATCCCAGGCCAAGCCCCTACCTTGCCGTGGGCATCAGGCTCAGCCACAGTGCTATGGTGGACACTCATGCTCAGGGCAAGTCCCTTCTCCAGCCACATGCCGCCTGACGCTGCTCCCTGTCATTGTGACTCCAGCCACCTGCCACTCTGGCCTCAATTCATTATTTGTTTATTTGTTTCTTCGGGAGTGGGACACTGGATCATTTTTTCAAAACATCTGCTTTCTCCCCAGACCTCTCCAGGAGGGGCAGCACAGACTTCACTCCCCCCACCCCTCCCTGATACCGGAAACACTGACACAGGTCCAAATACGAAGGCCAAATAGATTGGGAAAGGCATGATATTGCTCAGGGAGAGGAGGCTTAACCCTAATGACGGAGGGCCTGCAGAATGGCTTGAGGGAGGCTTTTCACGGCCCAGGTGCTGGTGTGCCTCCTCCCTGGAGAGGCCAGCTCTGGCCCACTGGAGACCAAGGGCGGTTGATGTAAAAGCAGCTCAGAGCCTCTGCTCTGAAACCATCGGATCTTGAACTGTTTTTGCTCAATTCCAGCTACCAGCAAGGATTATGTTGCACATTCTGACATGTCAGTAATCCTGTAGGTTGATTTTGCACCACTCTCATGAGAAAAAGGGTCATGAATCTAGTTAGCCATGAAATTACCGCATCATGAAACCTTCATCCCGTTTAATTTACAGGTATCATTATTCAGAGTCCACAGTTCACAAAGAATATGGAGAAAACGAAGAGGGTTGGGGAAGAGTAACATAGAATTAAATAGCTGTGGAAAAAAAGCCAAATAGATTGGAAAAGGCATGATATTGCTCAAGGAGAGGAGGCCGAACCTTGCGAGCACCATGAGTTGTCACAAGGACGCCAACTCGCTCTTTTCTCCACTTCCCCACCCAGCCTAATAGAGGCAAGAGATAAAATCAGAACAGAGACAGAACTTCCTGCTGTTGAGGCTGATGACAAGGGATAACAGGCTGCCGGGAAATAATGGCATCCTTAGAGTCAAAGACCTGCCCATTTGATTGGTACCCTGCCTGGACACAGAGGTCTGGAATAAATTAGCTCTTTAAATCTTGTCCTCTAACACTGAAAAGTTCTTTTACTTCCTAAAATCAAGAATGTTCTTCAGATCATAAAGTCTGGTCCAAAGGCAACTGATAGTGAAGCAAGTCCTTCTAGAACGCAGTCTTGAAAGCCAAGTAAATTACTTTCATGAAACATATGGCAGATGGGTGCCCAATAGCTACAGAGATATCAATTTACCACTAAGAAGCCAGCATTCACTGTGTGTGGAAAGAATTGTTGCAAAAACAGAGCAAATAATATTCTGAGTCCACCAACCCCCCATCTTCCAAACCTCCTGGACTGCAGCTCTGTGCAATATTCCTCCTACAGCCTCCTGGAGCAGCTGATCTTCCTACTTCACCCTCCGTCAATTCTCCTTGCTTTGGGTGTGGCTTTCTTTCTCTGAGTCTTGCTGGGGCCACAGAAGGCTCACGAGGCATGCAGGCCTCTACCATCTGTCTCTACCTTTGAGGACACACTCATTGCTACCCCCACCCTGTCCATGCTTTCTGCCCCCTCTCCTTAGGGCAACTTCCAACTCACCATTCCCTCTCCCAGCCTTTCATCCCAGGCTGTGGTCCAAACATCCTCCACACCATTTCCCTTCAGGGGCTGCACCAACACATCACACTCATAATGTCCCTGAGAAAAGTTACCTTTCTTCTCAACCTACTGATAGAAAAAGAACTCTGCAGCTTTCATTATCTTCTCAAGCAGAAGCAAAACTATAAATTGATGACAAAGATCACCTCATGAAAGAGAAAAAACTCCTTAGTGTTGAAGTGTTTTAAAATATTCTAAATAACTCATGAGTCAAAAGATACTGAAAGGTGAAATACACCATGGTCTGTTCTGATGCAATGCATGCTTCTTTGATGCACATTCTCTCTTAAGTGCTTGGTAACAAACTCATTTGTCCAGGGCCTGCCCTGTAAGATGCTGCCTCCTCTTACGGGTATCTACTCTGACATTAGGGTAGCTGCTGGATTTTGTTACTTAGTGGGTTATTAGGTAGCACATATATTATTATAATACATTTTAAAATATTTTTAGTTTAAAAATTTCAAAATAATTTGTTTCCTTTGTAATAGTTTTTTTGGTTTTGTTTTTTGTTGCTGTTGTTGTTTTGAGACAGAGTCTGGCTCTATCGCCCAGGCTGGAGTGCAGTGACACGAGCTCGGCTCACCGCAAGCTCCGCCTCCCGGGTTCACGCCATTCTCCTGCCTCAGCCTCCCAAGTAGCTGGGACTACAGGTGCCTGCCACCATGCCTGGCTAATTTTTTTTCCTATTTTTTAGTAGAGACAGGGTTTCACTGTGTTAGCCAGGATGGTCTCGATCTCCTGACCTCGTGATCTGCCCGCCTCAGCCTCCCAAAGTGTTGGAATTACAGGCGTGAGCCACTGTGCCCGGCCTTTTTTTGTATTTTTTAGTGGAGAAGGGGTTTCACCATGTTAGCCAGGATGGTCTCGATCTCCTGACCTTGTGATCCACCCGCCTCGGCCTCCCAAAGTGCAGGGATTACAGGCGTGAGCCACTGTGCCCGGCCTGTAATAGTTTTATTTCATGCTTTTAAAAACCTTATTCTGAGAAGGGATCCACAGGCTTCACTAGATTGTCATGACAAAAGTTATGACCCCCCCCACCCCCGACCCCGATTAAAGTTCCTTTAGAGCAGATTTTTTGGTGATAAACTCCCGTTTTTGGTTTATCTGTAAATAGCTTACTTCGTTCGCCTTGATGCTTGAAAAATAGTTACGCTGGAAACACCCTAGGTTGACAGTTGCATCTCTCAACAGTTTGAAACTATTATTCCACTGTTTTCTGACTGCCATTGTTGCAGCCAAGTCAGCTGTCCTCATTCTCTAAAGACTTTTGAGATCATCTCCTTGCCTTTAGTATTCTGAACTTTTTGCCTGGTATGTTAGGTGTGGATTTCTTTTTAATCTTCTTTGAGAGATACTGTGCTACTGAATCTGTGAATTTATATTTTTCATTCGTTCTGGAAATTTTGTAGCTAATATCTCTTCAGATATTGTATCTTCGCTATTCTCTTTGCCAGGGACTCCAGTAGCTGTATGTTTGTCCTTCACATTCCATCCTCCAAATGTCTTAGTTTTTCTTCCACATATTCCCCACACATGTCATTCATGACTTCATTCTGGTTACTTTCTTTAGCTGTGTCTTCCAGATCATCAATTGTCTCTGCACTGTGTCTAATCAGCTGTTGAACTATATAACTGCACTTGTTTAGAAAAGTTCAGTGATTATATCTCAATATCTAGAAATTCTTTTATTTCCAAATGTAACTATTTATTTCAAATAGTTCCTTGTTGTGTGCTCATCTATATGACTGTGTTGATAATTTCTTTAAATGTTTCATACACTAATGTTCTAGATTCCAAGACATGTTGTCCCAGGAGGGTATCAAAGTTTGCCCTTTGTTGTCTCATTGTGATTTGCTTTCTTTGATGCTTGAGCGCTTGGAAGTGTTTGACTGTGCATGCATTGCTTGCTGTTCATCAGTGAACTTCTGTGGAGCCAAGTTGGAAAACTTTTCCCTAGAGAGGCATAGTTCTGCCAGTAACAGGAATGCACCCAGGATTTGGAAACACTGTGATGCTCAAGGGCCTCAGCTCACAGCACAGTAGAAATCCCAGGCCAAGCCCCTACCTTGCAGTGGGCACCAGGCTCAGCCGCAGTGCTATGGTGGACACTCATGCTCAGGGCAAGTCCCTTCTCCAGCCACATACCGCCTGACGCTGCTCCCTGTCATTGTGACTCCAGCCACCTGCCACTCTGGCCTCAGTTCATTATTTATTTGTTTGGGAGTAGGGCAGTGGACCTTGATGATCTGCAATGCATCAAGGAGCATGTCTTTTGCAGTGTATAGTTGTTCTATAGGAGAAGCATCCTTCAAAGTGCCTACTCAGCCAAAATGCCAGAATCAGAAGGAAATCCCCCATTCCTGGTGTTTTTATTGGTCCCATAAATACACCAATAAAGCAATGAATAGAGGCTACTTTTATTTTTTTTTAAATTAACAAATGTTATAAGTTATCAAAATATGAAACTTTATTTAGCTAATAAAATTCTTTATAAATTCCAAAGTATTCCACATATCCTATTATTTATTTACTCTTTTAGCCCCAGCAACTATATTTCTCAAATCACTTTACTTTCAAAAAAACAAAATGTTATCCCAAATTATTCTTTCCCTCCATTTTCCCCTGGAAAAAAATATTACTCCCATCCAAAGCCTTTCTAATTCAGTAGCTTTCCTACATGCTGGTAAGAAACTGTAAGACAAGGATTCCATTCACAAAAGCAAAAAAATTAAAAACTATCCAAGAATTAACTTCATGATGAATGTATAAGGTTTTTTAAAAGGCAACTACAAGACTCTACTGAGACATAGGAAGGAAGATTTTTAGTAAATGGACGTATATACCATGTTCCCAAATGAGGAAACCTAAAGATAATAAAAATGTTAATTTCTCTATATTCATAAATTAATTTAGTGAAATCTCTATCAAAATCCCAATGGGATTCTTTGAAGGTTGACAAAATGATTCAAAAATTTATCTGAAGGAAAAATTTTTCCTTCAGATAGTAGAGAAGAAACAATGTCATTGAACTATGTGGAGGGAAAGAGGTTTATGTATTACTGGACACAATTTTCATCCCTTCATTATTTTAAGTTAAAAATTCCCAGGAACAAAAACAGTTTAGAAAGCCACAATAGTTATAAGTGGCTCAAGAACAAACAGACCTGTAAAGAACAGAATATAATGTCCAGAAAGAGACTTAGGCATATATTAGGGTTTTAAAAAATTATTTGTTTTTTAGATTGTGGTAAAATGTACATACATAAAATTTACCATTTAACCATTTTTAAGTGTACACTCAGTAGCATTAAGTCCATTCACCTTGTGCAAACATTCCCCTCATCCATCTCCAGAAAACCTTTCATCTTGCAAAATTAAAACTTTGTATCCATTAATTTACACCGATTCCCCATTCCCTCCCCCACTCTAGCCCCTGACAACCACCATTCTTCTTTCTGTCTCTATATGAGTGGAATCATAGTTTTATCCTTTTGTGACAGGCTTCTATCACTTAGGATAATGGTTTCAAGGTTCATCCATATGTAGCATGTGTCAGAATCTCTTTTTTTTTTTTTTTTTTTTTTTTTGAGACAGTTTTGTTCTGTCGCCCACGCCGGAGTGCAGTGGTGTGATCTCAGCTCACTGCAAGCTCTGCCTCCTGGGTTCATGCCATTCTCCTGCCTTAGCCTCCTGAGTAGCTGGGCTACAGGCGCCCACCACCACGCCCGGCTACTTTTTTTTGTATTTTTAGTAGAGACGGGGTTTCACCATGTTAGCCAGGATGGTCTCGATCTCCTGATCTCGTGATCCGCCCGCCTCGGCCTCCCAAAGTGCTGGGATTACAGGCCTGAGCCACCGCGCCTGGCCTCTCCTTCCTTTGTAAGTCTAATAGTATTCTGTACGTATAGACCTCATTCTGTTGAGCCACTCGTCTACAGATGGATGCTTGGGTTGCTTCCACCTTTTAGCTATGAGGATAATGCTTCTATGAACACAGGTGTGCAAATATGTCTTTGAGACCCTTCTTTCAATTCTTTTGGGTATGTACCCAGAAGTGAAATATGGTAATTCTATTTGTAATAATACAGAGTGGAAAACAGTATAAACCTCCTCAATAATTACAAATAGAATTACCATATGGCTATTATTTTTATAATAGCCATTCTGATGGGTAGGAAGTGGTAGTCATTTTGATTTTTTCTCTTTTTTCTTTCTTTTTTTTTTTTTGAGACAGGGTCTCACTCTCACCTAGGCTGGAGTGCAGTGACGTGATCACAGCTCACTGCACTTTCAACCTCCTGGGCTCAAGCAATCCTCCCTGCTCAGCCTCCCGAGTAGTTGGGACTACAGGTGCATGCCACCACACCCAGCTAGTTTTCGTATTTTTTTTTCTCAAGAGATGGGGGTTTCGCCACGTTGCCCAGGCTGGTCTTGAACTCTTGGGTGCCAACGATCCTCCTGCCTGGGCCTCGAAAAGTGCTGGGATTACAGGTGTGAGCCACCACGCCAGCCATTGTTGTGATTTTGATTTGCATCTCCTTAAGGATTAGTGATGTTGAGCATGTTTTCATGTGCTTATTAGCCATCTGTATCTCTTCTGTGGAGAAAGGCCTAGTCAAGCCTTTTGCCTATCTTTGAAGCTTTCCTCCCAGCTTTATTGAGGTATGACTGACAAATAAAAACTGTATATAAAATGTACAACATGATTCTGGTATACATATACTGTGAAATGATTACCACAATCAAGCTAACCATATCCATCACCTCACTAGTTACCATTTCTTCTGAGTGTTTGATAAGAACATATGAAGTCTCTTTCAGAAAATTTCAAATATACAGCACATTATTATTAAGTATAGTCACTATGCTGTACATTACGTCTCCAGAATGTATTTCTTTTATAACTGAAAGTTTATACCCTTTGACCAACATCTCCCCTTTCCCCTCTCTCCCCCAGCCCCGGGCAACTACGCTTCTCCTCTCTGTTACCATGAGTTTGACTTTTTTTTTTTAGAGTCTACGGACAAGTGAGATTATTCAGTATTCATCTTTCTGTGTCTGGCTAATTTCACTTAGCATAATGTCCTCTGGGTTCATCCATGTTGCCAAAAATCCTTTGCCCATTTTTGAATTGTGTTCTTTACTTTTTTGTTATTGAGTTTTAGGAGTTTTCTATATGTTCTGGATAATAATTTCTGATGAAATATGTGATTTTCCAGTACTTTTTCCCATTCTGTGGGTTGCCTGTTTACTCTCTTAATAGTGTCCTTTGATGCACAAGTTTTTAATTTTGATGAAGTCCAGTTTGCCACTTTTCTTTTGTTGCTTATGCCTTTGGCATCATATCCAAGAAATCACTGCCAAGCCCAGGGTTGTAAAGCTTTTCCCCTAAGCTTCCTTCTAAGAGTTTTATAACTTTAGCTCTTATGTTTAGGTCTTTAATCCATTTTGAGTTAATTTTTGTATAGGATGTTAGTTAAGGGTCCAACTTCATTTTTTTTGCATGTGAACACATTAAATTAGTTTTTACAATTTAATTTATATAATTCAGTTATACAAGGAGTGACATAGTAACTGATGGGGGAAAAGGCTATTCAATAAATGGTTCTGGGATAATTGTTAAATGTAAATAAATAAGCAGATAGAGAAATTAAAATTAGTTCCCTCCCACAAACCAAAATACATTACAAGATGATTAAAATATTAAATGTAAATAATTAACCACCCAGGTTACTGGCTAAAACTCACAGAAAGGCAACTGCTCCTCAAAAAAATTTACTGAGAGGCCAGGCACAGTGGGTGGCTCACACCTGTAATCTCAACACTTTGGGAGGCCGAGGTGGGCAGATCACTTGAGGTCAGGAGCTCGAGGACAGCCTGGCCAACATGGTGAAACCTGTCTCCACTAAAAATACAAACAATTAGCCAGACATGGTGGTATGTGCCTGTAGTCCCAGCTACTCAGGAGGCTGAGGTAGGAGAATGTCTTGAACCCAGGAGGCAGAGGTTGCCGTGAGCCGAGATTGTGCCACTGCACTCCAGCCTGGGCGACAGAGTGAGACTCCATCTTAAAAAAAGGAAAAAAAAATTTACTCAGAAAAACACCTTATAAGTAAGTAATCAATAAAATGCAAAGTGGAATAAGAGGTCCCTTGCTGCCTGTCAAGCTAGCAGTGGTTAGAAAGAACAGTGGTCCTCACTTACAGGGCTGTAGAGAATGTACATCATTAAGAGGTGCGATGCTGTCAACTGGCAAAAAGTATAATAAACAAAGCATGGGCTCTATGCAAATAAATTCAAAACCCAGGATGACAAAGATAACTTGCTAAATTACTACAATTGATTCCCCAAAAGACCAAAACACTAACTGTTCCCATAAACACCAAGAAATTGGAAATATGCTCAAACAGCTGTAGGCAAAGTCTTCAAAAACTTCTACGTATGAAGATTTCCAAAGCTGTTTAAATTTTTTCTGAGCACAGAGGGAAAAAAGGGGGAACTTCCAAATTGTCTTTATAAAGGTCAGTGTAACAATCACAAACCTGTAAAATATCACAAAAATAAGGAACAGACCAGTGGCTTTTAAACAGAAGTACATTGTTTTTATTTTATTTTTCCTGTGCTGGATCAATATTTAATGAATTTCCCCCATGTATCAGGCATTGTTGGACTCTTTCAGATATTTAACTCCTTCCCCCTCATTATTTATTTGGCAAAAGTTACATTAAGTTATTCCCTCCCCTCACAAAGCAGGTTCTCCCTGACTTCAAGGGCCAACATCCAAACAAAACCAAACATGAAAGACAGAGACTCAAAAACTTAGCATTCCTCATCTACTACACATACTAGATATAAACACACAAATTTAAATGCCAAAAACTCATAGGACAGTGCATTAAAATGATAATTTTACTGGTACATCATTTTTAAATAAAAGGTTAGAAAACAGAATTCAGCAGTACATTTAAAAGAATGAAGAACATGGGGGTTCACGTCAGGAATGAAAAGATGGTTCTGCATATTAATGTGACGAAAATGAAAAATTCTTTCATTCAGTAGATGCATGGAAGACGTCCAATAGAATTTGATCTCCATCCTCTCTTTTAAAAAAGAACTCTTAGGGCTGGGGGCAGTGGCTCACACCTGTAATGCCAGCACTTTGGGAGGCCGAGGCTAGCGGATCACTTGAGGTCAGGAGTCCTAGACCAGCCTGGCCAACATGGTAAAATCCTGTCTCTACTAAAAATACAAAAATCAGCTGAGTGTGGTGGCACATGGCTATAGTCTCAGCTACTCGGGAGGCTGAGGCAGGAGAATCACTGGAACCCGGGAAACGGAGGTTGCAATGAGCCAAGATCACGCCACTGCACTCCAGCCTGGGTGACAGAGCGAGACTCCGTCTCAAAAATAAAATAAAATAAAACAAAATGATTCTGAAAGTACTCGTGTGGTATGCAGAATTATGAGATGGCCCCCAAGGTCCCCACTCCCTGGTGTACCTGCCCTGTGTAATCCTCTCCCTTGGGCCGTGGGTGGGACTGTGAATATGTATGTGATTAGGTTACGCTGCCTGACAATGGTGGATGGGAGGTCCCAAATCAGTTTGCTGTTGAGTTCATCAAAAGGGAAGTTCTCTTGGGTGTGCCTGACCTAATCAGGCAAGACCTTTGGTTCTGGGCCCTTGGTGAAGTCCCAATTTGAGGTGTAAGAAGTTGTGCTGCTGGCCTTGAAGAAGTGGGCTGCCATGTGGTGAGATGCCTCTAAGAGCTGAGAGCTTCCCCACCCACAGCTTGCAAGGAAGCAGGGCTGAGTCACACAACCCCCAAAATGAATTCTGCCAACAACCTGAAGGAGTTTGGAAGTGGATCTTTCCCTCGTAAAGCTTTTGGATGAAGATGCTTCCAGCCTCACCAGGATTTCAGCCTGCAGACCCTGAGGACAGGACCCAATTAAAACACTCCAGAGTCCCAACCCTTAGAAACTCTGAAATAATAAGGTTGAGCTGTTTGAACCTGCTATGCTTGTGGCAATTTGCCACATAACAATAGAAAACTAATATATCTAGCTAATAACACTAAAAAGGAAAAATAAAAGAAAGTTATAAACATTGGAAAGAAGAAGCAAAATCATTACTATTTGAAAATAAAGTGATCACCTAATTAGAAAACCCAAAGGAATTGATTCAGAAGAATAAGAAACCATAAGAAAATTCAGTATGTTACCTGGTTACAAAATCAATATGTTGAAAATTATAATACTATATATAGTTGTCCCTTGAACAAGAGGGGTGTTAGGGGCACCAACCTCCTGTGCAGTCAAAAATCTATGTATAACATTTTCACTCCTCCAAAACTTAACTGGTAATAGTCTGCTGTTGACTGGAAGTCTTACCAATCAGATAAACAGTTGATTAACACACATTCACATTTTGGATGTCGTATGTACTATATGCTGTATTCTTACAATAAAGAGAAAAGAAAATGCTATTAAGAAAGTCATAAGGAAGAGAAAATATATTTTACTATTCATTAAGTGGAAGTGGATCATCATAAAGGCCTTCATCCTTGTCATCTTCTTGTTGAGTAGGCTCAGGAGGAGGAGGAGGAAGAGGAGGGCTCAGTCTTGCCATTTCAGGGTGGCAGAGGTGGAAGAAAATCCACATATAAGTGGACCTATGCTGTTTAAACGCATGTTGTTCAAGGTCAACAGGATCAATATTTATTGTGCCCTGAATATATGCCAGATATACTTACTAAGTTTTTATACTTTATCCTGACAACCCTAATTAGTATGTGTGACTCTTGTGCCCGTGCACATATGTGAAAATTAAAGCACAAAGAGATTAAGTGACTTGCCCAACGTTACAATGATGGGCAGGGTTAGGACACAAGCTCTTAAACTATAGACAAACAGCTTTCCTACATATGTGCAAGCAAAGACTGGTTAGAAAAGAGAATACAATTAAAAATTCCATTTATAATGGTAAGCAAAAAGGCAGAATATCTTAGAATACACAGATTTAATAAGAGGTGAGCAGGAGCAATATCAAGGAATCCTTAAACATCTACTGGGGAACCTAAAAGACTTCATGACTAGATGGGAGGGAAATTCATTTTTTAAACAAAAAGACTAAATAATGTATAAGTTCCATGCAACTCTAATTAAAATACCAAAAAGGGGAAAAGAAAATCTACGCAATAAGAAGTGCTAGGGCAACTGGCTAGCCACTTGGAAAGAAATGAAACTTAATCTCTACGTTTCAACATTAAAATAAATTCCAGAGAAATCAAAGAGTAAAATATAAATTAAAACATAAATATTTGAGAAATTTGTAAAAGAATCTTGAAGTAAGCCTTTTAAGGCACCACACAATTTTAAGACATAATAGAAACAATTAATAAATTTAAAATGTATACGTTTATGGCTAAAAAAACCCACATTTGTTTGTGGTAGGAGGAATCTGTGTTCTCAATCCCAGGGCCTCTCTGCATCTGCATTAGAAGAACAAGTCTGTGCCTTTGACGTGTGAGGTCGGAGGCTCCTGCAGAGTGGGTGGAGTCCCGTCCCCATCCCAGAATAAACTTGGCCATGGGATATGCCTGGTGGTGAGTGGAAGTGGCACATGCCATCGCCCCGGGCCTTCTGATGCACTACGTGCTACCTCTTGCCCTCCTCCTTGCCCAGGTGGCCACTGCCCCTTCAAGCCTGGGCCCCGGAATGGACAGATGGCACAGACACAAACCCCATGAGAAGCTTGCAACCCAAAGTGGAGCCACCCCAGCTGACCTGCAAACCCAGAGGAGAAAATAATGGCTCGCTACTGTCAAGCACTGCATTTTGGTGTGGTTTTTAATGTAGCATTATTCTGAAAAGGGCCAATGAACACATTTATGGTTAAAAAAAACCCATAAAACCAAAGGCTGGTTTCAAATAGGAAAAATATTTATAATACATAAACAGACAAAAGGTTTTCTTAATTTACAAAGAGCTCGTATAAATTAATAAAAGAAACAACAGAAAAAAATGGCTGAATACGATGAATAGGATGTTTAGATTTTTAATGAACAATAAACATGTAACAGAATGCGTAGACCTACTGAATTTTCTAAAGCAAGTGAAAACAATAAGATAAGTATTTTTTTCAACGAGACTGGAAACATTTTGGTGAAGTTTTGGTAAAACCCAGTGATGGCAAAGGGCAGAGGGGAAAGAAAGTTCCTCTTAAACATTTCTTATGTTGGCATAATTTGATGTAGCCTTCCTTGGGAACAATTTCATAGCATCTCTCAAAATAAAAACTGTACATACCCATACTCAATGGTTTCAATCCTGGGAATTTAACCTGTGGATATACTAACAGAAACAGGCCAGCCTATTTACACAAGGACGTTTACTACAAAAACCTGAACCAGTGAGTAGCAATAAAGGGCTAGTTAAAAAGACTTCGGTATTTACATAGAACATGAATATGTGCATTATAAAGTTTGAGGTAGATCTATTTATGCCACTGTGGAATGATCTCGAAGATAAATAACTGACAAGCAAGACACAGCCCAGTGTGCACTGAAGGATCTCTGTGTAAACAAGAAGGAATGGATGAATGCATTTACTACATAAACATTGCTCTCTTGGAACGACGCACAAGAAACCTAACAATCGGAAACTAGATTAAGGAGGAGGCGAGGGGGAACTTGCTTTTAAATGTGTAACTTTCTGTAATATTAACCTTTAATCCATGCATGTATTATGTTAAGCATATTTAAAACTCTGCATACCATTGAACCTAGAATTCTACTTCTAAGAATTCCCAGTATTAACCAAAGGATTATGTATTTTGGAAACTGGAAACAACCGAGGTGTGCAGCAAGAGGGAATTACATATATTCATTGGGTCCTTCCTAGTTGCTGCCATTAAATCATATTATAGAAGAATATATATATATATACACACACATATATATGTATATTGTATTGTGTGTGTGTGTGTGTGTGTGTGTGTATATATGTATATTGGAGACAAGGTCTCCCTCTGTAGCCCAGGCTAGAATGCAGTGGCATGATCACAGCTCACTGTGACCTCCACCTCCCATGCTCAAGTGATCCTCCCATTTCGGCCTCCCGAATAGCAGGGAATACAGGCATGCATCACCCGGCTGATTTTTGTATCTTTTGTAGAGAGAGGGTTTCACTATGTTGCCCAGGCTGGTCTCGAACTCCTGGCTCAAGTGATCCCCTCGCTGTGGCCTCCCAAAGTGCTGAGATTAAAGGTGTGAACCACTGTGCCCAGCCACAGGAGAATATTTAATGCCATGTAGAAACGTTCACACTAAGTGAAAGAAGAAGAAGGAAAAGCAGGTTGCAAAATGGTGTGGAAAGTGCATAATTTCCCTTCTGAGAAGCAAACAAATACATAAAGAAAATCAGCAGCTGCATCTCAAAGTTACCATGGTTATCTCCAGACAGTGAGATTTTGGCTTCCTCTTTATTTTTCTGTTTCCCATGGTTGATACACAACAGAGAAAACGCACTATTAAAACCCAAGCCAGCGACAGCTGGTTCTGCCTCCTAAGTGAGGAGGCATAACCCATGCCAGTGGGTACTAACTCCCTCTAATGTTCCCATCAGCAGGCGGGAGAGGTGGACGGGGCCAGACAAATTCCACCACTTCAATGTGAGGGCCGATGGCTTCAGAACAGGTATGGAAAGGCTCTGGAAACAATGGCGGCCAGTCTGAGTGAGAGGCAGCAAACCAGAATCCCTGCACAGTGACGGGGTCCAAGGTGGCAGGATGACCAACAAGGTGTGTAGGGGAGGGACGGGGCCTGATCTGCACAGAAAGTGGTTAGCCAGGTGGCCATGTACACTTCTATGTGGGCTGCTGCTCCTTGATAGAGAATAATGAGAATTTCAGACATAAATGCAAGCTACAAGAATAAATTCCAACCAGGACCCAAACGTATTCAAGAGCCTCTGCCCCCCTCCCTTTCTCAACCCATTGTCAGAAAAAAGTATGAAGTGGGAAGGTAGATTGCCCTGCTTGAAAAAGAGTATTACATAAACCATTTGCAAATGACTTTTATTCTCTTCTTTTAGAAATCTCCTCATGGCACAATAATAAAAACAATGTATTTGTTGATACAGAACATTAATTCCATTAAAATTGCATTATGTGTAATGAAAAGCTATCAGAGTATAATTATGCAAGCAAATTCACAGACTCACATCAACTTTTAAATCCACTGGAACTATACAATAGGAACTGAAGCTGTCTGGTAGACAAATTGCTCTTTCTTTTCCAAATCATTATGAATAAAGGCCACTGTACTAATGTCATAAACCGCACACTATTTATGCAAACTCTCAAATCCAGGACTGTTCCCTAGAGGTGCCTCTGCCTGGTTTTTCCCAGGACCAACCTGTTCTCAGACCCAGAGGCTGTGCTCCCATTCCTGACTTAGCCCCAAAGCAGGCTCCCTTCTCGGAATTCTTGCCCAGAGAGCCCAGTTGTACCCTGAAGGGAGCCTGGTTGCACCCCCAAAGGGTTGCCTGAATCCGCACACTCTCAGCCCTCTGCCCCAGCCTGGGAGCTGTGCTCTGCTCTGCTGCCCCTGGCTGGCCGCTGCAGGGCCCGCAGGCTGCTCTCCCTCCTCCCTGCTGCAGGTACTGCACCCAGGTGGCCCTCCTGCCATCTCTGCTCACACCAGGCAGCGCCACCCACAGAGACTGGAGTGCAGAGCCCATCTCCTGTCCCCACGAGGTTCTGAGAGGAGGCAGAGGGCCACCAGGACAGGGGAGGAAGGGGGCACGAGGCTGGATTCCTGCAAGGGCACAGGAGTACATCCAGTGCCGCCCACTCCCGCTGATGATAGCCCCGGTGAAAAGACACACCCTGGGAAAGGGACTCAGTCTATGCCCCTCACTCATCACCTATGTCCATCCCTGGGTTTAGACACTTCTAGGATCCCCAAACACAGTAGGGATATGGACAACTCGTGCCATGCTGGTGACATGAAGGGAACCCCCCCATCTGACTAAGTGGTCCCAGCACCCTTGTAATAGCCGTCTCCACTCCCCAGTCCTGCTCCCCTTTCCCCTCACTGGCACAGGCAGAACTCCCCTGTCTGGTCAGTTCTGGGTCGCTGAGTCCCAGGAACCCCCTTCAGCACCCAGCAGGCTGACACTGATCTTACTCCTGCTTTGCAGAAGGAACACCCTCCTGCCTTGGCCGCCCCCTTGCTTCCTCCCCCACTCACACTCCCCAGCTGCTCGTTAGTAAGGGCTCCCTCGGCCCATCATCTCCCCATACCTCCCCTCCCCTCCTCGCAGTATCTATCCTGGGAGAGCCTGTTCCCTCCCTGGCTCCATCCTCCAGGGTACCCTAAGCCTCTCTCAGCCTCTCTTCCTCCCAGATCCCTGTGTCCACCCACTGGCCTGATGGAAACATGACGGATGCCTCCCCAGCAGCCTAACTCAATACAGCCAGTGCTCCTGGAGCCTGCCCTACCTCCACAGGAGGCCCCACTCACCCAGATGTGCCTGTCAGGGTCCCAGATACCCCACGTCCCTCCCCCACCCAATCTCACTCTCAAATCCATCCAAATCAGGGACATCTACTGACCAGCTCACCCTGGGCCCCGGCCCCCAGTTCCTCCCTCCACCTGGTACCTGGCTGCCACCTGGCAGGAGAGCTACTGTAAGAGCCCTACAAAGCCCTCCCTGCCTGGACTCCTGGTCACTTCTAACCTGTTTTCCACACTGCAGAATCATCTTTTTAAAATGCAAACCTGGCTGGGCGTGGTGGCTCACACCTGTAATCCCAGCACTTTGGGAGGCCGAGGCGGGCAGATCACCTGAGGTCAGGAGTTCGAGACCAGCCTGGCCAACATGGTGAAACCCTGCCTCTACTAAAACTATAAAAATTAGCCAGGCATGGTGGCATATGCCTGTAATCCCAGCTACTCAGGAGGCTGAGGCAGGTGAATCGTTTGAACCTGGGAGGTGGAGGTTGCAGTGAGCCAAGATTGCACCATTGCACTCCAGCCTGGGTGACAGAGCAAGACTCCGTCTCCAGAAAAAAAAAAAAAAAATCTGACCATGTCACTCGCCCCACTCAATGACACTGTGCCCTTTAGGGGCTTTCTTTATCCCTTGGAGTAAGTCCCACATCTTCCAGCTCAGAAGGTCCCTGCCTACCCTTCCTGCTTCATCCAGGTCACTCCATGGGTGGGGTCACCTCTGCCTCCCCCTCAACCCCCAAACAGCTAATTACCCAGACTGGGTAGCAAACAGCTACAGGACCACGGGGCTACGGCACCAGCACCCCACAGTGCCGCTCACTCATGCACCTGCCTTTGGCTGCTCAGCAGGTCCTGGGGGCCCAGAGCACGCTTGTTTCATCTGCACAGTGCCCACCGGAGCAAGGGCCTGGTGCCATGGCACACATGAGAGTGAAGGCTGTCGGCACGCACAAGGTTGGCCAGCGCCCACCTCCGGGCGGGAGACTTTGTGCCCATGCTCCTGACCAGCTTCACAGCCCCACGGAGGCAGCACGGTCCTGAGGGGCAGTGTGCTGACTTTTCCCCTTTATTTTATAACCAAAACAATGCAAGTTCAATATAGAACAAGTTAGGAAAGGCAGATAAGCTGAAGGAAATAATGAAACCATCTACATTCACACGGCTTCTCCTCTAACTCCTGTTAACATGTGGCTGGGTTCTATTTAAATCGGTTTTTATAAAAATTGGGTCATCATGTTGTCAATAACCTTTCCACATTACCATATAATGTGTCATGATCATGATGGCACACCCTGTAGGTATTCACTGACATCACCTTAATGGCTGAATGGGACTCCATTGTATAAAAATACAAAATACTCATGACCTATTATTCTATAAACATTTGGAATCACAAACGTATGTGAAAAATATATTTTTTAACAAGCTTATGAAAAGATAAACATAAGCCTGTAATCCCAGCACTTTGGGAGGCCAAGGCGGGTGGATCACTTGAGGCCAGGAGTTCAAGACCAGTTTGGCCAACATGGCGAAACCGCATCTCTACTAAAAATACAAAAAATTAGTCAAGCATCATAGCAGGTGCCTGTAATCTCAGCTACTCGGATGGCTGAGGTAAGAGAATCACTTGAACCTGGGAGGCAAAGGTTGCAGTGAGCCAAGATCATGCCACTGCACTCCAGCCTGGGCGACAGAGCGAAACTCTGTTTCAAAAATTAAAAAAAAGAATATTAAAAAATATATTAAATATATGAATATATTTTTAAAAGTATTTCATTTTTTCTGATCTAGTCATTCTTACACAATCTGAAGTCAAAATTGTTCTGTAGAGAAGCTGCCACTTACAACAAATAGTTTTGCTTGTTTCTTCAGTTTACTTTCACATTTCTAAACTTGATGCTTTGACTGACTTCTGACTATGAAAATTGAGGATTCTCACTTTCCCCTCCAACACACAGCAGACACAGCCAAATGCACACACTCGCTCTCCCTCTCCTCCTCACTTTCCCAATCCAAATATAGCAACAACCCACCTTTTGATATTTCAGCATTCAGTATTGGCATTATTATGACTACGTAAAATGTCACCCATAACTGAGCCACAAGGAGTACTACAATTACAGTGCCTTTAAAAAAAATCACATCACAATATGTAACTGGGGTTAATTGCCTCATTTTTCACTTACATCTTCTACACAGTCACACATGATTTAACAACGGAGCTATGTTCTGAGAAGTGCGCCCTTAGGTGAGTCCATCATTGTGTGAACCTCACAGAATGCACTTACACAAACCTAGATGGCGAAGCCCACTACATACCTAGGCTGTATGGTACGGCCTACTGCTCCCAGGCTACAAAACTGGGCAGCATGTTACTGTCCTGAACACTGTAGGCAACTGTAATACAATGGTGAGTACTTTGTATTTAACACATCTCAACATAATAACGGTACAGTAAAAACATGGTATTAGAATCTCATGGGACCACCATTGTATACACAGTCCGTCATTGAGGGAAGCGTTGGTGTGTGGTGTACGACTGTATATCTATCAAAAATTCATCCTAGCTCTCCAACAGCCCTGAGGTCTCCCTCACCATGTATGAGCACATGAAGTCTATCAAAAAATGAGGGAGCAAACCAAGAAAAGAGAAGACATGGGCTCAAGAAAACAGAGGCTCTAGCCCAGGAGAGAGGCGAAGGGGAGTCGAAGACCCAGGGAAGTCCCTAGGAGCCATAGTGCACCAGGCCAGGGCACAGCCAGGTAAGGAGGGAGCAGGTGACCTGGGTCCAAGAAGGACATATCTCAGCAAACCAGAGTGGTTTGCTCCCCATTTTTTTGGGTTGGGGGGAGCCCGAGTCTCTCTGTCACCCATGCTGGAGTGCAGTGGCTCGATCTCCGCTCACTGCAACATACACCTCCCAATCAAGCGATTCTCCTGCCGCAGCCTCCCGAGTAGCTGGGACTACAGGCACCCACCAGCACACCCCACTAATTTTTTGGGGTTTTTTTTGCATTTTTAATGGAGATAGCGTTTCACCATGTTGGCCAGGCTGGTCTCGAACTCCTGACCTCCAGGTGATCCACCCACCTCGGCCTCCCAAAGTGCTGGGATTACAGGCCTGAGCCACTGCACCTGGCCCACATTTTTTGATAGACCATATCCTCCACTAACTTTCAGAGAAAGGATTTACAGTAGGTGAAATCTGAGGGACCCTACACGTTTAACATGTAAGGACAGAAATTTTAGGTTGCAGATTATTTTGTCTCAGAACTTTTTAGGCAACGATCTAATATGTGCTGATCTCCATGGTGGCTCCAGAGTGGTCTGATTCATCAGCAGATACTGGCAAGGACCAGCTGTTTACCAGGCACTGTTCTAGGCACAGGGGATCCAGCAGTTTAAAAAAAAGACATGCATAGTGCCTCCCTCATGACATCCTGGGGAGCAGCAGAGGAGGGAGACACAAAAATAAGAGTGAAACCACATGGCATGTTACACAGAATGAAGAAAAATAAGGTGGGAAAGTGTGGGCTCAGGAGCTGGGAAATCCTGGGCTTGTAGGGGTAACAGATCCCAAAAGGAGGAACGCCCTGGTGGGATGGATGCCGGTTCCTGATGGGGATATACAGGACTCTACAATGGTGAGACGGTCTTTGTTTTTATTCACTGGGTGAAGTATGAGAAACTGATCTGAATCTGCAATCTCCTTTCAGTTCTGAGAATAACTCCTGTATCATTTTGCAATGATGATTCTACTTCCTTTGGTCTCTGCAAAGCCTATTTATATTCTCTGGCTGACCCTCTCATTTACTGTCTTCCCTATTTCCAACTTCCTGGTCTTTTTTTGTTGTTGTTCAGTTTTCTGAGAGATTTCCCCCAATTTCATCTTTCAAGCCTTTGATGATTTTTAAACTTTATATTCTGAAATTTTTCAAATAGAAAAGTACAAAAATAAGAATGTTCAATCCATCTACTTAGCCTGTCACGTTAACAATTTTACTATATTTGCTTCATCTCTTTTTCTTTGCTTTTCAAGATAAATTACAAACCATGACATTTTAAGTTTTTCAATATGCATACCTAAAATACAAGGACATTTTTCTATATAACCTGTGAGGCCATTAACACATCTAAAATATACTAATTATTAATAGATCATCTTTGTATGATTTCATACCCAATTCCTATTCAAATTTCCCAGATTGTCCCCAGAATAACTTCTTGCAGTTAATTTGTTCAAACTAGCTTCCAATGCTTAGGAATTTGTTATGTGCCTACATGGTTGTAATTTTGTTAAGTAGCTTTAAATTTTCAGCTTGTTCTTTAACCCACATGTCTCCGGTTTTCAGGGTAGGCAAGGGTTTTAATACAATTATGGTTTCATCCCTTCACACATCCCACATCTCTTTCTTTGCTAGTATAATCTAGAATTTTAGATTCAAACTCATATTACATTGTTTTCATATTATACTCAGTATCTTTTTTCCTTTATAAAAATTAATTTTTCTTTTTTTTTTGGAGATGGAGTCTCGCTTTGTTGCCCAGGCAATCTCGGCTCACTGCAACCTCCACCTCCTGAGTTCAAGCAATTCTCATGCCTCAGCCTCCTGAGTAGCTGGGATTACAAGTAGCTGCCACCACACCCGGCTAATTTTTGTATTTTTAGTAGAGACAGGTTTCACCATGTTGGCCAGGCTGGTCTCGAACTCCTGACCTCAAGTGATCTGCCCACCTTGGCCTCACAAAGTGCTGGGATTACAGGCATGAGCCACCGTGCCCGGCCTATTTTTCTTTTTTTTTTTTTAAAGACAGGGTCTCACCGTGTTACCCAGGCTGGTCTTGAACACCCTGGCTCAAGTGATCCTCCTGCCACAACCTCCGAGTAGCTGGGACTTCAGGCATGAGCCACCTCGCCTGGCTATATTCTGTGTCTTTCGATGTTTTTTAAATTTCCACTTTCCAGTTATAACTAGTTTCAGTGTTCTGCATTAGTTCTGCTTAGCCATGATTCCACCAACTCAAGCTGCTAACTTAATAGCTCAAACGTTGAATGACATCTTCACGAGACTCCTGTGAGGGTCCCCAAAGCCCCCGATACCTGAGCATATCTTCAGGGCTCCCAGGACCAATATGGACTGCTCGCCTGCTCAGCTATCATCACGTCTGAAGAGCAGGTCGCCCTAGCGCAGGTCTGGATTCACAGACTTTCCCCTCAATCACTGCAGATGCTGCGTGCCTGCCCTCTGCTTTATCATAGCAGAGAACTCTAAGGCCTGTCTCTTTGTTTGTATGTTTGCTTTGCTGAAAATAAGGTCCCCTACCTAGATGCTTGTGGAATCCCATTCTTGAATTTGCATTGATAATTTCCTTTCCTTTCTCTCTGAAACTTTTCTGGCATACTTAGTTCATCTCCGCAAGACAGTGTGTTTGGTGTTGCTTGTTTTTGCACTTTACAAAAACAGTGTCATAGAAAAAACATAGTATTTTTTCATGTGGTCTCACAGGCAGAGAACTAATTGGCTCCTGCACTGCAGGTCTCACTCCCCTGCAGGGGCTGCTCTGGTGGAAGCCAGAGCAGGGCTGCCCCAGGAGCAGCCCTGGGGCAACAGAGACTTGAGGCGACGGGTCTCGGGGAGGCAAGCCTGAAATGTGCTCGGTAACTGCACTCCAGTCCCCTCAGGAGCCAGCACGATCACCCGCCGTAGCCAACTGGGTAACACACTTGGACTAGCTATCCTTCCTCCCTGCCTCCCTCTGCCTTCCTGACTGTGCTCTGCGCAAACAAGAGAGATTCCTGCTAGTCCTGCTCTCAGTCTGCTTTCAGGGTCATCCAGGCTAAGAACATTCACGTTCCTAAGATTCCTTTATCATGTTGTTGCACACAGCTATAGTTTATTCACTTTCACTGTGGTATAACAACAGTCCATTTCGTTAGACCACAGAACTTATTTTGTTTGTTTTTGAGATGGAGTCTTGCTCTGTTGCCCAGGCTGGAGTGCAGTGGCACAATCTCAGCTCACTGCAACCTCCGCCTCCCAGGTTCAAGCAATTCTCCTGCCTCAGCCTCCCGAGTAGCTGGGATTACAGGCGTGCGCCACCGCGCCCAGCTAATTTTTTTATTTTTAGTAGAGACGTGGTTTCACCATGTTGGTCAGGCTGGTCTCGAATTCCTGACCTGGTGATCCGCCGCCTCAGCCTCCCAAACTGCTGAGATTACAGGCATGAGCCACTGCGCCTGGCCTATATAATTTATTAATATCCCATTCTTCTGCTGATGAACATCTGCACTGTTTCCAGTTTTTGCTATCATGTACTATTCGTTGATGACTATCCTGGTGCACGTGGGCAGGAGTTTCTGCAAGGTATATGCTTATGAGTAGAACTGCAGGTCACGGTATGTGTGCATGTTCAGCTATAGAAAAGAATGCCAAGTTGTATTCCACTGTATTCCAGAGTGGTCCCACCCATTTCCACTCCCACCAAGAATTCTCCTGATCCACATTCTGTCCAAATTGGCATTGTCAAACTTCTTAATTGAGGCCAATCTAGTAGGTGTAAACGATTTCTCTCCACAGTTGAATTTTACATGTCCATGCTGACTGGGGCATGTGTTGACACGTTTATTGACCCTACATATGCCCACTTCCATGAAATGCCTATGTAAGCATTTTGTCCACTTTTCTATTGAGTTTTGTGCCTTTATCCTATTGATTTGTGGGAGTTCACTACATGAAATCATAATCAGTTATGTGTATTGCAAGCATCTCCTTCCAGTTGTGTTTTTGCTTTCTTCGTGATGTCTTTCAATAAAAAGAATGTTTAAATGTACTTACCTTTCAAACATATTTTTCAGCTTTGGCGTTTCTCTGTCTTGTTTAAAAAATTCTTTCCAAATTTCTTACATCTTACATTTTATTCTGTAAAGTTCCAATGTTTTGCTTTCACAGTTAAGTGTTTAAACCACCTGACACTGATTCTCTTGCATGGATAGCCAATGATCCCAGAACCATTTATGGTAGACTCCCTGAATTCTGCTCCTGGCCTGCCCTGCATCGTTTCATATATGCTTCAGGCTCTATCTTATGTTTTGCTGATTGCATTGTCTTCCTTTGCACCTACACTTACTGTCTATAGCTTAAAAATGAGTCTTATACGTGGTAGCATAAATTCCCCCCAAATTCTTCAGGAGCCTCTTGACTTTCCTTGGCCTATGGCTCTGTCATATAATTTTACAATTAGGTTGTTAAGTCTTACCCTCCCAACAAAAACATTTGTCAGGATTTTTAATGAAATCAATTGAATCTGATTTGGAAAAAAAAAACAGCCATCTTCACAGTATTGAGTTAGCTTAGACTAGCTCTCTCAATATGGTATATCCCTCCATTTATTTAGGTTTTATTTAATGTCTTTCAATAAAGTTTTACACTTTTCTGCATATTCAAATTACATATTTTTTCTTAGATATAGTTCTAAGTTCCTTATTTTTGTGCTATTGTAAATAATGTCCTTAAACAATTTACATTTTCTCTCTGTGGCTGAAGTATAAAGATACAATTGATTTTTGGTATATTAACCTTCTAGCTAACCACCTTGCCAAACTCATTATTTCTAATTGATTGTAGATGGCTTATTCCTGATTTTAAAGGGAATACTTTCAATGTTTCCTCATTAAGAATAAAACAGTTCTATTAAGTTTGTATATGTATTTTTTCTATAACTTAAGTTCTGTTACGTTTTTCTATAAATCTGTCCATTACATCTGAGTTATCAAATGTGTAGTCTCTCATCAACTTTTTGATCTCTTCTGTATCTGTAATTACATCTTCCTTTTCATTCATAATAATGGTTATTTGTACCTTCTTTTTTGTTCTTACACATTCTTACCATATTTGTCTATTTTGTTAGAATTTTCAAGGAGCTACCTTTTGGCTATGTTTATCCTCTTTATTGCAGCCTTATATTCTATTTCGTTAATTTCTATTCTTATGTATTATGTTCTTTAAATTTATTCATTCTTCTTTTTCTAAGTAAATCTGATCACTTCATTCCTATTCTTATGTATTGTGTTCTTTAAATTTATTCATTCTTCTTTTTCTAAGTAAATCTGATCACTTCATTCATTTTCAATTGTCAATCTTTCTAGGTACCTAAGGCTATTCATTTGCATTACAATTTCTTCTTTGATTAATGAGTTATTAAAATCTTTTTTTAATTTCCAAATATATTAGGGTCATTTATCCTTTTGTTATTTATTTCTAACTTAATTAAATTGTGGTCAGAGAATGTGATCTCCTTGATATTCATTCTTTGAAATGTTTTGATATTTACTCTACAAACTAAAAAACTGCAAGATCAATTTCTTAAAGATAGTCCCTGTTTACATGAGAACATCTCTGAAAGCTGCAGAATTCAGTATATGTAAATTATACCTGGTTGTGTTCTTTAAGTTATTACATAATTTTTAATTTTCTGTCTGATAGATCAACAATCAATATGTATTGAAATTTCCTTTTCATGACAGATTGATCGATTTCTACCTCCATTTTTATGTGTTTTTTCTTTATACGCTTTGCAGTGGTTTAATCAAAAGTATATAAGCATAAAATTGTACCTATTTGTTATATGTAATGAGCCTCTCTCTAACAAGGCTTTTTGACTGAAAGTCGATTTTGTCTGATATTAAAATGGCTCTGCCAATATTCTTTTGGTTGACATCTGCCCACCCAAACAACTACACAAAAATCTACAATTTCCAAACTACATTGTGACCAGGGTTCATTCATCACAACCCCTACATACGTACGGTATTTTGCTTGTGAACTCTCTTCCCCTCTTCCTACCAAATTTTCTTACAGCTTTGAAATTTGCCTGGACTTCCTAAAATGACAATGTCCCAGGGAAATGTTCAATAATCTGGGTAAGGAGAGACACACATAGGCTCAAAATAAAGGGATGGAGGAAGATCTACCAAGCAAATGGAAAACAAAAAAAGGCAGGGGTTGCAATCCTGGTCTCTAATAAAACAGACTTTAAACCAACAAAGATCAAAAGAGACAAAGAAGGTCATTACATAATGGTAAAGGGATCAATGCAACAAGAAGAGCTAACTATCCTAAATATATATGCACCCAATACAGGAGCACCCAGATTCATAAAGCAAGTCCTTAGTGACCTACAAAGAGACTTAGACTCCCACACAATAATAATGGGAGACTTTAACACCCCACTGTCAACATTAGACAGATCAACGAGACAGAAAGTTAACAAGGATATCCAGGAATTGGACTCAGCTCTGCACCAAGCGGACCTAATAGACATCTACAGAACTCTCCACCCCAAATCAACAGAATATATATTCTTTTCAGCACCATACCACACCTATTCCAAAATTGACCACATAGTTGGAAGTAAAGCACTCCTCAGCAAATGTAAAAGAACAGAAATTATAAGGAACCGTCTCTCAGACCATAATGCAATCAAACTAGAACTCAGGATTAAGAAACTCACTCAAAACCACTCAACTACATGGAAACTGAACAACCTGCTCCTGAATGACTACTGGGTACATCACGAAATGAAGGCAGAAATAAAGATGTTCTTTGAAACCAACGAGAACAAAGATACAACATACCAGAATCTCTGGGACACATTCAAAGCAGTGTGTAGAGGGAAATTTATAGCACTAAATGCCCACAAGAGAAAGCAGGAAAGACCTAAAATTGACACCCTAACATCACAATTAAAAGAACTAGAGAAGCAAGAGCAAACACATTCAAAAGCTAGCAGAAGGCAAGAAATAACTAAGATCAGAGCAGAACTGAAGGAGATAGAGACACAAAAACCCTTCAAAAAATCAATGAATCCAGGAGCTGGTTTTCTGAAAAGATCAACAAAATTGACAGACTGCTAGCAAGACTAATAAAGAAGAAAAGAGAGAAGAATCAAATAGATGCAATAAAAAATGATAAAGGGGATATCACCACCGATCCCACAGAAATACAAACTACCATCAGAGAATACTATAAACACCTCTACACAAATAAACTAGAAAATCTAGAAGAAATGGATAAATTCCTCGACACATACACCCTCCCAAGACTAAACCAGGAAGAAGTTGAATCTCTGAATAGACAAATAATAACAGGCTCTGAAATTGAGGCAATAATTAATAGCTTACCAACCAAAAAAAGTCCAGGACCAGATGGATTCACAGCCGAATTCTACCAGAGGTACAAGGAGGAGCTGGTACCATTCCTTCTGAAACTATTCCAATCAACAGAAAAACAGTGAATCCCCCCTAACTCATTTTATGAGGCCAGCATCATCCTGATACAAAGTCTGGCAGAGACACAACAAAAAAAGAGAATTTTACACCAATATCCCTGATGAACATTGATGCAAAAATCCTCAATAAAATACTGGCAAACCGAATCCAGCAGCACATCAAAAAGCTTATCCACCATGATCAAGTGGGCTTCATCCCTGGGATGCAAGGCTGGTTCAACAAGTGAAAATCAATAAACGTAATCCAGCATATAAACAGAACCAAAGACAAAAACCACGATTATCTCAATAGATGCAGAAAAGGCCTTTGACAGAATTCAACAACCCTTCATGCTAAAAACTCTCAATAAATTAGGTATTGATGGGATGTATCTCAAAATAATAAGAGCTATCTATGACAAACCCACAGCCAATATCATACTGAATGGGCAAAAACTGGAAGCATTCCCTTTGAAAACTGGCATAAGACAGGGATGCCCTCTCTCACCACTCCTATTCAACATAGTGTTGGAAGTTCTGGCCAGGGCAGTCAGGCAGGAGAAGGAGATAAACGGCATTCAATTAGGAAAAGAGGAAGTCAAATTGTCCCTGTTTGCAGATGACATGATTGTATATCTAGAAAACCCCGTCGTCTCAGCCCACAATCTCCTTAAGCTGATAAGCAACTTCAGCAAAGTCTCAGGATACAAAATCAATGTGCAAAAATCACAAGCATTCTTATACACCAATAACAGACAGACAGCCAAATCATGAGTGAACTCCCATTCACAACTGCTTCAAAGAGAATAAAATACCTAGAAATCCAACTTACAAGGGATGTGAAGGACCTCTTCAAGGACAACTACAAGCCACTGCTCAATGAAATAAAAGAGGATACAAACAAATGGAAGAACATTCCATGCTCATGGGTAGGAAGAATCAGTATCGTGAAAATGGCCATAATGCCCAAGGTAATTTATAGATTCAATGCCATCCCCATCAAGCTACCAATGGCTTTCTTCACAGAATTGGAAAAAACTACTTTAAAGTTCATATGGAACCAAAAAAGAGCCTGCATTGCCAAGTCAATCCTAAGCCAAAAGAACAAAGCTGGAGGCATCACGCTACCTGACTTCAAACTATACTACAAGGCTACAGTAACCAAAACAGCATGGTACTGGTACCAAAACAGAGATATAGACCAATGGAATACAACAGAGCCCTCAGAAATAATGCCGCGTATCTACAACCATCTGATCTTTGACTAACCTGACAAAAACGAGAAATGGGGAAAGGATTCCCTATTTAATAAATGGTGTTGGGAAAACTGGCTAGTCATATGCAGAAAGCTGAAACTGGATCTCTTCCTTACACCTTATACAAAAATTAATTCAAGGTGGATTAAAGACTTACATGTTAGACCTAAAACCATAAAAACCCTAGAAGAAAACCTAGGCAATACCATTCAGGACATAGGCATGGGCAAAGACTTCATGTCTAAAACACCAAAAGCAATGGCAACAAAAGCCAAAATTGACAAATGGGATCTAATTAAACTAAAGAGCTTCTGCACGGCAAAAGAAACTACCATCAGAGTGAACAGGCAACCTACAGAATGGGAGAAAATTTTTGCAATCTACTCATCTGACAAAGGGCTCATATCCAGAATCTACAATGAACTCCAACAAATTTACAAGAAGAAAACAAACAACCCCATCAACAAGTGGGCAAAGGATATGAACAGACACTTCTCAAAAGACATTTATGCAGCCAGAAAACACATGAAAAATTGCTCATCATCACTGGCCATCAGAGAAATGCAAATCAAAACCACAATGAGATACCATCTCACACCAGTTAGGATGGCGATCATTAAAAAGTCAGGAAACAACAGGTGCTGGAGAGGGTGTGGAGAAATAGGAACACTCTTTCACTGTTAGTGGGACTGTAAACCAGTTCAACCATTGTGGAAGTCAGTGTGGCTATTCCTCAGGGATCTAGAACTAGAAATACTATTTGACCCAGCCATCCCATTACTGGGTATATACCCAAAGGATTATAAATCATGCTGCTATAAAGACACATGCACACGTATGTTTACTGCAGCACTATTCACAATAGTAAAGACTTGGAACCAACCCAAATATCCAACAATGATAGACTGGATTAAGAAAATGTGGCACATATACACCATGGAATACTATGCAGCCATAAAAAATGATGAGTTCTTGTCCTTTGTAGGGACATGGATGAAGCTGGAAACCATCATTCTCAGCAAACTATCGCAAGGACAAAAAACCAAACACCGCATGTTCTCACTCAGGTGGGAATTGAACAATGAGAACACATGGACACAGTAAGGGGAACATCACACACCGGGGACTGCTGTGGGGTTAGGGGAGCAGAGAGAGATAGCATTAGGAGATATATCTAATGCTGAATGACGAGTTAATGGGTGCAGCACACCAACATGGCACATGTATACATATGTAACAAACCTGCACGTTGTGCACAGGTACCCTAAAACTTAAAGTATAATAATAATAAAATTTAAAATAATAATAATAATAATCTACGTAAAAAAAGAAATGTTGATGTGGCTGAAATATATATGTATGTATCTTGCAAATATAATTCATGGCTATTTTCCATATAAATCATCTCAAATCAAGATTTGATTTTCTCTAACAGATCTGGTCTGAAAAGTATAGTTATGAACAGGAGTGGAGTCATGGGCATTCACTGCTTCTTTAATTGCATTTTCTGGAAAACTCTACAGTTCTGTTTTTAACATTTGATCACACCATCAGTAGAGCTACATTCCACAAAGCAATTATGTTTTGCTCAGCAAAATATCAGAATGGAATAATATGCTGCATATTAACAACTGTAAGAATAGAAGCCATTTAGAACATTTTAGAATAATGATTGAGGTCATTTGTTCAGAATTTACAGCAAATGTGTTTTAAAGACCCACTATCATGGAGTCCACTGTGAAGTCTAAGTTATGCACATCAGAAACTACAAATGCACAAGGAGCCCAGTATTTTATCAAAACATTAATATCAGCACTATTAAAAACCAAACCTTTTATCCAGCACCCCCTGCTTACCAGCTCTCCCCATGTACAAATGCATTAGCATTTAATGCAATATGCTTTCCTTTTCTTTAAGGGCTTTATCCAGATATCTAGAAAGTAGTAAAGTGGTAGCATTTAACTAACACAGGAGTGGCAAACAGGTGGCAACTCCCTTCCTCGACCCAGAAGGACAAGGCTCATCTATCACCACACCCTCCGTGCAGAGTACAGAAGCCATCTTAGAATCCTTCTAACACAGTATTCCAGGCACCATGACTTAGAATTTGTGTTGGCATGCCAGATCCCACCTACCCGAAGGTGCTATATAAATAGGCTAGGGCAGCTAGGGGAATACAGTTATATGTCTTATTCACAATTCTAAAAGGCAGTTCGTGGTTGCACAGGTCTTTCGCTTCCAGGTCGGATGGAGTAGTTAGCAGCTCATCAGTGTCCCCAGTAAGAACAACAGGAAAAGCTCAATAAAATATGGAAATCAACTCTCTGAAAATGGCTGAGAGTGACAAAATTCAAACAGGCTTGAGAGAGGAATGAACCTCCCTCCAAGAAGGGAGCTAAACTCTGAAGCTTCTTTTATCCTAGAAGTGTTCCAATTCTGGGCACAAGCAGCAGCCTGAGAACTCTGGCTATGCACCTGCTGAAAGCCAGTTCTGGGGGAAACCCCAGCAGGGCTATGGTTGGAGACTTGGGGTCCAAGCACATGGTTGGGTTTTCCCCTGGGATAGCTTTCCAATTCTGAGGGTAAGAGACTTAAATTTTAACAAAAAGCCACTGGAAGGCAGCCTCAAAATAAAAATTGTAATTAGGAAACACAAGAGAGAGGGGCTGTGACAAATATAGAAGACTCTCATTTGAAAACCCTAAAAGGCAAGGACAAACAACAGCAAGACTGAAGCTTACCAGGGCTGCAAACCAGCTCTGAGTCAGCACAGTCCTTGCTTCAATGAAGGTGATGAACACCAGATAATCTGGACAATAAAGTTAGCTGGCTGACTTCAAAACAATTATAGTTATTACGCCCAAGAAAACAGAGAAAAAGATGAATAAAATAAATGAAAAGAAGAATTTCACCAGATAACTATAATTGGTAAAAATTAATAATCAAAGAGAAAATATAAAACTAAAAAATACAACATCTAAAATGAGTAACTCAACAGATGGGTTTAACAGCAAATTAGATACAGAAGATAAGACTAGTAAACAGCAAGACAGGTCAATTAAAACGAATACCCAAACTAAAACCTAAGGAGGAAAAAAAAATTTAAGAGGATTAGAGAGACACAGGACACAATGAATGGGCCTAGTGTATGTGATTCAAGTCCCATTCAGAGAAAAAGAGAACAGGGTAGAAGAAATGATGGCCAAGGATTTTCTAAAACAAACAAAACAGCAAATCTCAAATCGTTCAGTAAGCGCTGCAAAGCTAAGCTGGCCATTTACACAAAAGAAAAAGAAACCTAAATAAAAGGAAAAATCTTAAAAGCAGCAAAGGAGCAGATCTGGACGCACATATTACCTTCAAAGAAGTAACAAAAAGACTGGTAGTCATTTTCTAACAAAATTGATGGAAACCACCTTTTAAGTCCTGAAAGGAAGTAGCTGCCAACCTAGAATTCTATCACCAAGAAAATATCCTTCAAAAAAGGAAGCTAAAATAAAAATGTTTCTGAGACAATCACAGCAGAATTTGTCACCAGCAAACTTACACTAAAGAAAAGAAAAATGACCTAGAGAAAAACCCAAATAAGGACGAAGAAATGAAGATTGATGAAAGGGATGAATGAATATGGACTGCGACCAAACTTTGGAAGTTATGAAAAGGACAGACAGGCAGTACTGATTTAGCCAAATTAAGAAAGATGGATCCTAAAGCAGCAACAGCAGCAGCAGAGAAGAGAGAACAACCCATTGTGCACCTCAGAACCCTCAAAAGATTCAGGCACGAGTCTCAATGGGCACCTCTGGAAGTGGGGCTAATTTGGTGTAGAAGGCTTGAGGGATTTGGGGGCTAATCAAGGAAGTAGATATGCTGAAAGGAAGCAGTAACACATGCAAGCTTTCTTAAAAGGTTATGTGGGAGGGGAAGTCCCTCACAGTATGACATCCACAGGCTTCAAGCAAGGGGTCTATCCAGAAGGGGAAGAGGACAAGGGAACTCCTGGGGAAAGGGGGTCAGAGAGGAGGCTGACATAGCCAGGTGACAGTCTGTAGCAGCACAGCAGGGGGTCCCAGGGTCAGAGAGCTTTGATGGTAGCAGTGGCTTGGAGCTTTATAACCACAAGGCTCTATCTTACCAGAGGCCAGCTCACCGGGTATGCAAAGCAGTCAGGCTCTTAATGGCTAAAAATCTGCTAATTCAGGCTATTTGAAAAAAATTAGACGTGTAAAAATTTGAGTTTGGTACCAGTGGGCTTCTGAGCTAACAGATCTCAGTCTGCTATGAAGAAATAAACAACCTAGAGGCCAATATATAGTGGCCACCTTTGGCCTCTATATGACACTTGGGAAGGAGGGCTAAGATAAGGAATGGAAATTTGGACAGCTACTTGAAAACAGATTTCCCAGCCCTGCACCCTAGCAGAATTCTGAAGGACTGTTCCCCTAAAAACATCAAAACAGGTCTGTGCTGTGGACTGACCAGCCCCAGACCACAATGCAGCAACATGAGGCAACAGAAGGCATTCTGAGGCTGGTCCCACCATGCCCTCTGCCCCTGCAGCATCTTTTTAGGTGAAACTAATGCAGAATGTGCTCCACAAAACAAGGCAGCAAAGTCAGAATGAGGAAGACCTGAGATGCAGAAAATGACCCAGTGGAATTCCAGAGATGGCAGAAAGAGGGAACCCGGGCTGACAGCTGTGTACAGGCCTAGAAAGCCACCAACCCAAGAGAAGAAAATGAGTCCTGGAGAAGAAAATGGGAACAGAAAGATAACCTACTAGAGCTGAGCTGAGTCAGTATTACTGAGAGGCTATTGCAAGAGGAGCTATTGATTAAGGCGAGGCAAGTACTGACTTCAAGAGTAAGTTAGTGAAAGTGAACATACCACTCTACACAGCTCTGCAGTGAATAATATCTGCATAGGTATAAATCCAAATACTGACTAAATTAAACTTGTAACATACCCACTCTGGAGGATGAGGAAGGGGAACCAGAGAGAAAATGAAAAGCTAAATCCTCACTGCCATAATTAGAAACCTACAATGATATCTACAACCAATTAATCAAAGATAGCAGAATTTGTATCTTATTTAGAAATGTGGAGACGTAGTAAGTCCCAGGGAAAAAAGCTGAATTAAAAGTAGTTGCCTCTGCACAAGTTAGAGCAGGGAACTACTGGGTTTTCCTATTTGCTATTTGACTTTTTAAACTATGTTTTCATTTCATTAGATGACATAAAAATTAACTTTAAAAACACATAGACATGAATATTTTTCCTTAGTAATATGAAACTTACAATGCTCAAACTACGTAACACTAGCATCTATAAAACCTACAGGAAAACAGCTGATCATTTTACATTTAACTTCTTTTAATATAAAGAGAGCTTACTCTCCTAAATTAAGCCAAAACTCCCAGATCTCTCAATTTTTCATGGTGCCATGGGAAAAAGCAAATCTGATGTTTCTACCCTCAAAATACCAAAAGGATTAACATCAGCTAATTTCTTCAATTATGACTTCATGAGTAACGGACTCTAAGTCCTGGACAGCAGCCAACATCCTGCCAGATGCTAAAGACAGCATGGTGGAGGCCTGAAAGAGAACTCAGAATGAGGACATGGGGCCGGGCACGGTGGCTCACGCCTGTAATCCCAGCACTTTGGGAGGCCGAAGCAGGTGGATCACCTGAGGTCAGGAGTTCAAAACCAGCCTGGCCAACATGGTGGAACCCTGTCTGTACTAAAAATACAAAAAATTTAGCCATGCATGGTGGTGGGCACCTGTAATACCTGTTACTCTGGAAGCTGAGGCAGGAGAATTGCTTGAACCCAGGAAGCAGAGGTTGCAGTGAGCCGAGGTCGCGCCATTGCACTCCAGCCTGAGCAACAAGAGTGAAACTCCGTGTCAAAAAAAAAGAAAAAAGAAAAAAAGAAAAAAAAGAATGAGGACATGGCCACTGACTGGTGCTGAGCAGGTTATCTCTCACCCAGGATGGGGACCCCACATACCATTATCTGCTCTCCTGCCTCTCCGGGGGCTCAGCAACACTATGGCAGTGGACTTTGAATTACAGAGCAGAAAGAAAGGTTAAATTCTTGGACTTGAATAAAGAGAACGGCAGGGTAAACTCTAGGAGTTTGTAGGGGGAAAGTCAGCAAGTTTGCGTGTTAAATAAGGGTAGAGTACAAGACAACTATCCCAGTGGCTGTAAGGCCAAAGAACTCTGAGGCTCTGTAATGTCGGAAGTTGCTGGCTCTCTGCTATGCAAGGTAACCCTACCCCCACCCTCTACCATCTCACCTACAAAATCATCAGTAAATTTATCTGGACAAAGATACCTTTGTAAGAGTAGACCAGGGTGGAGTGAAGGTGACAAGGACTCACAAAGGTTTTGAGTGTGAAACTTAGGTAAGAGAGAAAGAACAGTGCTGAGACAGCCCCTGAGCATGATGGATCCAGGGGGATGGAACTTGTACTCCATGGAATTAGAAGTAAGTATGGAGAGAGTTTGGGACATTGTGGCCAATGGAACCGGTGTACCTAAGAAGGCTAGGGGATCAAGATGGAATCTGAGATGCAGAATCCAATGTATAATTTCGGGATAGGTGAGTGTGTCTTTAATGTTTTACAAAATATTAGTTTATCAAAGAACACATATAAAAATGGGTTCCACGTCAACGAGGTCTGAAAACATGACATAGTATACCCTTTTCATGCAGAGTCACGGTGCACATGAGAATAACACAGTCAAGCTAAAATGCACACCACAGGAAAGAAAATGCTTCAACCCTGAATAACCCCGCCTGCCCCAAATGTGACCTTGGAATCTTTTTAACTCAGAATACACATTTAACATCTTGTATACACAGTTGTTTACTATACATGTTAGTGAAAATGCTGGCATAGGAAATTATAGTGGGAATTCAGAGAGAGATAAGTTAGGGTTTTTTTCCTTCACAATGAAAATTCCTTCTTCTGACTATACATATAAATAGTACACCCTAATGCTGCTAAATTTAGTTAACATGAAAAATTCTAGAGAAGAATGTAAAATTCACCCACACCACCATACACAAAGATAAACCAATGGCAATGTTTAAATGTATTCATACCTAGATTTTTTGGTTTACAAAGTTTATTTGGGCCGGCGCGGTGGCTCACGTCTGTAATCCCAGCACTTCAGGAGGCCAAGGCGGGCGGATCACGCGGTCAGGAGATCGAGACCATCCTGGCTACCACAGTGAAACCCCATCTCTACTAAAAATACAAAAAAAAAAAAAAAAATTAGCCGGACGACGTGGCGGGCGCCTGTAGTCCCAGCTACGCCAGAGGCTGAGGCAGGAGAATGGCGTGAACCTGGGAGGCGGAGGCTGCAGTAAGCAGATATCGCGCCACTGCACTCCAACCTGGGCGACAGCGAGACTCCGTCTCAAAAAAAAAATTTGATTTTTTTCTAAGGACTCCGTTCACAGTACACAGTTTTTCCTTTAAAAATATATCACAGACGTATGTGGACACCCATCCTCCAATGATGTACATTCAGACTATCTCAATGGGAAAAAAAATGAGGCTTACATTGTGTCCGCAATTTATTCTTCCCCGTGGGTTCTTGGTCTTGCTGACTTCAGGAATGAAGGCGTGGACCCTCACGGTGAGTGTCACAGCTCTTAAAGATGGTGTGTCTAGAGTTTGTTCTTTCAGATGCGTCTGGAACTTTTTCCTTCCCACGGGTTTGTGCTCTCACTGACTTCAGGAAGGAAGCTGCAAACCCTCAATGTGAGTTATAGCTCATAAAGGTAATGCAAACCCAAAGAGTGAGCAACAGCAAGCTTTATTGCCAAGAGCAGCAAAAATACAAAACCTCTGCACTACCTAAGTGGACCCCATGGGGCTCCCACCGCTGACTGGGTGGCTTTTGTTCCCTTATTTGGCCCCGCCCACATCCTGCTGATTGGTCCATTTTACAGAGCGTTGATTGGTCCCTTTTACAGAGTGCTGATTGGTCCCTTTTACAGAGTGCTGATTGGTGTGTTTTTATAGAGTGCCGATTGGTGCATTTACAATCCTTTAGCTGGACACAAAAGTTCTCCAAATCCCCACCTGACCCAGAAGCCCAACTTGGCTTCCTCTTTTAATATTGCTATTGACTCTATTCTGCCCAGTCTGGGTAGGCGCCAACCTCTCAGGTGAAAGGAGCACAAGAGAAGGTAAAGGCTGTCTTGACCTGTAGTGACCCAACACCAGGTCATCCACAACAGGGAGAAGAGGTACTGAGAGGGGCCCTGCAAAGTCCTGGTTTATTTATTCCGTTGGTAACCATGAGGCAGAGGAGACACACCAGGCAGTGCCCCAGGAATCCTCAAGCTCACAGCTTTTTCAACACATTTCCTTTTCTTTACAACTGGAGTCTTTCTGAAAGTTGTCTTCTGCACAAATTGCTACCAAAATCCTCGCCAGTGTCTCTCCCACTGCAGGCACAAGACCAGCAAGCCTTATCATGTCTGTGTCTCCAAGTATCTTGTTCTTGCTGACCAAGTCATGGTTTTCTAATTCTACTGACACAGTACATTCTATTTCCATCATCAAAACCCATCAGACAGATGACAGATCTGCAAACACCATAATGGGGTGATTATACTTTTATGACTAGTTTTTGTTGTTGTTGTTTTGTTTTTGTTTTTTGAGATGGAGTCTCGCTCTGTTGCCCAGGCTGGAGTGCAGTGGCATGATCTCCACTCACTGCAAGCTCCACCTCCAGGGTTCACGCCATTCTCCTGCCTCAGCCTCCCAAGTAGCTGGGACTACAGGCACCCACCACCACGTCCAGGTTTTTTGTTTTTTTTTTTGTATTTTTTAATAGACATGGGGTTTCACTGTGTTAGCCAGGATGGTCTCGATCTCCTGACCTCATCATCTGCCTGCCTCAGCCTCCCAAAGTGCTGGGATTACAGGCTGAGCCACCACGCCTGGCTTTTTATGACTAGTTTTAAATCTTCTTTATCCTGTTTGGAGTTATATTTTTGTATTGCATTCTATTTGATCATACGTGGACAGTCCTACTTTCCTTTACTTGGCCACTGCCAGATAGCTCTTTGCCAATGCCCTGGTCTGTTATTTTAAGCTATTTGTGTTTGTTTGTTTGCCAATAGTATCTATCTGATTTTTGCTTTTTACCCCAATCTAAAAGTGCTGTCTTTTAATAGAGGAAATTAAGTAACACCTTTAGCGTGGTAGCTAACATAACTGAATTATTTCCTAGCTTATTTACTATATTTCCTTAATTTTTGTTTCTCTAATTTTCCTGTCTTTTGCTATTTTGTTCAATTTTTGTTGTTTGCTTTTTCTAATGATTTGGAAATTATATATCAATTTTCTAACCAAAATTTTAAATCTATGTTTGAAATTATATATCTAATAAGTATATATCAATAGCATAGATATCTATAGTCTCTATGCAACATGGCAAAATTTTCTACCTCAACCTGCCTCCCAGATTTTATCAAAACAACCACATTAGTGTCAACAATTCAAACTTAACTTTATGTTTCATTGGTTTAATTGCTTACTTCTGCAGTATTTATACCAATGCTTCCTGTTTATCTTTAATAACTAAATATAATTATTAAATTTATATAATTCTATAAATTATTGAATTTATATAATTATTACATAAAGATAATTGATTATTTTAATAATTAAATAATTGATTTATTTTAATAACAAGTAAAGGTATTAAATATTTAATAATAATTTTCCTCATTTGGCTTGTGCACTACAAGTCATTTCCTTTATTCAGAAATGGTATGCAGAAATTTGGAGTCCACTGTATTTCTGAAAATCACTTTCATGTACCCATTCACATACATGAGCTTAGAAATCTTGCATACAGAAAGCCTAGAGGAATCTTGCTTAACAACCTGTTCCTTCTAAAATATGCAAATGTTGCTGCATTATCTTCTAGCATTTGACTTTATGGATTAAAATCTAGTATTAATGTGATTATTTTCTGTAGCCTGCTTTGTCTTGTTTAACGCTTATCTTTGATTTTTTTTGATTACTGAAATTCAGAAAATGTTCTATTACATGAATCAAACCTAAAACAAAAACATCTCCTATATGCCTGTCTGACGTCTTACATGTATCTTCCATGACCTTTAGCTTTTCTCTCCTAATTTCCCCATCTTGTCTCATTCCTCTCAGTTGAAAAATAGATCCCCCAGGTGATATCCTAATTCACTAATCCAATGTTGGTCATCTGGTTTCCTTCTCACAGTAACATTTTCGTGTCCTCCGTCTGCCTCCACTGCACTTGACAGTCTCTTCTTTTGCAATGTGGCACCTCTCAGATCTCACAGGTCATAAGCCAGAGTTGTTTTGAAGTTTTATTCCATTTCTCTGTTTCACTGTGTGCCATTTACTCCATTGGCTTTTGGAGTTGGTATGTGATATATCCTAAACATTCACAAATACTTCAAAATGCTATGCACACTGGGCGCCGAGTGGTCAGTGTGATGCCCAAAGCTTGGGGCAGTGCATTACATACAGAAGTAGAAGAGAATTGTCCAATCAGAATTAAACATGATGGCTTTGACCTACTGTCTGCAGGAAATAAGTGATGAGAGAAGGCCAAAGAAAACTGTAGCCATGTGGCCTCCAGATGGACCTTATTATCTTATGGGTGCTTGGTTTCTTTTTGTTCTTTGACCCTAGGTGATTTATTTTGTTATATTTAAAGCAAACTAGCAATTTCTGCTCTATAATTAAAAGTATGTGTATGTCTTTATAAACACTGAGTATATATACTATTAATTGCTGTTGTTATTTTTCCATTCTCAAAGCTTTCCAGGCCTAATCGTTATCCTGCAACAACTTTCAAAGAAGTGAGAGCAATGATTTCCTCTCCTCCACTGTTCATACGAATCATGGAGAAGCGGGGTTGAAAACGAAGACTGCCTGAGCCCCAACCCCCGGAGTCCAACTTGGGGTACCTGAGATATAGCCCTATCTGTTAGTTTCCTATTGCTGCTGCAACCAATGACCAAAAACTCAGTGGCTTAAAACAATACAAAATTATCACCTTTCAGCTTTTGAGGTCAAAAGTCCAAAATGGGTTGGGTTGGTAGGACTGAGCTCCTTCTGGAAGCTCCAGGGGAGAGTCCCTTTCCTTGCCTTCTCCAGCTTCCAGAGACTGCCCTCAGCCCTTGGCTTGTGGCCCCACTGCACTCCTGAGTTCTGCTTCCATCCTCGCCTCTCCTTCTCTGACTCTCCTGCCTCCCTCTTTCCCTTATGAGGGCCCTTGTGACTACCTTGAACCCATTCAGATACCCGGCATAACCTCCCCATCTCCAAACCCATAACTTCACCACATCTACAAAGCCCCTTTTGCCATGTAAAGTAATACATTCATAGGTTCCAGCGATTAGGAAGGACGTGGACATCAGTGGGGTTGGGGGTACGAGTCTCCCTATACACCCAGAAACCTGCACTTTGAACAAGAACCAGCAGACTGCCTGGTGAGAAACACCAAATCACACCCACTACATGGTGGCTGGAGCTTTTTCCTTTAGGACACTCTTCAGACCCATCACCTTAAAAGTCCGAAACCAACAGAGTGATAAATATCATAATATAAACAAAACACCATCCTTGACAATTTATTAAGATAAAATATTGCAGTATGTACCTAGACCTACCCAGAATTCATTTTTAAGTGGAAAGTTAAATGACAGAACAGAAATGTCTAAGAATCATTGGGGAAAAATACAAGTCAAACCCAAAGCCAAGTCCACTTTCCACAGCAGAATCAAGATGACACCCTGTGGAGACTCCGATACACTCAAAAAACATACTTCCATGTTTGTTTGTTTGAGACAGAGTCTCACTCTATCGCCCAGGCTGCAGTGAAGTGGTTCGATCTTGGCTCACTGCAACCGCTGCCCCATGGGTTCAAGCGATTCTCCTGCTTCAGCCTCCCGAGTAGCTGTTATTACAGGTGCTCGCCACCACACACGGCTATTTTTTTGGATTTTTAGCAGAGATGGGGTTTCACCATGTTGACCAGGCTGGTCTTGAACTCCTGACCTCAGGTGATCCACCCTCCTTGCACTCCCAAAGTGCTGGGATTACAGGTGTGAGCCACCGTGCCCAGCCACTTCCATGTTTTAAAGCTTCACTTTTCCATCTGTCTTAAGCTCTTTTCCCAAAAAAAAAAAAGTAAAATTTCTGAATTGTTTAAATACATTATTAGGAAACAGAACTTAAAAGGCCAGTCCTCTTAGTACATGCCCAAATTCCAAATGTGTCACTATTTCTATAATAAATAGCGCCAGCACTGACAGACTTCATAATGCAGGGTTTCCTGTGCTGCCATTCACCAGCACACACAAAAGTGAGAGTAATGAAAATGTCAGGAAACGGCATCCCATTTAGAAACCAGGAAATACAAAAATGCAGCTATCAGTCATCCCTAAGGCTGGCCAAATAAAAGGTTTTAAATATAGTCACGGATCACCAGTGTCACAAGCAACAACATTCACTGCACAGAGAGGCAGCAGAATTTGCAGCATTGAGGATTTGCTGGGTGGCTGATGAGATCTGCCCACTTTGAACTTGCTCTCAACTGACATACCCAGATCTATTTTTACATTAGCTGTCAAAATGATAGGTCTCCTGCATCCTATGCCTGCACTGTTAATTATCTATCTGCCTATCTGTCTATCCATCCATCCATCCATCTTGAGATGTCTATCTATCCATCCGTCCATTCATCTATCTTGAGATGTCTATCTGTCCATCCATCCATCCATCCATCTTGAGATGTCTATCTATCCATCCATCCATCCATCCATCCATCCATCCATCCATCCATCTATCTTGAGATGGGGTGTTGCTCTGTGGCCCAAGCTGGAATGCACTGGTGCGATCTTGGCTCACTGCAGCCTCAACCTTTCAGGCTCCAGCAATCCTCCTGCCTTAGCCCCACAAGTAGCTGGGACCACAGGCACACGCTACCACACCTGGGTAATTTTAAAAATTTTGTAGAGACAGAGACTCACTACGTTCCCAGGGCTGGTCTAGAAATTCTGGCCTCAAGCAATCCTCCCACCTCGGCCTCCTAAAGTGCTAGGATCACGGGCATAAGCCACCATGGCCAGCCAATATTTAATTTTTGAATTTGGGACTCCCACGTTGGAGCTGGGATTTTGTACTTACATGTATACTCTCTAGCACATGTAACCCATTAAAAACATCACCTGCTTTGCTGGTTGCAGTCCTTCCTCCCCTCTGTCCTAATTCTGACAGGATCCGGTAGAAGGGACAAATTCGTCTGTGGTTGAAATCTACGGACAGCCATGAGCTGAAACTACGGACCCCGTAGTTCTCAAAGGAATACAGAGAAGCAGGTATGGAATGCCAACAGGGCTGTGCAATGCCCGATCCGGGCCGGCGTGAGGGCACCTCCATGATGGGGTGAGGATGAGGGAAGGAGTCCCAGTTCAAGAAGCCGTTACCAAAAGGCACTCCTAGCGAGCCAGGTGGCTTCATTCATCCACGCCTGATGTAAAGCCACCCACATACCCCATCTATACAATAGGGCTGGGCGCAGACTTTCAAATACCTATTGAACCTTTACTTCCTCTGAAACCCAGAAGCCTGTGTTACAGACCTCAACCACCACATACACATTGTCTCTAAGGAGAAATCAATTCCGTGGGGAAAACCTGGGAATGGAGGAAGCGGAAACAAGAAAGTGGGAAGTGGGGAAAGGCAAGAAGGCTTTCTTTCAGAAGGTGAGTTAGAGATACCACCTGTCTCCCCCATTGATAAAAGGCTCCTCCCATGGCTGGCTCCACTCATCCTGCCAGCCTCATTTCAAAGGCCACAGGCTCAGAGAGGTCCCTGCTGAGCCCCGAGTCCACAGCACAGCCCTGGCCCCTCTCGATGGCCTTGCAGTTTTATCTTAAACATGTATCTCTGTATGAAATGGTTTCCTTATTTTTTGCCTGTCTCTCCTGCTCTAGGACGTGTACTCGCCAGGCAGAGGCCTGGTGTGTCTTCTCCAAAGCAGTATCTCCAGCTCCCAGCACAGGCCTGGCCCATAGCAGGGACTATGATCATTATGAATGCATTGAGAAGCCAGGCATGGTGGCACATGCCTGTAATCACAGCTACTCGGGAGGCTAAGGCAGGAGAATCACTTGAACCCGGGAGGCAAGCAGAGGTTGCAGTGAGCCAAGGTCATGCCACTGCACTCCCGCCTGGGCAACAGAGTGAGACTCCATCTCAAAAACAAACAAACAAACAAACAAAAAGAATGCATTGAGAGATGGGTGGGGGAAGGATGGGAGGAAGGAGGGAGGAATGGAGGTACACCCATCACTCGGTAAAACAAGGCCTAATCTGACCTAGATTTAATTATCCTGGAGACCACCCACTCCCCAAAAAAGGGCCAATGACCACTCTGAGTCGGATGGATTGACATAAGGAGAGAGAGGCAGTGTCCAATGAAACTGTGCTAGAGATCCTCATGGTCCCCAGGTTCCTGGTCTTACTGACACGGCTCCGGTGAGCTCCCACCCTCCCAGATGTCTTTCTAGTAACTCCTTTGTGCGTAGCTACCCAAAGCTGGTTTCTGCTGCTTGCCCTAAATATACCCCATTCCAGGAGCATGTATTCAGGGTGGCTGAGGCACACTGCGGGCCCAAACTGTTTTCAAGCTTTACATCTGGGCACTCTACCTGTTTAATCCTCACAAGGACCTAAAGAGGGAAATGCAATTATAATCTGGTATTCTAAGGATACCAGTGGCCGGGTTACGTAACCCCGGGTAAAATCACGCTGGCAGTAACAGGGGAGCCTCGGTTTATACCCAGGCCATAAATTTCCCTCCTGCGATGCCACGCTGGCCCCTGCACGTATGGTTTATTGTGATAAGTAAAGAATCCTATATAACTTATGGTTTTTATGAATCTAAAATTTTGATGAAACAGGTCTGCTTGGAGTAGGATCCAGCTGTGTCATTTTGAATCTTGTACAACTGTTAGACTGCTTTGAGTCATTCTCCTAAAACTGTAATTTTATTTTAAATTATATTTAAATTAATTAAAAATATAATTTTATAACTTGCCCCGGAGACATTTTACAGACATGCTTTTAGCAAAAATATAACCCACAAAATAAAAGTTACTTTGTGAAACCCTCTCCCAAAATTTATATAACATATATAACCATTTTTCTTAAAATTATTTTTAGATCTAAGCAATGGTAAACTCATTAGTCTGTTCATAATATGATTTTATACTCCCTGGCATCTGCAAGCACAGAACATAGAGAACTCAGCTTGAGGAAAAACAGTAAGCAAATTAAAAAGTAAAATAAATCTTAGCCTATGTTCACACACTCAAAATTTAAATAACAGTTTTTCTAGGGGAAAGGAGTGGGAGGTGGAGGCAGAGAGATCAATCCATTTGCCTCTCACTCCAGGTCTGAGAACCCTCATTTTCTATTCTTCAAATTAATGAAATGAACACAAGACCACTCTGATGAGGAAGTCTGAAATAATGGAAACGCCGTGGCATTTGCATTCCCTTTCAATGTGAACAGGCTATTTTGATAGTTAGCAAAACCAGGACAAATTGCCTGAGATTTCATCCTTTGTTGCTCTAAAATGGCTCTCGGGCTGTAATAGGCCATATCACTGCAAAATGCACTTACCTTTAAATAGGCAGGCAAAGTGGATTGTGTTAAATATAAAATTAGTGACATGTTCTCTCAACTCATGGAGTCTAATTCTAATTCAAAAGACTTCTGCTCACTTCAGACAATGCCTGTTCCTTCTTGTTTATAACCTCAATTCCAATTTTCTGCAATTCAAATAAATCCCACCTACAGCCCTGGGCTTTGGTCTCACCCACCTCTGCCCCAGACACCAGGCTCAGACTCCCAGGCCCTCTGTCTGCCCCGCACGCCTGCCATGTCTGAGCTCTTGAGCATGGGTCTGTACTGCCTAGGAGGCTCTTCACCAGGTTTCCACATCACGGATGCCTCGTCACCATCCTGGCCTGGGCTTAAACGTCATCTCCTCCCAGTGGCTTGGCCTGAAGAACTGCTCTGATGTCTTCTTCCCCACATTTGCACCATGTTTGATCATCTTACTCTGGCTGGTTAGTGCTGTTCCCATCAGACCCTCTCCCCAACACTGTAAGCTTTGCTGGGATCAGGACCCTGGGTCCCCAGTGCACACTGGGGGAATCCGGCTGCAGCTGGTGACTCAGGCTGCAGGAGCCCATGCCCAGGGCAGTGCCCCTGACCAGTGGCTAGAAACAGCATGGCAGCCCACACCTACAGGGCCTGGCAGACACCTCTGTCCCAGCATAGCTTCACCCCTCCCCTCCTCCCCCAGCTCCCTGCTGCAGCCTCCCCAGACCCTGAGATCCACGCAGCTGTGAGGAGCCCTCAGCTCTCCCTGCAGGCCTGGAGTTGGCCGGCTCCACTGCTGGTCCAGCCCTGGCTCCTGCCTCCAGCCTCACTCCTGGGCATCTACCCCCAACAGGCACCGGGTATAATCACCTATTCTCTACCTGCTCATCGCACGCCCACCTCCATCTGCAGGTCTTTATCATGGTGTAAGGCTCCCCTGGGTAAAGTTCTCCATGAGCATAAGAGGCATCTTTTTTACAACTGAATCCCAGCACAAACAGGTCTCAATCACACCACTGCCCTCTCATGAGCCAAGGAACCTGCCTGGGCCAGCCCCCGACGGTCCTGGCACTCTGTGTACTGGACCCAGCCCCAGCACTGGTGGCTGTGACTGTCTCCTCCCCACAGCATCACAGGTGGGTGAGTGTCTAGCCTAGGAGGGTAGGTCTCAGCCAACCTCAGTTCACTGTGTCTTCAGGTTGCATTTTCATTGTAGTGAATACTCAGAATGGAATAATGCAATGAAGGGCTGTGTCCTGTTTCAAATGGACCACAGGTGCCCCTTCCCAGTTTGCTCCTTTCCTTTTTGAACTAATGGTAGAAAATTCCCTTTACCCTTAGAAACTCAACTCCAACAGTGATTTAGCTACATTTTATTCTTAAGGCTGCTCATAGTAATTCACATATCCATGAGAGAAAGACCAATTTACTTAATGGTACAAATCTTATTCCCCATCACATAACACAGCTGGTCAAAAATGCATTCTTTCAAGCCAAGATGAAATAATTCCCAGAATGTCCCTTTTAGTCAAATTTGGCTCTTGACAAGTCTAGAGAGAATCCCCATAATAGGCTTCAAAGGCTGGCCCCACAGCCCCCACTGGCAGCTGGTAGGGATTCCCAGTAGGGGAAGCCTCCCCAGACCCCTTCTCTGCTACTGGCTGTCCCTCAAGGGGTCTCAAGGTCTCTCAGACACCAAACACAGACTCCTCCATGGGAAAAAAAAAAAAAAAAAACAGCTACCTTCTGGCCCTAGGATCTGTGCATTCTCCTTTCCTAAAGCGAACCACCCTCATCCTCTCATAAAGAACCAAAAAGCACGTCATTCACCTGATGGCTCTACACCACCAACCCTGTTACTCTATTCCCATGCCCTGCTTCTATGTATTTGTTGCTGTAAGACTTCTTACTACCCAGCATTACATTGTCAATTTGTTTGTCTGTCTACCCTCTGTCTATCCTAGAGAATGTGAGCTTAGAGTGTACAACAGTACCTAGAAACGGATGACCAAGGAAATCTGCTGAATGAACTAACGACTGTGTGGTTACCGTGGCTCTAGCTGGCATGCCACTTTAGGATATATCTTGAGTTTTAGGAATTCAGGAATTCCTGCAATCTTTCAAAGGGATCATGGGGCTTCCCTGATTGCAGAATTCAGCAATCTATGAGCGAGTATCTATGCATTTCATTGCCTCTGCTTTGGAAGAGACTGTTGTTCTGTAATAGGTCTGGTATTCATTAAGCCTTTCAAAAAGATGTTCCCTGGTGCATAGGTCAACATTGCAAAGTGTTTCCTTCGCCTTCCTAAACAAGCCTCACATAAGAAGCTATGTGATTACTGGATGTTTGGGTGATTAAAACCACATCCTTGCCTTTCCTCAGCATCCCTTCACCTGTTCAGTGTCCCACACTAATCCACAGCTGTGCAATGTATCATAAATCAGACTCAGAGTCTCTGGAAGGGTCATGTGCTGCAAATTACAGAATACCCAGATCACACAGACACATCCACATGGTGCAAAATAAACCATGAAGGAGAAAAGAATCTCACTCTCGCAGGTTTGACCTGAAGCATACATGACATACATACATAGAGCACACATGAATAACCAAACTACTTCCACTGGAGTTAAACCTTACAGCTCATCCATGCTCCTCAAGCAGAGATCAGAGGACACTGGGGCAGGGCAGGGCGGTGGCAGTGCACATGGAGTCTCACGAAGCTTGAGAAACAATGCCTTAGACGGTGAAAAAAGTCTTGTGTTAAAAACTAACATTTCAAAATGGAATTTTGGTAAAACAATCAAGAAGAAAGCATGGCAGACCATGGCCCGAGTGTTAGGCAGACTCCAAGACTCGAGTTTCTCAAAATGGGAGTTTGTGGCTCCCAGGGAATCTCAGCTATGATCCAGGTTGAGAAACTGCTCTAAACCCAGTGAGACTTGTTTCCTGCAACTATTTAACTGTGGTCTGTTTTGAGAGTACTGTACACCTGTTTTCCTTTCCTCCCCATTTTCCCCTCTTCCCTATCACTCTCCAGGCTGCGCCCTACTAACTCCATCCTGCTTGACAAACGTGTTTGCTTCTTTCAGTGACTTTTCCCTCCCATTTTCTTTTTTGGAAAGTCTGCCTTTGTCTGGCATTTGTGTTTTTAAGACAGCAAGAAACGTGAGCTCAGAGATCTGCATCCACTCTGTGCTCCCCACTGGCTCCGGGGTGGGAGCAGTCTTCCCAGTCTGCAAACCCTCAAAGGGGAAGTAATATAAATTTCAAATGAGGACACCCTCCTAAAGAAGCAGCTGGACCCACATTTTGGTACATCTGCCTGGCACTCCCAGGAATGAGCAGTGGGGACCATGTTTGACCAGCATAGTGCATCCTGGGTGATGCTTGGGGCAAATTTTCAGCACTGCTTGTTTAATTTTTATGTTTGTTAATATCCTTTTTAGGGGATGATAAAACTTACCCAAGCCTTCAAACCATCTTTATAGTGTAGTTTTATAAATTGTTATTTGGTTCTAATCAAACTCTGTGGGAGGGAAAGGTGGACATAAAAATAAGGCCCTTGGATTCTTTCAAGAGAATGTTGCTGCATATATATATACACATATATATACACACATATATATGTATATATATACAATATGTGTGTGTGTGTGTATATATATACACACACAAAATGTAAATGGAACTCTAAAGATGCTCTTTCACTGTGGTTGAAAGTAAGTATCACATCTGGGTAAGCAACTCATCCCAGTTTGCCCTGGAGTTTTCGGTTTTAGTGCTGGAAGATGGAAGACCTCCATCCTGGGAAGTCCCTCAGGCCTGGTTGCTCATGCTATTTTTATGAAACATGACAGCAGAGCACAGGCATCTACTGAGGGAACCATTAAGCCCTTTGCTACTGATGAGTCAACCGATGTACTAGAGCAGCCAATGGCAACAAAGCTAGATCTGGGATCTGGGCAAAGTAGAACTCAGGTGTACAAGGAATGATCCTATCTGGTGATTTCACTCCTGGGGTGAGAACATGCAGAGTTCCTGCCATTCCATCGGGCAGTTCAGATGTCGGAGATCTTGCCATTTGTCATTTTCTCTACAATGTCAGGAATCATATTGTAAAACACCTGACACTGACCTGGAGAAGAAAAATGTAGCTGTTTAATTCATGTGTAACATACTCAGATTATCTTATATGTTAGCAATACTCCATTAGGTCTCGTCTACCTGCAAAGAGCCCTGGGTCCCATCGCTGAGGAAGCGCCTCTACTCACCCTCCAGAGGACATGGACTTCCTGAAGGAAAACAGCACTGCCCATCTGGCACTGGGGTCAATCGTTTTTAAACTTTAAGAGAACTTTTTATTCCCCAAAGACATTCCTATGCAGAATCTAATATATAAAACAGACAAAAGTGGTGTTCTGTGAGCAGAGATTTCTTTTATAAGTTCAGATGTAAAATATGTATTACATATTCAGTCGAGAACAAAAAGGTTGGAAACTGGCATTATAGAGGGCAGCTGAAGTCATAACAGCCTACAAAAATCATCTACTTCTAAATTTAATTTTGGCTGCCCAGTATCAAGAAAATTCTGGAAACAGGTTTTACTTTGTAATTTTAGGATACCCTCAAATGAAATGCATTCGGAAGCTTGAAAACAAAATGCAAGGGAACACTGATGCCAATGCTGAATCATGAAGAGAAACCAATAAATGACTTCTCCACTCGTTTAAGTATTAATTACTTGGGAGAAAATGTTTTTCAAACGTATCTGTAACATTACGGAATTTCCAACGATGTTATATTTTGAAATATCAATCCAGTCTTTAGACAGAATTTCAAACGGTCATATTTACTTTGTTTTCCATGCTGACCCCTAACCTCCTGTCCAAGAACTCAGAAGGCCCAAAAAGATCAAATGGACAGGAGGTGGGGGCCAAACAAAAATGACAATACAACTTCCTGCTTCAATCTTAAATTGTCTTTTAGACGTTACATTCCACTTCATTAGTTATCCGAAACCAAAGTCCATGAAGCTGTCCCTGACTTTTCCTATCCCTTCCGAACATCTCCCACTAGTGCAAAAGGCCAGGGAAGAATCAGGTCATTGAAAAGAAATGATGGCTTTTTCCAGTAAACAATGATTTCTTAAAGCCTAAAGTCTACAATGGACTATAAAGCTTTCCCTATCAAGTACATAAGCCAAAGGCTCACATTTAAAGAAAAAAAACATAACTGCAATATTGTTGCAACTAGCTATAAAATGTAAAAATTTAAAAAGTAAACGTCTAAATTACTAAAATAAGCTGATATTTAGATTCTAAGAGGAGATCAGTAACCATGCTCAAGATGATCCTAAAAACACTGTCTTCTATTAATTGGCCTGTTTTAAAAGTAACAGAACACTTCATATAATATTGCATCTCCAACTTCTATTCTTATTCACCATTCTGAAACTAGACTGAGAGGTTGGATAATTAATAAAATCACCCCTTTCCCCTGGCTCTTGATTATCCTTCATCAGGGTCATGTTTGTACTTCTCTTGTCGATTGTAATCATTTATTTGAAACAGTGTCTCAGCAGTTCATTAGCTTTTCATTAGTGCCTGTAGGTTGGATAAAATGTGCTTGAATTTCCAAAGTAAATGCAAATCCCCTTGGTAATCCAGCAAGGACATGAATTCCCAGAACATTTTCAAGTAAGACAGCTCCAATCAGAACTTGGATTTTAGTGAAAAAAGTGGTGTCCTCCTGAATGGCAGAGAACCCACGCTCCCATCCAGTCCTAAACATCAATTCTGAAAATGACCATCACAGTTTGGCTTCATCTTCAACCTGACCGTGGTATTCAGGAATGTCAGTTACTTAATTACAAACAAGGAGGGCAAGTCAAAAGAATTCAACACAAATTTTAAAAGCCAATGTATCAGCTACTCAGTAAGTTAAAAATATGGCTGCCAGGACCCCACCTGGACAGTCAAACTCAGCAGCTCCAGCCTTGAACACAAGAGACCTGGATCCGCATCCTGCCTCCGGCCCTGGGCAGCTGTGTAGACCTACACATCACAAGCTGAGCTTGGTGTCTGTATCTTCAAAAAAGGAAAGATGATCCACAGTTCTGAGACTGGGATGGAGATCACAGAAATAATGAAGGGGAAGTGCCTTGCACTGTCCCCAACACATAGCAGGCCTCCACAAATGACCGCTTTACAAAGATCACAGATGCAGCCTCCCCAGTGTTAAAGTATGTCCTCAGTGGACAGTCAAAATGGACTCCCCGTGGCTAACTGACGTGTGCAAAACGAAAGCAGAGCCAGGTGGCCATAGTTGGGTGAGGAAAAGGTCATGTTCTCTGTGTTCTCAGAAATATATTGTAAAAGTGTCACAGGACCTCCCTTTCTACCATCCAGTCAAACCAGTTCCTGTTGTCAGTGCTGAAATAGAGTGTAGCTGGAAATGCCGCAGCTGACCACCCAGAGACCCCCTGAGGCCAGCCCATGAAGACAGACTTGTGATGTCCTCCTTAAAGACCATCCAACCCGGCCCCTGTACCTGAATCCCCAGCTATCCTGTGGTTTGCACCTTTATGACCTTCTATCCCCAGTCTCTCCTTGGAGTACATTTTTGTTTTTTGCTGAAGGCTGTCTCTCCCAATCTTCAGATTGCTTTTAGAAAATAAAGTTATCCTTTTGCCTCCGCAGATCTCACTGGTCTTTTGTTAACACCCGTAAGGGAAGATAGAATTGCAGGACTGAAATGCATGCCATGAGACAGAGGAACAGGTCAAACAGGTTAAACAGAAACACACATGAAACAAGGTTATGTACTAACCAGTTGAGGAAAATGAGGCCAGAGGCAACAGGAACTTAACCATGTACATGTGTATTTCCCCTGAAGGCAATGGCTCAGTATTCACTAACTGAGTATCCATGATGACTTCATAAAACAAAACTGCTGCAAATGATGAGAACTGGCAATACATATATTTCCTAGTTCTGTCCCCTAATAGAGCATAGAAGCAATGATACCCAATAGTAAGGAGCTCAACTAGCACCCTGGTTTTCTAATACCAAGGCTTCAGACGATCCAATCACTCTGAGCTATGGGAGGACATTCTCTGATAAAAGGAGAAACACATAAGCAGCTGATGGTAGGGGCAGGGAAAGCATCAGAATGTAAGATGAACCAGGAGCATCTTATAGTGCTAGAAAATTGGAATTACACACACACACACACACACACACACACACACACACACACACACACACAAACAGTAGAGGGTGGGAGAAGATGAAGCAGGAGCCAAATGGCCAAAGGTCAAATAACTTGAGCAACAAAATAAATACCCACACTATTGAATTACAACCTAAAGGCCAAAATAAATAGACAGGAGTCCATATTAATGTCACAATGACTAAATTAACAATGGAGGAAGAGACCAATTTTCCTTAAAAAAGAATTCCAAATCAGAAATGTGAAAAACAAAGGAGGGAAACAGAAAGTCACCCCCAGAACACCAGGGTGATTGCTGCTGGGCCCAGATCCACTCTAGAATGCTAACATCAGTGCTTGAAATTTTAAGAAGAAACAGGACATTTGCAAGGCCTGGAAGTATCTCCCCCAGAATATTTATTAATCACTATGGCTTTAACTCACGTCCACTAATTCTTTGACACGCTCTCCCCCAGGAGGCAAAGCTTAATCCTCCTCCTCTTGAGTGTGGGCTGAACTTAGTGACTGGCTTCTAACAAGGAGTAAGGGAGGGGAAAGATGGTGACTTCACAGAGGAGACATCTGGCAGACACCAGCTTGGCCAGGTGATCAAGGTTAACTCACCAGTAGTAAGTCACATGTTGACATCATGATATGATGTGATGAGGGGGGTACCTTACCTCTGTGGTGGTCTTCCTCATATTCGTAACTCCAGTCTAACAATGAGAAAGCATCAGACAAACCCAAATTGAGGGATATTCTACAAAATACCTGATCCATATACTTCAAAGTGTCAAGGTCATGAAAAACAAGGAAAGACTGAGAAACTGAGATTAGAGGAGATTCAAGAGATATGATGATTAAATGAAACATGGTACCCTGGATAAAAAGACCATTAGTAGAAAAATTGGTGAAATCCCAAAAAAGTCTGTAGTTTAGTTATTTTTAGTTTTGACAAATGTATGATGGTTACATGAGATGCTGATTTTTGAGCAACTCCCCGCTTCTGTGTTAAATGATTAATACAGGAGTCCCCTCACTTCCTTTTCCTGTTCTAATGCCAGATACCAGCCAAAGCACATCATTTTTGCATCATCCTACATGTGGGGAAATATTTTTTATTCTGCATATCATAGAATAGTATGCATTGATCATAAAATTTTCTGCAGTAGACTTGAGTTAACTTTTCACCTATAAAATTACAACCCTCACTCGTTTCCAACATTAGCATGAAGAAAATGGTTACTCCCAGGTTTCCACATCTTACTGGAGAAAACCGCAATTAATGTCACCACAAATATCCAGTTTCCAACGTTAGCTCAGCTGCCATTCTGTGTGTTCCTGTTCCTCAATCATACTCAATTCACCTGTGGTTCCCGTCCTGCCTCTCACCACAGGGTCGGCTGGGCCCAGGATGACAAGGGGCCTCCCTGCCTCTTCCACTGTCACCATCCTCTGCCTCAGGGCTGCCATCATCGCTCTCCCTCCTTTTCCTGAATCCCAGCACCACTGGCTCCTCCAGGGCCCGCTCCAGGGGTTATCCCCTCCCCTGCCTCCACTCTGTCTCTACTCAGTCCTCCCACCCATGAGCAAACACAGCCACACTGTCTCCCCATCCCAAAAAAGAACGTTCCTCAGTTCCTCAAAACATTAAACACAGAATGACCATATGATCCAGCAATTCCACTTCTGGGTATATACCCAAAAGAACAAAAGAAGGGAGAGGCATGTGTACCCCCATGTTCACGGCAGCATTACTCACAATAGTGAAAAGGTGGAGGCAAACCAAGTGTCCATCCACAAATGCGTGCATTGATAAAATGGAGTCCATCCACACAATGGAGTGTTATTCAGCCTTGAAAGGAAATTCAGACACATGCCACAACATGGATGGACCCTGAGGACACTGTGCTGAGCAAAATAAGCCGATCACAAAAGGACAAATATGTGTGACTCCACTTCTGTGAGGTACCTACGGTAGTCAAATTCTTAGAGACAGGAAGTAGAGTGGTGGTTGCCAGAGCCTGGGGAGAGGAGGGAATGTGGAATTCGTGTTGAATGGTGACTGGATACAGAGTTTCAGTTGGGGAAGATGAAAAGCGTTCTGTGGATGGATGGTGGTAGTCATACGAAGGTGACTAATAATCCCCCAAATGCCCAATCCCATCACCCATTCTCAGAACTCCATGGCATTTGACACTGCTAACCAACTTCTACAGCATTAAGCCCGCTGCTCCCCAGCTCTCGTTCTGCAATTGTTGAGGGACAGTTATGCGCACGTGTGTGTGTGTGAGAATATACGTTATGAATTATACTGGGTGTGCATTTATGTACATATATGCATATAGACGATATTTTTTTAATTCCACTTACTGAACATCTACTACCATTATCAGAAATTACACAAGTATTTACATGCATCATCCCATATAATCCCCCCAAATTGCCCTGTATTGCTTCCTGACTCCATCTACACCATCACCAGTTTTTTCTTGGTTTCTTTGCTGGCATTGTCATATGGTGGAGTCCTTGGGGTTCTGTCCCTCCTCATCTGCCCAGGTGAGCTCACGCACTTTCATAGCTCACCGCCATCTCTGTGGTGATGGCTCTGAGTCTTCCTTTCCAGTCCAGGCCCATCTGCTGAGCTCCAGACACCACACCCATGTGTCCACCCAACATTTCCCATGAGCCTCTCAAAGTCAGGACAGCCAATACCAACCCAGTTCTCTCTCCATCCCTCCCTCCCAATTCCTCTCCAGCATCTATGCTCCTTGTTTTATAACCTCTGTTGCTGTTGTCCCCCTGAAGCACCAAGGGAAAGGAAAAGCCTCCTCACTGGGATTCCTAATGGAAGCGTTTGCACACAGTGACCCTCCCAGCACGGACCCCTTGTTAATAGATGGGTAGGAAGCACCAGGAACAGAGTATGTTCAAAATCAGATAAGCGTTATAAAAACTGGTATGGGGTCAGAGTGGAGATCATTTTCCAAACCAACTATTCGAACCACCCCATCGCCATCTGGGTAAAGACTGGGTTGTGCCTCCAGCAAGCTACTCTGACTTGGGAAGACCGTGTGCAACTATCTTTGGGAAACACAGCCGCATGCTCCTTGGCTGGAAATGATCAGAGGCTCTAAGGAGTGTAAAAAGGGAACACAACCCTGATTCTAATTTTTATTCTTGGAGAAATCACGTTTTATTTTTCATATCAAAGAGGGGGAACTCTGTGGGCAGAGTACTCTGCCGAGAACCAGTTCTGTTCTGCAACTTGTCCCAATCATCAGGAAAACACATGTTCCAGGGAAGCCCCCATCAGGGCACACACAGCCCCAAATCAGGGCATGCTGTCACTTCCTCTCATTCCCTCGAGAGCCCACCTGGCCAAAGAGGCTCCAGTGGCCTGATTGGAGGGCACATCAATAATATGGAGGGTCCCCGTGCCCCCCGACCTGGAAAGTCAGCCTCAGCGATGGGGCTCTCGGGGCCTCTTAAAATGGGAAAAACAGAAGATGAAAAGGCTGTTTGCACTTGTCAGCAATGCTGGCACTGCTCACTATCCATACTTTACCCTCCCCAATTAAAACCACACACTTGATCTGTTCACATAACAAAGCCTCCCTTAGAGCCCCCAGAGGTGCCTGCTCCCAAAACAGCACTGTCAGGGCACAGCCTCAGTCCTCACTGGACAGAAACCAGGGGCAGGGACCAATCCTCTCTCTGTCCCAGCCCTTTCAAACCAAAGACAGCGTCTCTGCGAAGGAGGGAAGCCGCATGTTTTCATGCTGAGATACAGTGCAGATTTATGATCGGCACCTGTGAGGTCCTCAGGTACCTCTTGCTGGAACAGAGCAACAGGTTTCTAAAGGTTCTGGCCCTTGGCCTCTACATTTGTCACCACTCCTGTGGTCACTCTTCAGTGGAAGTTGCTCACCAGCCTCCTTGTCCCACATGTAAAAGCCAAAAGGAGGGGCCCTACAGCACCACTGTCATTGGAATCCTTCCAACATTCCCCACCCACCTTATGCAGTGGGAAGACAAGGTTCCTACCAGACCCTCCAAAGCCCAGGAACCTCTCCCTGTGCTGACATCCAAAGATGCCCGGCGTTCCAAAACACCAGAAATCCAGGGAAGAGGCCCTACCTTGGGGATGAGTACATTAGGAAATAGCCAAGGAGCAGGATTAAGTAATTATACACTAGCCCACCAGGAAACCATGACACTGAACATCCCATGGGGCCCACGGGTCTGGTGGGTGTTTCTCGCCCACTGGGGGCTGGATAAGTGAGCATGAGGGTGTGCCCCAAGAAGTGTCCGAGGCAGAGCTCAATCCTTTAGAGGTTTATTTTGCCAAGGTTGGGATGTACCCAAGCAAAAGAAACACAAGTTACAGTAGGGTCTGCGGCCTGGGCTTTTCTCCAAAGAGGGGTCTGAGAAAGAGCAAGCAGGAGGGGAAAAGGAGAGAGGGGTGCCCATGAGGCAAGTGGTTACATCCTCGGAGGCTTTGATTGGCATTCAGTGAATCTGCATCTTACATATAAAAAGAAGGGGCCGGGCGCGGTGGCTCACACCTGTAATCCCAGCACTTTGGGAGGGGGAGGCGGGTGGATCACAAGGTCAGGAGATCGAGACCATCCTGGCTAACATGGTGAAACCCCATCTCTACTAAAAATAGAAAACATTAGCCAGGCGTGATGGTGGGCGCCTGTAGTCCCAGCTACTCAGGAGGCTGAGGCAGGAGAATGGCGTGAACCTGGGAGGTGGAGCTTGCAGTGAGCCGAGATCGCGCCACTGCACTCCGCCTGGGCGACAGAGCAAGACTCCGTCTCAAAAAGAAAGAAAGACAGACAGAAAGAAAGACAGACAGAAAGAAAGACAGACAGAAAGAAAGACAGACAAAGAAAGAAAGAAAGAAAGAAAGAAAGAAAGAAAGAAAGAAAGAAAGAAAGAAAGAAAGAAAGAAAGAAAGAAAGAAAGAGAAAGAGAAAAGAAGGGGATAGGGGAAAAGCCAAGTATGCATTCTTCTCAGGCTCAGCAAATCTACATTTTATATAAGCAAGCATGTGAAATCACGGCTATCCGTTGCGGGGTGCGGGATAAAAAGGAAAGTGGTTTTTTGCATGACTCAGTTCTCAAGCTTAACTTTCCCTTTGGCATAGTGAGTCTGGGGTCCACAGCTTCCTTCTTTTTTTTCTTTTTTTCTTTTTTTTCTTTTTTTTTTTCTTTTCTGTCACCCAAGCTGGAGTGCAGTGGCTTGATCTCAGCTCACTGCAAACTCCGACTCCCAGGTTCAAGCGATTCTCCTGCCTCAGCCTCCCGAATACCTGGCACTACAGGCGCCCACCACCATGCCTGGCTAATTTTTGTATTTTTAGTAGAGACGGGGTTTCACCATATTGGCCAGGCTGGTCTCGAACTCCTGACCTTGTGATCCGCCCACCTCGGCCTCCCAAAGTGCTGGGATTACAGGTGTGAGCCATCACACCTGGCCGGCAGATTTCATTTTCCTTTCACAAATGCGTGGTCTACTGGACAAGCCCTGAGATGAAGATGGCTAGAGAGGCTCCACAGTCCCTGGAGGGGGGCACTGGCAGGCGGTCCACGGCCACTCAGGCTGAGACCCTGGCTCTAGAAAAGGGAGGAAGTGCAGGTACCAATAAGGTTTAAGGATGGATGTATCAGACTGTGGACAAAGACTAAAAGAAACAGGGCTGCCAGCCCAATACTGACACCTTGCTTCCTCATAGAATAGCAGATGTGTTGGGGTGGCAATGTGCCCAACTGCTATGGTCTAAATGTTTGGGTCCCCCCAAAATTCCTATGTTGAAATCCTAACACCCAATGTGATTGTATTAGGAGGTGGAGCTTTTGGAGGTGATTTGGTGATGACGGTGGAGCCCTCATGAATGGAATTAGTGCGAGATACTGGGATTTACAAGAAGAAATATATATCTGCTCTTCTTGTTTCCTGGCATGCAGCTCCTAACACTTGGAATCTCCAAGGTGATGTGTCTTTTTGTGTGCTAATAAGATGAGTGGTAGTGAGGGGCTTCTGGACAGCCTCAGGATGGGGGCTGATTGCCAAGTGAACCAACCCTGTGATTAGAGCGTTGGAACTTTCAGGCCCACAATCCCACCACCACCCCTCACCTTAGGGAAGGGAAGAGGGGCCAAAGGTTGAGTTAATCACCCAACAACCAATGATGTAATCAATCAAGCTATGCAATGATGCCTCCATAAAAACCTAAAATAACTGGATTTGGAGAGCTTCCAGTTGCTGAGCACATGGAGGTTCCTGGAGGGTGGCGCCCAGAGAAAGCTCCACACCCCTTTCCACAAATAAGAGGTTACCCTGTGCATCTCCTCCATCTGGCTGTTCATCTGTATCCTTTGTAATATCCTTTATAATAATTGGGTAAATGTAAGCAAGAATGTTTCCCTGAGTTCTTGAGCCATGCCAGCCATCCCACTCCTGGAGAAGGGAGTTGTGAGAACCCCAATTTATAGACCATCAGTCAGAGGTACAGATCACAACCTGGGATTTGCAACTGCCATCTAGAGTGGAAGCATCTGAGCCCTCAACCTGTGGGATCTGATGCGAATTCCAGGCAGACAGTGTCAGGACTGAACTGACTTAGAGGACACCCAGCTGATGTCTGCTGGAGAATTGCTTGCTGTATGGGAAAACATCCCACACACATCTGGGCGACCAGAGAAGCATTCTAAATTATTGAGAGTGAGGGCTGGAAAAACTGTGTTTTTCTATATCTCGAACAGTGCCCTTATAAATTAAGAGGCCGAAGAGAGCTAGTTCGCCCCTTCCACCAAGTGAGGACACAGCAAGAAGGCATGATGCAGAAGGAAGCAGGCCTTCCTCAGACACTGAATCTGCCAGCACCTTGATCTTGGACTTCTGGCTCCAGAACTGTGAGCAATAAATGCCTGTTGTTTTTAAGCTACCGACTCTAAGGCATTTTGTTATAGCAACCCCACACGGACTAAGACACCAACTAACACTCCTTTCCCAGACCACACTGGCTTAGGAGTGGCCATGTGACCCAATTCAGACTAAAGAGGTGAGGGGGGAAGTCTGCTAGGTGGTTCTTGGAAGGTTTTTTTTTCCTGGAACAGGTTCCCCACGTTTCTGTTTCCAATTCTTGCTGCCTGGAAGACAGACACGCTACTTGGAGAAATAGAAGCCCTGCAGTAATCCTGAGACAATACGCACAGAGCAAAGCCAACATGCCAAAGTTGGCCAGCAGAAAGGAGGAGGAGCCTCGGTCCCCAGTGGCACCATGGGGTGGGGAGTGAGATCATGGCTTTTTCTTGATATACGTGTATACTGTTTCACCTGTGCATTAGTTTTGTATGGCTGCCACAACAAATTACCTCAAAGTCAGCAGCTTAAAGCAACACAAATTTATGATCTTGCATTTCTGTAGGTTAGAAGTCCCAAACAGGTCTCCCTGTGGAGACTCTAGGGCTGAATCCATTATCCTGCCTTTTCCCACTCCTAGAGGTGACCCACATTCCTTGGTTGTCAGCCACCTTCCTCCATTCCTGACTTCCAGAGCCAGGAGCATGGTATCTCTTGAGCCATTCTTCTGCAGTCACACCTCCTTCTGATTCTCCTCTTCTGCCTCCCTCTTCCACTTATGGGACTTTCTCTCACCCAGATAATCCAGGATTACATCCCTTTTCGAGGTCAACTGACCAGCAATCTTAATTCCATCCACAACCTTAATTCCCCTTTACCACATAACCTAACATGTTCCAGGGATTAAGGCATGGACATCTTTGTGGAGGGGGGTCACTATTCAGCCAACCACAAATTCTTACAGCAAGCAAATTCCTTTTGTTATTTAAAACACAAATCAAATAATTTTTAATTAAAATATTTTAATTGAATATTAAAAATTGGGACTGTAATCCAATAAATCAAAAAAGAAAGTCCAACCTTTAAAGCACAATGAATCAAGAATGCTAAGATTTCCATGGAGAAAAGAAGTCATTCTGGGATTAGATGAGAACAGGCCCCTTCTACCACCTCTGCTGATCAGTGGGCATGCCTTTACTCATAAAAAACAGAGTACAGGGAGCTCTGCATAGCACAGTCTTCGCCAGGCTGAGGCTGCTTCCCAGCTCCTGTGTGTCTGACTGGGCTAGTCCTTCACATCCCATGCAAAAGGTTGAATTTTTTTATTTTCTTTGAGACAGGGTCTCACTCTGTTGCCCAGGCTGGAGTGCAGTGGCACAATCGCAGCTCACTGCAGCTTCAACCTCTGGGCTTAAGCCATCCTCCCACCTCAGCCTCCTGAGTAGCTGGGACTACAGGTGCATGCCACTGGGACTACAGGTGCATGCCACCAGACCTGGCTGATTTTTTTTTTTTTTTCGTAGAGATGGGGGTCTCGCCATGTTGCCCAAGCTGGTCTCGAACTCCTGGGCACAAGTGACCTTCCCACCTGGCTTTGAATATTTTTAAATTTACTTTAAAAAATGGGCTTGGCCGGGCGTGGTGGCTCACCCCTGTAATCCCAGCACTTTGGGAGGCCAAGGCAGGTGGATTACCTGAGGTCAGGAGTTCAAGACCAGCCTGGCCAACATGGTGAAACTCCGTCTCTGCTAAAAATACAAAAAAAATTAGCTGGGCGTGGTGGCAAGTGCCTGTAATCCCACCTACTTGGGAGGCTAAGGCAGGAGAATCACTTGAACCCGGGACGTGGAGGCTGCAGTGAGCGGGATTGAGTGCACTCTAGCACTGCACTCTAGCCTGGGTGATGGAGCGAGACTCTCTGTCTCAAAAAAAAAAGGGCTTAAGCAATTTCCAATTATTTAAATTTTTTTGAACTTAATAAGCCCAACAAGATCTTTCTCCTTTCTAATTAATGCTACCAGGTGAGCATCTTGAAAAACAGTGGCCTATAGGTGGGTCACCATTCTCCGTTGACACAAGCCCTCCTACAACAGCACCTCGGGGAGGGAGCCTCAATGGGCTCCAGTGCTTCACCTATGATGGGATTCTGTGGATTTAAAACGAAGACACACCACTGACCTTCAAGAATCTCCCTGGCAGATATCTCCCAAACATTCAGTCCTGATACAAGTATCTTCATAACTGGAATTCACCTACTTCCAGAACGTCAGGATGAGTACCCAGGACAGCTCTGACTGCCTGTTGCTTAAAACCATGCCCAGGTCATAAAGCCCTCACTGTACTGTACCCTAAATGCACTTAAGCGACTGTTTTCTACAGTGTCCTAGTACTGAATGTTGACACTAACCTATGAAACTAAGTGTCATACTTACTGTGAGGCAGAGAAACCATCAACTGACCACAAGGTTTGTTTCAAGAACAAATCGAGACGAACCAATAATGCAGAGGCTAAATTTTTCAAATCAATAATAATACAGTTCACATGCAAGAGCTTTTGAAAACTCTTCCATATGATAAATATCACATCACATCGGTAGAGATGGAAATTAGATTGCTCAACCAGGTGAATCAAATTTAATCCAGCTTTTTCCATCCTGTTTTCTAAATATCTTGTATTATTTTAAATTAGTTTTGAAAAATCAATCTGAAAGTATAAAAGATACAAATGAAATCTGGGTCTTGGAGCCCCTGGGTCTAGGAGCCTGATTCCAAGAACACATTTCACCTGCAGCTCCAACCAGGGGTCTCTTCCCAACCCCTGGCCTGAAGGTCTCCAGCCTGGGATGGAGCACCTCCTTCCTTAGAAACAAACACTGTTACTGCATCTACATGAAATGGCTCAAAAGAGTTAAGAGAGAATGTTGCGATCACTGAAGAATGGTCTGAATGAGAAAGAAAGAGTAGTGGACATTTAAAGCTTAATTGCCAGACTCAGCTTTTCCCTTAATCAGGGAAACTGACCTAATGAGAACAGAGGGGTCTCTGTGAAGCTGCCAAGCTCAAAGGAGGCAAGGCAGCATAAAGAGACATCTGAAGGCAGGTGTGACATCCAAACTAGGAGAAGCTCAGAGAAAGAAGCAACCAGGGACAGGACAACCTCCATGAAACGATGTGTTTGAGCTGAGGTGCTGGCCATGGTGCTGACAGGGGTCAGCTTGGGGAGGCCCAGGGAGGTGGAAGATGAAGGCTTGATCACTGACTGGATAGAAAGACAGGGACAGGAAGAAGAAGGAGCTTGGCAGGTGAAGTGCAGGCACAAATACCTACCCTTCTCTGCTTTCGGAATGTGATGAATGTGAATGATCACCCTTTATGTCCTTTATAGGACAAAAACCTCAGCAGAATAAATAACCAACATGTTAGTCACACTAAAGAACCACTCTGAAGCACAGAAGAATAAGCAGAGTAAGATGAACAAGACAAAAACTTTAATATTAAAGAAGAAAATAGAAGTTTGTTACAACAAAATTACACCAAACTTGTTAACAGAACAATGTGGCAGCTTAAGACTCAAGACTTTATTTTTCTCATCCTCAAAGGTCCACTTCATGGTTTTAATTAGACAAACATTTTGTAGAGTACTATAATTCTCTATCTTTTAAATACACATTCACATTATGGTGAAATTGGGAAATCCTAATATTTACTTGTATTAAGAAGTGTTTAAGCAGTCCCTTTCCTCTACAAACTCACCGGTACCTGTTGTTTTTTGACTTTTTAATAGAAGCCATTCTGACTGGTGTGATATGGTATTTCATTGTGCTTTTGATTTGCATTTCTCTAATGATAAGTGATATTGAGCATTTTTTCATAGGCTTGTTGACTGCACGTATGTCTTTGGAAAAGTGTCTGTTCATGTCCTTTGCCCACTTTTTAATGAGTTTCTTAGTTTTTTGCTTGTACATTTGTTTAAGTTCCTTGTAGATTCTGAATATTGGACCTTTGTCAGATGCATAGTTTGCAAATATTTTCTCCCATCCTGTAGGCTGCCTGTTTTCTCTATTGATAGTTTCTTTTCTGTGCAGAAGCTCCTTAATTATGTACCATTTGTCAATTTTTGCTTTTGGTGGTGTTGTCATGAAATCTTTGCCAGTTTCCATGTCCAAAATGGTATTTCCTGGGTTATCTTCCAGGGTTTTTATAGTTTTGGGTTTTTACATTTTAGTCCTTAATCCATCTTCAGTTGATTTTTGTATATGGTGAAGGGAACGGGCCCAGTTTCAGTCTTCTGCCTATGGTTAGCCAGCTATCCCGGCACCATTTATTGAATAGGGAGCCCTTTCCCCACTGCTTGCTTTGCAGGTGGGGGTGTAAATTAGTTCAATCATTGTGGAAAGCAGTGTGGCAATTCCTCAAAGAGCTAAAAACAGAATTACCATTCAGCCCAGCAATCCTAGTACTGAGGATAAACCCAAAGGAATATAAATCATTCTATCATAAAGACACATGCATGCATATGCTCTCTGCAACACTATTCACAATAGCAAAGACACTGAATCAACCTAAATGCCCATCAATGGTAGACTGGGTAAAGAAAATGTGGTACATATACATCATGGAATATGATGCGGCCATTAAAAAGAATGATGTTCCTGCAAAGGAACATAGATGGCCATTATCCTTAGCAAATTAATGCAGGAACAGAAAACCAAATACTGCATGTTCTCACTTAAAAGCGGGAGCTAAACAATGAGTACACATGGACAGAAAGAGGGGAACAACAGACTCTGGGGCCTACTTGAGAGAAGAGGGTGGGAGGAGAGAGAGATTCAGGAAAAAAAAAAACTGTTGGGTACTATGCTTAGTACTCAGGTGAGGAAATAATCTGTACACCAAACCCCCAAGTCACGAATTTACCTGTATAACAAACCTGCACTGAACCTAAAATAAAGGTTAAAAAAAAAGAAGTGTTAACAGCTCCAAATAAGTAAGAGTAACTGTCCACTCCCTGCAGTTGTTCCCACTGAGCCTCTGGTGGCCCCACCCCAATCCCTATGGGGTCTAGAAAGAGTGCCCCGGTCTCCCTGGTCCTTCGCTGATGATGGGGGGTGGCAGCTCTCTGGCCGGCCCTCGGCCCTCGGCCCTCGCCTCTCGCCTGTTAGGTACCCTGGACTTCTCCACATCCTTCCCCACCCCTTCTCGCCTCTCCCACAGGAGTCTGCAGGACCAGGCCAGCAGGTGGCTCAGCTGAGCATCTGCAGACACAGCACACCGACCCCACAGAGAAAAGGCACTCCCAGACCACTGTCACAGAGAGCTCATGTCGGGGGCGCGAGGGGCTGAGAGGGGCCAGTCACAAGTCAGGCAAGTCCATACAGGGACACAGAGAGCAGGCAGAGGTCAGGGCAGCTGTGGATGACTCGGGGCGTGACTGAAATGCATGAAAGGATGGTTCAAGAACAGCCCAGCAGCTCCCCTCTGCCCACCACGGGAGGGTCTTCACTATCAGTGAGGAATTAAGACTGCAGGCAGCGAAGCCCCCTCCCCACCGGAACCTTGCAGGGCTCCCTCGAGGGGCCACCACTCCTATCACAGCCACTGTCCTGCTCATCCCAGTGACCTTAGGGGCCCCACCCCCCTGCAAGTCCTGCTCACTGGCAAGCCTAGCTTGGAGGCAACGCTCGGGGCAAAGCCAGAGGGTCCTCCCCAGGCCTTCTGTGCAGACCTCTGCGAAGAATCCTGCTCAGCAGTAGATATTTATTGTATTTTAATATCAGGGCCAAAAGCTACAGTTCGCTTTTCAGTTAAGTAAATGTGTATTCACTAAAGGGTTTTAAAACCTTTTTCCTGAAAAAAATGTTCTAGACCATCAAATGCCTTTTTATATTGTTAACTTTTACTCATTTAAAATGCATGTTTTCTAAGCCACATTTTACACACTTTTCTATATAGACAACTCTCAATTAATTCCCTAAGCCAAACCCAGAAATGTTTAACACACACTTTATTGACACTAAGGCACAAATGATGAGTGGCCTCTAGTGTTACCCACAACCATCTGCTTTCTCAGCAGCACTGGCACCTGGTGCTGACAGCCCCTCACCCACCCCCATCTCCCATTCCCCATCCCAGAGCAGGCAAGAGGGGAAGTGGATATTGGGAATCCTGAGAGAGCAGGGATTTGGGGCAAGCAGTAACCAGAGAAGGGAAGCCATAGCCCTTCACCCTCGTCAGCTCCCAGAAGCCTCTGAAACACCAGGAAGGAGGCCTCATGCCACATGGTATGGAATGGGGCTCAACTAATGTGATGTGGCGAATAAGCAGAACACGGGCTGCTTGGCTGTTTCATCTGCTTCTGTTTTCTTGGTAGTATCTGGCCTATCAGAGACAATTATACCACACCACAGTCACAGTCCTACCTGCCTCTGAGTCCTAAGTGCAGATTCTTAAGAAGAACAGACGGGAATCCTTTAGCGTCACAGGGTAGGTGTGAGTCTGCGCTCCAGGCTCCAGAGATGCTTCTGCAAGCATGCTGCCCAAATCCACGTCTTTTCTGCTACTGGGAGCTCTCTCATCTTTAAAATACAGAATGCATTTCTCATATCTGAAGGAATATATTTAACTGGTGTCTCAACATAACACTTAAAGCAAAACCCAAAAGCAGAGGGTGGGGGGTTGGGGGGAGTAAAGAGCAGCCATATCCCAGTGGAGGGGCAGGAGGAAGAGAAAGAAGGCCTCAGGAGACCTGGTCAGGCCGGCTGAGCGGCAGGGGATGCAGGACAAGCAGGCAGAAATGAGTGGAAAAGCTGAGAGAGGCCGAGAGGAAATTAAACCGGAGGAGGCAGAGCCAAGTAACGAGCAAACATGAAAGGAAATGCCTCCCTGCTTCCTGCCCTTTCTAAAATCACCTCGAGGCAACTGACCACAAATAGTCTTCTATCACAATAAAAAAGGAGATCAGAAATTTCCCGGCTGTTTAGTGGCCTGCCAATGCCACACCACAGTCACCGGCCTTCACTGAACACCCCGGTGCAGGGGGAGAGAATGTAATAACTTCTTAAGAATCTGCACTTAAGCCTCAGAGGCCGGTAGGACTGTTACTGTGGTGCAGTGATCACGGTGCTGCAAGGCACGGCAGGACAATTTCACAGCCCTGTCCTGGAAGTGGCGGAGGGGAGGAGGACTGTGCCTCACAAGCAGTGTACTAACCCAGGGATGAAAAGCACACATTTACTTAACTGAAAAGTGAACTGTAGCTTTTGGCCCTGATATTAAAATACAATAAATATCTACTGCTGAGCAGGATTCTTCGCAGAGGTCTGCACAGAAGGCCTGGGGAGGACCTGCTAGCTTTGCCCCAGCAAATACAGAGCATAGACACCCCCACCGGCCAGAGTGCCCTGGGCTGGGCTGCACACTTCCTGTTGATTTCTTGTCCAATTATCTCAATAATACATCCTCAAGGAAGGAAGTGGAGAACACACAGAAAAGAAGAAAAGAAATAACGTATATCACCACCAGGAAATAACCACTGCTGCTAATATTTTGATGTGTTTCCAATCAGACTTTTTTTTTGTACATGCACATTGTACAAAATTGGAATCCTACTGTATAGCAGGAATCTTGCTGTGTTCATTTAAAATAACATGAGACCTTCTCCAGGCCACTGAATATTCTTTGAAAGCACGGTTTTAATGGCCACAGAATCTGGGAATGACATAGTATAACCACCCTGCTATTATTAAGATATTCAAGCTGCATCCAATTTTCAACTATGATAAGTAAAGCTTCAGTGAGTCTCTTTACATACAAATGATACTGACATCTCCGATTTTAATATAAACCCTTAGAAAGAGGATGATTGAGTCAAAGGTCACAAACACTTCTTTTCCAGAAGGTTCCATCACTTGACATTTCCTCCACTGGAGTATGAGAGTATTCATCCTCCAGCACTCACCCATACTGAGAATAATTATGAGACTGCACCAGTTTGGTGGACCCAAAAACAAAAAAGAATTTTTTAAATTTGCATTTCTCTGATTACTTGTGAGGTTTGGTACTTTTCTATTTGCCTTTTATTTTTCTTCAGTGACTTGCCAACTAGAGTCCACTGCAGATTTTTTCCATTTGATGTTAATGTTTTCTTATTGATTTATGACTGCTTTTAGTATAATAGGGATGGATTGGCAGGTGGACAGCGTATGTCCTGATTTACCAATTCTGTTGATGCTGTTTGACACACACAGGATGCTAATGGATGTGTGGTCAATTGTATCAATCTTTCCCCTTATTATGACTTCCATTGCAAGTAGAGTGTCATGGCCCTTCAGCCTGGGATCCAGACTCAGCTCCCCCACTCACTATCTCAGTGACCCTCTCTTTGCCTCAATTTCCTTGATTGAACGTGCAGGATAATGAGAATGCATTTAATCCATATAGTTAGTATGTGGCACACAGCCTCAGAGATGGCCCCAATGCCCCCCACCTCCTATAATGGCATTCACATGTGATCCCTGCAGGTCCAGCCAGCAGGGGCCAGGGCCTGCGAACAGCCACGGAGTGAGCTTGGAGGTAGATACTCCCCAGTGGTCCCTGGAGATGACGCAGCTCCAGCCAACACTTAGTGAGATCCTCAGCCAGAGGCAACCTGCAAAGCTGTGCCAAGATTCCTGGCCCACAAAACTGGGAAGTAATACACATTCGTTGCTGTAAACTGCTACATTTAAGGGTGATTTGCTATGCAGCAGGAGATTACTAATGCATTATACACGTAAAGCACTTAGAACAGTGGCTGTGGCAGATCACACAAAAAAGGCCTAACACGTTGACAGTCCTCCCATGGAAAGAGGAAATCCGTCTCCACCTGGGGTAGCTCAGCTTGACTGTGTGATTTGCTCTGACCAATGGAGCTGTGGCAAACGTGAAGTCACCTACACACAGGAGCCTGCCTCTTACAACTCCTGAAACTCTGCTGTCTCCATGTGAAGAAGCCCAGCCTGCTGGGGGATGAGACTACAAAGCCCATCACCCCTGCTCACCCCAGTTTACAGGCAGCCATCCTGACAATGCAGCCCATCACCCCTGCCCGCCCCAGCTTACAGGCAAGCCATACTAACCATGTGAGGCCATCAATGCACGACCATGAATGAGCTCAGCAAAGAGAGCCACCCAGCCAAGCCCAGCCTGAATTTCCAACCCAAATCACCCACTGAGTAAGTAGTTGCTGGTAGAAGCCACTATGTTCTGGAATAGTTTGTTACACAGCATTTGATACCTAATACAGCTGCCATTATTACTACTATTATTGTCTTGGGATCAGTTACATGATCATACATATTTCTTAACAGTATATTTATGCTTTTACTTTTTAATCCATAGGAAACTTATTTTTGTGTATGATATTAGGTGAGGACCTAACAATGTTTTGCCACACAGCCAGTTCTCCCTTCTCCATAAAACTGCAACACCTTGTTTTCACATATTAGAATCCAGAGCAGGGGCTCCCAACCCCCAGGCCACCGACCAGTATCAGTCCATGGCCTGTTAGGAATCAGGCCGCACTGCAGGAGGTGAGCAGTGGGCAAGTGAGCGAAGCTTCATCTGTATTTACAGCTGCTCCCCACTGCTTGTGTTACCACCTGAGCTTTGCCTCCTGTCAGATCAGCAGCAGCAGCAGATTCTCATAGGAGCATGAACCCTATTGTAAACTGTGCATGTAAAGGATCTAGGTTGTGGCTCCTTATGAAAAGCTAATGCCTGATGATCCGTCACTATCTCCCATCATCCCCAGATGAAACTGTCCAGTTGCAGGAAAACAAGCTCAGGGCTCCCACTGATTCTACATTATGGTGAGTTGCATAATTATTTCATTATATAGTACAATGTAATAATAACAGAAATAAAGTGTACAATAAACGTAATGTGCTTGAATCATCCTGAAACCATCCCCACCCCCTCCCTGTCCATGGAAAAATTGTCTTCCATGAAACCAGTCCCTGGTGCCCAAAAGGCTGGAGACTGCTGATGTAGAGAATTTGGTGATATCATTTCCAGTGATCATTTCTATTGGTATAGTATTAATAGTAAATCTTGACCCAATACCATACAGCTGGTTTGTTTTCATTTTGTCAGGATAATACTGCATGTTCTTTCCACTGAGGCATGGCAGGAGAAATGCTCACTAATCTGACTGCATGGAAGAGGAGGGGTAGTGAAGTTGCTGGGGCAGGTGCAGGAGGAGAGGGAGAGCAGCAACATGAATCAAGAGACAGACACAGTCACAGTCACCAAAGGGATGGGGGTGACGTCAAGGCTATTTTTTGTCTGAAACAGAAACAAAACCTGCCCTAACTTTCTAAGTCAGTCGGCTGCCAAATTCCACAAGCTGATTCTGAGCAGGGCACTAGGCCCTGTGAAGGGGTTGGCAAGGTGCAAGGAGCATGTGGGACAGTGCCCCCTCCCAGGTGTTCACAGCCGCAGAGGGGAGACAGTGCCACCTACGAAACCCTGGAGAAAATATGTATAAACCAAGATGAACACAAATTAATATAATACAAATAATATAGAACGGAAGGAGAGCTTAGAAGCCCCACAGGTCAATCATGGATGGCTACTTGGAGGAAAGTTTTCAGATCCTGAGGAGTAAGATCAGCAAAGAGTGGTGTGTGCAAAGGCAGGAGGCTGGAACACATAATTCATGTGGACTCATCAGTTACTTGGTTAGCGTAAAAAGTCTATAAACAGGTACACTATGCAGTGAGGCTGATGAAGGCATAGGGGCCAATCTGATGGAAGATCTTCAGTGTTAGGTCTGGTCTTCAAGAGAAATGAGCAAACAATGTGTGTTTTTAGGTAATAAGAGTAGGAAACTACAGGTTGTGCACCTTCACAGGGCCCCGTGTTCTTGACACGGTTCTGTGACATATGCAGCATTCCCCAGTGGCTCCAGCAGAAGGAACTGCCTTCCCTAGAATTCTCAAAAAGGAGCACGACTTCCCAAAGGAAAGGAAGCACAGAAGCCGGCATGGTTCCCAGGGGAAGATGCCTGAGAGGCCAGCCGGACCCCAGCCCTCTCACACATCCAGTCGGAATGTCCCTGCCCCTGCCATCACTTGGTGCAGAGCAGGCATGGGCCAGCTAAGAAAATGACGTCTTTGCTTATTTTCAAATTGTACTGAATAACAGCTTTGAGCCTCAACGTTTAGAAATGAAAATACAAGCATGAGCAAGGTCCTAGTCTAAGGATCCATCCACAGCTCTCAGGAGAGCAACATCTTCTGTGTCCCTTGCAGAGTCTTCCATGGTGGGAAGGGGCTGCACTGTGCAGGAAGGCAGGCCCTGGCCCTGGTGCCTGCTGGAAAGGGGCATCACGAGAGACAGGTGCTCGGGGCAGAGGCTCAGCTGCAGTCACAGAAGCCCTGAGGCTTGGACAGAGCCTGTCCTGTCAGCGCTGGCACCCGCTGCCAGGGCCCAGTTATACTGCCTGTTCCTTTGGCTGTGTTAATGAGGGCCTAACTAGCAGTGGAGGCCTCACTTCCCCATCAGCATGAAGCTGCTAAGTGTCCCCCAAAACAGTCGAAAGTGTCACACGGGAGAGACACACTCGAGAGAAACTTCTGCTGCCCCTTGGGTTCCAGATTTGCAGTTTGATTTTGCTTGCCTCCATCAAGGACCACACGAACCCCAAATTCCAAATAAGAACACTGCAGGCCAGTGGGAACCTACTGCCTGTAGCCTGCAGGATGAGGCACGGCTTCCTCACACCCGAACCAAGAGGACCAGCTGTCTCAGCCCACAGAGCCCAGGCCTGGCAAGGAGCTGGAGCCTGTATGAGTCAGGCCTCTCCACAGAAACAAAACTGATAGGACACATATATCAGAGGAAATTCATTATGGGAATTGGCTCACACAATTACAGAAGCTGAGAAGTCTTATGATCTGCTCTCTGCAAGAGGAAGACCCAGGATAGCTAGCATGTCGGTCAGTCTGAGTCTAAAGGCCTGAGGACAGGGTCCAAAGGCCCAAGAACCAGGAGCACCGATGTCCGAAGGCAGGAGAAAATGAATGTCCCAACTCAAGTAGAGACAGCAAATTTGCCCTTCCTGTGCCTTTTTGATCTATCTGGGCCCTCCACAGATTGGAGGATGCATGCCCAAACTGGCAAGGGCAGATCTTCTTTCCTCAGTCTGCTGATTCAAATGTTTATCTCTTCCTGAAACACCCTCACAGACACTATCAGGAATAATGTTTTACCAGCACCCCTAGCCCAGGCAAACTGACACATAAAATTAACCATCGCAGAGCCACGGGCACGGTAGAGAAGGAAAGCAATCCTGAGCCCACCAAGCCCCCTACCCAATCCCTCCAGCTCTTCTCAAAGCCTCCCTGCCCCTCCTCCCAATTTTGGAGCTTCCGATCCCTGCCCTGGACTTGGAGGTGACCCAGGAGTGATGCACTAGAGATAAGCCAAGGTCATGGTCACGCCTCCTCTGGATCCTCAGTCGACCCAACTTCTCCAGCACCATAATGTCAAACAATCATAGCTAATAGTACATTTTTATATGAAAAAGGAGGATTCTCTGCTGAGGATAACACATGCTTGAACACAAACGTTTTTTTCTGGTTTGTACTCACGTTCACTTTCAGCAGAATACGTCTCCTCTGACTCTTCAGGAAACCATTCCCTTTCCTTAATGGGGTAGTATTTTTTCCACAGACTCCTTGGTACATTTTCTGTTTGCTTTCCCTCACACAAAGGAGACTTATCCAGAGCTAGGACTTGCTAATGGCAGGCGTGGATTCAGCAGGTGTCCGGTGCTGATTCCCACATGTTCCCAGGCGCAGAGCAAGAGGAACAGACCCAATCTCCAGGGCAGGCAAACTTCACCAGGCCAGCTGCCACACAGGGTTGACAAGGGATTGTTCTGCACCCACTGACTCTTTCTCCGACCCATCCAATCAACAGGGGTCCCAAGAAGCTAAGATTTCCATTATTTCCTGCTGCGGGGCTCAGCCAGCCTCCCGCACCACTCCATGCGTCCCCAGCCAGACTATCAGTCCTGGTCCTTCTGAGCAACCCAGCTGTTTCTTAAGAATGCAGTTTCAAAGAGACCTTCAAAGATGGGGTGCAAGGACAGTCATCTGGCCCATGGCCTGTGGAGAAGTGGCAGCTCTATGAAATCGTTGGTGTGACATTTCCTGGGAGGGTACATTTCCTGGGAGGAGAGATGAGTCCCATCATCTGCCCTGAGGACAGGCACTCTTCTCTAGGGAGCAATGTAAGCAAGGCCAGTTCCACCATCCTCATAGATTATTTCTCACCCTTACTGTAAGAGGTCCTCAATTCTCCAGTCTTCACAGGTACAGTAGTTTAATCAAACTAGGAGTTGTACATGATGTTATATAAAGATTATCGCCAACAGCCAGTTATTATCCCTAACTCCCTCAGAGACTAACTACACTGACATTGAGAAACGTTAGGTGACTCTGCAGGGTTGTAAGCCAGGAGGGAGTGAAGCCAAGGTTTGCATAGTGCCTTGGCCTTCTCCTGTGAGCCCCACATGCAGCACAAACTTGGCCCAGAAAGCCCATGGACTCCCTTCTCACACTCTATGTGGGGAATCCAACCTTTGGGAGGTGACTCTTCCATTAACACAGCTTCTAATTCAGTTAATTACTTGACTTGATAGGTTAGTTCCCTTTGTTACTACAAACACCACTACCTGCAAGCTATGGTAATATTATCATGCTTCATTAAAAGTTATCAAGTGATCTACTTTCTAATAGAGGTATAAACACCTAAACACAGCTATTTCAGGCCAGATGAGGTGGCTTACACCTGAAATCCTAGCATTTTTGGAGGCCAAGACAGGAGGGTTGCTTGAGATGAGAAGTTCAAGACCAGCCTGGGCAACACAGCAAGACCATGTCACAACAAAAAACATTTTTTTTTTAATAGCTGGGTGTGGTGGTGCACGCCTGTAGTCCCAGCTACTCAAGATGCTGAGGCAAGAGGATCCTGTGAGCCCAGGAGTTTGAGGCTGCAGTGAGCCACGATCGCACCACTGCCTTCCAGCCTGGGTGACAGAGCAAGACTCTATCTCTTAACAACAACAAAGACAGCTATTTCAGACTAAGCCTTTAACTTTAAAAATATGAAACAATGTATGTGTCAGTTACGATTCTTAAATCATTATGTCTGCCTGGGTGCGGTGGCTCATGCCTGTAATCCCGACACTCTGGAAGGCCAAGGTGGGTGGATCACCTTGAGGTCAGGAATTCGAGATCAGCCTGGCCAACATAGTGAAACCCCATCACTACTAAAAATACAAAAATTAGCCCGGCACGGTGGCGCGTGCCTGTATTCCCAGCTACTTGGGAGGCTGAGGCAGGAGAATCACTTGAGCCCGGAGGCGGAGGCTGCAGTGACCCGAGATTGTGCCACTGCACTCCAGCCTGGGCGACAGAGTGAGACTCTGTCTCAAAAAACAAAACAAAACAACAACAAGAAAAAACACAATTCTTAAATCATCACATCTAACTGGAGTCAAGTCATTAACACATTTGAGAAATTTAGCAATAACAAAAAGATTATTAGGATTCTTCTAAGCTAACAATTCTAAATTCTAACTACAAAACCAAATGTTCTGGCTTACCACAACAGAGAATAACATCCAAGCCACTATCACGTCTTTTCCAATTAGTAAGCCATTGGTGGTGTGAATAAAACCTAGAAGTCAATTTTCTACGAACTCTAGCAGGAAGAAAAGTGATTCAGCTTTACAGTTATCTTCTGACCTGTTTTTAGTCTTCATGTAACAAAAAGCTTGTCAAGTTACAATTTTCTTATAGTGCCTCACTATAGAACATTTATTCTATACAAATGGGATTTTCTCAAGACAATAACTACGGCATCAACACGAGGATGACTGTAAGACATCAATATTTTATCTATTTTCATGGATGTTGGACATGCCCAACACTATCCCATTTTGTAAATGTATTGCCTTGCTCTGTGTGATGTTTGTGATAAATGTAGTGTCACAGAAAGCCTCCATGACTGTTATTTCCCTTCATTTTATAAATGCCAAGTTTATTTAAACCTACTGTCACATGACTTTGTTAACCAAATACAACTGTTGAAACTGTTCTAAAACAATGCTTATATCAGTATCAACACACCAGAAAACATGAGTTGCTTCTCAAAAAAATTTCTGATGGCCCAAAATATCCCAATATTTTGCTCAAGAAAGGTAATTTTTCATTTGATGGTGTTGATTTTTATTATGATAAAATACACAGAAAATAAAATTTTCCATTTTCACCAGTTTTTTATTTTTTTATCATTTTTTGAGACGGAGTCTTGCTCTGTCGCCCAGGCTAGAGAGCAGTGGTGCGATCTTGGCTCACTGTAACCTCCGCCTTCCAGGTTCAAGCGATTCTCCTTACTCAGCCTCTCGAGTAGTACAGGTGTCTGCCACTGTGCCAGGCTAATTTTTGTACTTTTGGTAGAGCTGGGGTTTCACTATCTTGGCCCTGCTGGTCTGGAACTCTCGACCTTGTGATCCACCCGCTTCGGCCTCCCATAGTGCTGGGATTACAGGCATGAGCCACCGTGCCCGGCCATCATTTTCACCAGTTTTTAAGTGTATGGTTCAGCAGCATTGAGTACATTTACTGTGTTTGCAACCATCACCACCACCCATCTTCAGAACGTCTTCCAAGACTGAAACTCTGCACCCACTGAACAACTCCCCATTCCTCCCTAGCCCCGTCCCTGGCAACCACCATTCTATTTTCTGTCTCTGTGGGTTTGACTACTCTATGTCCCTCATATAAAGTGAAGTCATACAGTTATTCGTCCTTTTGTGACTGACTTATTTCACTCAGCACCATGTCAAGGTTCATCCATGGTGCAGCATGTGTCAGAATCTCCTTCCTTTTTAAGGCTGAGTAATGTTTCATGACAGGTGTAAACCACATTCTGTTTACCCATTCTTCCATCAATGGACGCTTGGGTTGCTTCCATGTTTTAGCTATTGTGAATCATGCTGCTATGAACATGGCTGTGCAAATATCTCTTTGAGCCTCTGCTTTCCATCCTTTGAGTATATACCCAGAAGTGGGATTGCTGGATCACATGGTAATTCTGTTTTAATTTTTTGAGGAACCACTACTCTCCTTTGTTCAGTGGCTCACACCTGTAATCCCAGCACTTTGGAAGGCTGAGGCGGGCAGATCACCTTGGGTCAGGAGTTTGAGACCAGCCTGGCTAACATGGTGAAACCCCGTTTCTACTAAAAATACAAAAAATTAGCCAGGTGTGGTGGGCCACACCTGTAATGCCAGCTACTCGGGAGGCTGAGGCAAGAGAATCACTTGAACCCAGGAGGTGGAGGTTGCAGTGAGCCAAGGTCGCACCACTGCAGTCCAGCTTAGGCAACAAGAGCGAAATTCGATCTCAAAACTAATAATAATAATAATAATACAATTAAATTCCTCAAGATGAAAAGTGGTGGCCAAGTGTCTGGTGTACTCTGCAAGTTCTGAGAATCACTAGGAGTCCCATCACAACCTTTTCAGCAAAGCAATATTCTCTCTGGGCATGACCCCTATGTCCAGAGGACAGTGTCAACCCAACCAGGCTCTGGGCAGGTGGCTGTAGCTTATCACAGAAAAAAGAAATCCCACCAGTGAGAACCCTCTACAATAAAATCAGAAACAGACTCCTAAGATATGTAGTTTCTACTCCTGTTGATAGTTTTTAAAAATAATGAAGGGTAGGAAGTTCCAGTTAATAGTGATAACTCGATCTTGTGCACCTACCTCTCTCCTGCCTCCTGAAACCTTGGACACACTCGGACAAGAAGATGAGGAGGTGCCTCCAGGGGCAGGAGAGTCCAACAGCCTTTTCAAAGCCTTAACATGGACATAGGAATGGCGACTGAGATGGCAGGTACATGGAGGGGGAGTGACGAGGCTCAGGCTGATTCCCCTGCAGAACTTAGGAGCCTGTGGGTTGGAGCCACTGGGGCCCCAGGAGGCAGGCTGCAGAGACACCCACCAGGCTGGAAACCAGGGGTTGGAAAGAAGGCTTGGCCCAGGCACTTCCACCTGTCTCATGAAGCACTGTGACCACACACCTCAGAGGATACTGAAACCCAGTCCCTGGAGAAAGTATCAGGAAAGGTTCAGCGGCCCAGGGCTGAGTTCAGCAACCGATCTTCACCAGGTCCAGGGGCTGCTTAGGGGATGGGAGTTTTCTAAAACTGGGCATGTGGCTGCACAATTATACAATGTATTAAAAAATCATTGAGCCGTAGATTTACAATAGGTGAATAGGACAGTCTGTAAATTATACAGCAGCAAAACTTTAAAAATGCACAGATGAGAGAGAGAGACGGAAGTAACCAAAATACCAAGGAACTATCAATGTGGCAAGTTTTTGATTTTTTTTTCCTGCTACCCAACAAAATATGAGTCTGAGAACAAGATAAGGTGAATTATTTTAAAAAATAAGAAATGATTTCCATGTGACACAGCAATTCCACTTCTGGGTACATACCCTAAATAACTGAAAGCAGGAGCTCTAACAGATATCTGTGCACCTATGTTCACAGCAGGATTACTCACAGTAGCTGCATGGTGGAAATAACATAAGTGTCCATCAATGGCAGAACAGATATACAAAATGTGGCACAGACACACCATGGAATATTATTTTGCTACAAAAAGGAGGGAAATATTGACACATGCTCCAACACGGATAAACCTTGAGGATGTTACGCTGAGTGAAATAAGCCAGCCATGAAACGACACATACTGCAAGATGCCACTCATATGAGTTGCCCAGAGTCATCAAATTCATTGAGATGGAAAGGAGAATAGGGGTTCCAGGGGCCGGGGAGAAGGGAGATCATGTTCAATGGGGACAGTTTTAGTTGAGGAAGAGGGAGTCTTCTGGAGATGGATTGCGGTGGTGGCTGCACAGCAATGAGAATGTACTTACTGCCACTGAACCGTACTCTTAAAAATGGCTAAGACGGTAAATGTTATGTTATAGATATTTCACCATGATACTAAAAAAAAAAGATAAGGAATGCTATTTTTGCACAGAAAAGAATAAAGAAAAGAAGGACAGCTGAGAAACGTGGAAGTGGGTGTCCCTGCAACTGGGGGCACCTGCACAGCATGGGGCAAGAACAGCCACTTTCATTACCAGCTTCTCAACACAATTTCACTTTGACTCTGTTATATACTAGACAGATTTTTAAGCATTAATTTTAAAACATGATGGAGAGTGGCGGAGATGAAGAGAAAATCAAATCATGGAAGCTACACACCAATAAGCCTGATGTCAATCACAGGCCAGATCTGAGAGGGGACTATCAGAGCAGAAGGCTCGTGAGTACTTCAGGAAGCAAGTGCCAGGCCAAATGCATCTTGATTTCTCTTTTAATAAGGTTATGAGATTGGCATATTAGAGAAATGCTGAGCAGATGAGGGCCTTTATTTCAGCAAGAAGTTAACACAGTCGCTCGTGGACCCTATGAAGAGGAGGCGATGTGGAGGGGCCCCCTGGGCAGGGGGCAGCGAGGCCGCTCATGGCACAACCTCGGAAACAGCAGGAGCAGTTGGTCCAGCCACAGAGCTCCGGCCCAGCCTGGATGCAGGACGGGGAACTTGTTTAAAACAGGCTGACACCATCGGGCCTGTACCCTCAGAGACGAGCCTCCCAATCAAGATGAGATCATCTCAACAGGCTGGAATGCTAACTTTTAAAGCGAACAGATGAATTTATCAGTCTTACAAATGTTCCGCAATTTGGTACCACAATTCATTAACTGCCATGAGCTGTAGGACACAGTGGAAAGGAAAAAAGCATGGGGCTTTAGAGGAGGAGCAGCCCCTTCACCTGAGGCAGTGACGATGCGGTTGGGAGCTGCCCAGGCCATAGTGGAAACCACCCAATGTCTGCCCCCGATATAACCCCCACTCAGCACTGGTGCCATGTCCAAAGTGACAAGATGCCCAGAAGCCACCAGATGAAAACTGGGTGACCAGCCTTCAAATGTGCAAGCAGAAAAAAGAGCTATGCAGGGAATGGGGTGCAGAAGTGGTTTTCTCCATTTGCAGAACTTCAATGTTGGAAGGGAAGTAAGGACATTTCTTGGTTCTCCAGGAAGAGCCAGGCAAACAGAATCATTGTCCAAAAATAGATTTGGCTCTAGTTAAAGCTGCCTGACAACTGAGCCACGTGACACTGCAAGCTCCCCATCCCCAGCTCAGGGAAACGGAGTGCCCACACATCAGAAATGCCACTGAAGGACTGTGCACTCTGCAGAGGATTGACTTAAGTGGACCATAAACACCTTCTGATACCCTACAGTAAAAGAGTAACAGTGATGAAAATAACAACTTCCATTTGCTAAGTCCTGACCGCAGCCAGGCAATCCTGGATGTACTCTAAAGGCTTCCTGACTCTGAGTCTTTGATTCTCAAATTGTATGGTCCATTATAAATACAATCAACAATCAAACCCCAACATAAAGATATTTAACATAAATCATTAGTTCTTTGGGATGACAGTTATAAATAATTTTTATAATTCTTTAAAAGGAAGAGTCTATCAAGTTTATAATAAAAATTGCCTAACACTAACATTTAATTAGTCCTAATACCTGACCGACTTCTTCTTTCGAGACATCAGGGTATACCTAACAATGTTCAGATTTGATAAGGTCTCGAGGAAGCAGGTAGCTCCTTTGTTTGTGGCCTGAGATCTGGCATTGCTGAAGCTAGATTGGGCCAGGCCTGGCTCTGCCAAATACTGATGAACTGCCAGGTTCATTCATTTATCCAACAAATATTTACTGAGTGCCAGTTATGTACCAGGTGCTGTTCTCTGTACCGGCAGAGAGGGCAACCAGCCCCTGAAGCTGGAAGCATATGGTTTGAGGATCAGGAAAACCAAGATGATGGCATGATGGAGCGAGGCATGAGTTCAGCAGGAAGGGCCAGTGAGAGCAGCTCCGAGCAACAGTGCCTCAAAGGGCAGGTTAAAGAAGAAAGGAGGGGAGAGCAAGAAAGCAGTGAGAGAGACTACACAAGAGAACAATGATGTCTGCTTTATGTTTCTGTCATGGTCACTCTGGCTGCTGGGTGGAGATGGTCAGCAGAGAAGCAGGAAAGACAGAAAAGAGACCAGCCAGCAAGGTAGACACTGCAGCCCCCAGGAGAGAGCCCAGGAGAGGACGCTGCAGCCCCCAGGGGAGGACACTGCTGCACCCAGGGGAGGGCCCAGGTGAGGATGCTGATGGCCCCAGGGGAGGGTCCAGGGGAGGATGCTGCAGCCCCCTGGGAAGAGCCGAGGAGAGGACGCTGCACCCCCAAGGGAGAGCCCAGGGGAGGATGCTGCAGCCCCCAGGGGAGAGCCCAGGGGAGGATGCTGCAGCCCCCAGGGTAGGGCCCAGGGGAGGATGCTGCAGCCCCCAGGGGAGGGCCCAGGGGAGGATGCTGCAGCCCCCAGGGGAGGGCCCGGGGAGGATGCTGATGGCCCCAGGGGAGGGCCCAGGGGTGGATGCTGCAGCCCCCAGGGGAGGGCCCAGGAGAGGACGCTGCAGCCCCCAGGAGAGGGCCCAGGAGAGGACGCTGCAGCCCCCAGGGGAGGGCCCAGGGGAGGATGCTGCAGCCCCCAGGGGAGGGCCCAGGGGAGGATGCTGCAGCCCCCAGGGAAGGGCCCAGGGGAAGATGCTGCAGCCCCCAGGGTAGGGCCCAGGGGAGGATGCTGCAGCCCCCAGGGGAGGGCCCAGGGGAGGATGCTGCAGCCCCCAGGGGAGGGCCCGGGGAGGATGCTGATGGCCCCAGGGGAGGGCCCAGGGGTGGATGCTGATGGCCCCAGGGGAGGGCCCAGGGGAGGATGCTGATGGCCCCAGGGGAGGGCCCAGGGGAGGATGCTGCAGCCCCCAAGTAAAACTGGAGCTCCTCCAGAGGAACAGCAGCAGGGGTGGAGGGAGGGAATCCAGCCTGGGTGTGTCCTGCGGCAAAGCGATGGGCAGGGCTAAAGGAAAAGGAGAAATCGAGATGCCTCTCAGGCTATTGGAGTGAACAATGGACAAGAAAGGAAGCCATGTTTTAAAGATGTGCTTAGGTAGTGTTCCACCCAAAGTTCAAATCCAAGTCACTGCCAAAATGCAAAATGCAAACTGCCAGACTTGTGGTCTGTTCATCTATCAGTAAACAGGGATGAATAAAGGCAGAACATGCCTGTTCCCTTCAGAAACTAAATGGCTAGAATAAAGTACTGTTCCATTTCCAGGGTGGCTCAGCTAAAACGCCAAGGAAACGGCCACCTGAGTGTTCGATGGGAACACAGTGTGAGATGCAGGTTAAGAGGATGCTTTTGAAGGCTGCAGTGCTTTGTGGTTGGGCTGTCCTAGTTATAGGCCCTTCCAAGGCTGTGTCAAAGAGATTCAATGCACAGAGACCACCCGGTGAAACTACCACATCCCCCTGCTTTCATCACATCACTCCTTAGAGGAACACACGTTACTCTGAGGAAGTTGAACATCCGTAGCCCAATTAAGACCATCTATGGCCAGGCACAGAAGGCAGTGTCCAGCTCTGTTCCCCTTCCAGACTGGCCTTTCTGCAGCATGACTTACCAGCCTTCAATCACACTCTGTTTCTGCTCCCCTGTGCCTAACTTGGGGTACCCACAACCCACTGCCCTTCTCTGTTATCCACTGGATGAAAGCCACCCAGCAATCATGGCTAGCTCCAGCTCTGCCCCTCCCTGAAGCCTCTTCTGATTGTTCCTGCCTCCAGATGCCAAACAAACCGCTGCCTAAAGACCTTGCACCACAGCACAAGGCTCACAGCTCTTTCTCCTGCAAGTGGATGGTACGTGCCGGACAGAAGACAAGCTGCTTGAAAGCAAGATCATCATGCATTGTTTTTATTCCCCCAAAGAACCTAGGACAGTGTTTCCAATACTGGGAGCACCCTCCTTCCAACAGTGATCGACTGTAAAGCCATAAATATTTCTAAATGTATACTGAACATAATTAAGAAATTCCAAGACAGCAAATATTCATTTTATAAGCTGGTTCTGGGGGTGGGATCTAACTTGCATCACTAGACCACCAATGGTACCTAAATGTGAATGATTAAGAAAAGACAGGCTGGGCATGGTGGCTCATGCCTGTAATCCTAGCACTTTGGGAGGCCAGGGTGGGCAGATCACTTGAGGTCCAGAGATCGAGACCAGCCTGGCGAACATAGTGAAACCTCGTCTCCACTAAAAATACAAAAATTAGGCGGGGTGGTGGCGCATGCCTGTAATCCCAGCTACTTGGGAGGCTGAGGCAGGCGAATCGCTTGAACCCAGGAGGCAGAGATTGCAGTGAGCCGAGATTGCCCCATTGTACTCCAGCCTGCGCAACGAGAGCAAAACTCCATCTCAAAAAAAAAAAAAAAAAGCAAGACAGATAATCCAAATGAACATTTGCAGGGTTGATTAAACTAATTAAATCTTTAATAGTGTCTGAAGTTGCTTTTCAATTATTAATTTGGATGCATTTTTGTTAAACTTCTGAATATGATTTTAAAATATAGTTCTAATCATTAGCCAACACATACATTTTTAACAATTATATGATAATTAAATCTGTTTTGAAACTGTTGAAAATTTTCTTATGTAACCCCAGTTTTCAGGGCTTCAAGCAACTGTGGAGCTACAAAAAAAATATATTAATATGATTTTTTAAAAAGTTCTTCCAACGTTAAGGTAACACACACAAAACCTGCACAAAGGCCACCAGAGCAGCCCCATGCAGCCAAATGCAGTGGCCTTTCTTCCCTAGGGCTCCGGCTTAGGATAAGGCTGGAAGAGCATCCGAGGTGGTTCCACCCCATCCCGATAGCCCCCTTCCAGAAATGCTGACACATGCAACATCCACCAATGGATGAACCTCGAGGACATGGTGCTGAGGGAAATACGCCAGTCACAGAGGACAAATCCTGCAAGATTCTGCTTCTTTTTTGTTTTGTTTTGTTTGTTTGTTTGTTTGAGACAGAGTTTCGCTCTGTCGCCCAGGCTGGAGTACAGTGGCGTGATCTGGGCTCACTGCAAGCTCCGCCTCTTGGGTTCAAGCAATTCTCCTGCCTCAGCCTCCTGGGTAGCTGGAATTACAGGCGCACGCCACCACGCCCAGCTAATTTTTGTATTTTTAGTAGAGACAGGGTTTCACCATGTTGGCCAGGCTGGTCTCGAACTACTGACCTCCAGTGATCCACCTGCCTTGGCCTCCCAAAGTGCTAGGATTACAGGCATGAGCCACCACTCCCAGCCGCATGACTGCACTTCTATGCAGTACCTGGAGTAGTCAGATTCACAGAGAAGTAGAGTGGTGGTTGCCATGGCGGGGGAGGGGAAATAGGGAGTTGGTGTTGAATGACTACAGAGTTTCAGCTTGGGAAGGTGAAAACGTTATAGAGATGGATGGTGGTGATGGCTGAGCAACAGTGTGAACGCACTCAATGCCACTGAGTTGTACACTTCAACATGGTTAAGAGGATCAGTTTCACATATGTGTATTTTACCACAATTAAACATTTTTTAATAAATTAATTTTTTTTAAAAAGCCTCCCTTCCAGCTCCAAAGGCTACCTTTGAGACAGCCTCCTGGAAGGGACCCAGCAGGTCCCCCGTAAGACTCTGATTAAAGTTGTAAACTGCCACCTCCATATTTCTATCTATAGTTGAATTTTCTTTACCACTAAAGAAGTACTTTTGTCTCCTTTTCCACATTCAGTGCCCCTGGGTCATCAAAAGTAAGAGCTAAAAGCACTGATTTTTTGACAAGCAAGCCACAGATTCAATATCATGTATGTTCAACACAGCCTTGAAAACCGCAGAATAGATTTCTTTAAATCACTAAAAGGAGCCTAAGACAAGATCAAAGAATGGATCCCAAATTAACTGAAAACCTTCACACACATACCACAGACAGTCACGGCGTGTGTGTGAACACGGGCAGGATCCAGCAAAGCCACTCAAGATTGGCAGAGGGGCTGCTCGGTGCCCCCCACTGCCACGTTTGTTCTATGTGTGGTTGAGCATCCGGAGGGTCCTGAGGCAGTGCCAGCCCACTGAGGTCACAGGTGAAGCCCACAGGTCCTGGGCCCTGCCAAGGGCTACAGGACACTCATCAATCAGCAGGTGAGAGTACATTTACCTGCTTCGTCTCGGGGAGCCTCCTGCCAGCTCCCTTGCAAACTTCATTCACCTCACGCCTCCCTCCTTCCTGCCAAGTTCACCTCTGTTGCAATCCAGGGCAGGCAAATACTCGTCACTCGGACAACCAGGGCCCATCCTTCACCGCGGCTGCCGCTACTAATCAACCATATGGTCTTTTCCAGGGAAGCCCAGACGCACTTCGAAATCCTTCCCAGTCCTACAAACGCTGCCGGAAGCCACAATCAACTGACAAGCACTGGCAGACAAGGTGATGCGTGTGACTCTTCCACAGCATCCTGACAGTGGCCAGCTCGGGGCTCATGAGCCTGAAGGACGCTCTGCCTTCAAGACGTCTGACATGAGACAGTCCCTCAAAGATATGCTAGCCCTGACAGTGAGCAGTTCCTCCTTGATTCTCTTCCTAGATTAATTTTTTGTTTAATTGGTAATTAATGTTCATTCCTTAATACCAAGTCACAATTAAAAATTGCTCAAGTCACAGTCATTTGACAAACGTCATGCCTTGTTTCACATTAGCAACCACTATTACAGGTGATCTCACTAGACCAACTCAAAATACTGGCTATGGCTCGAAGTGACTCTGCTAAGTAAACAGAGGTGGGGCATTGGAATCACTCCACATTTTCCTGCCGACTCCTGAATTCATTAAGCAGAGCTCAGCCCAATGCACTGGTTTTTTATAGTGCCCCACACAGCCCCAGAGGATCTAGGGGACATTGATGGTCCTGGGTGGGGAGTTGCTAAGTGGAGAGGGTTGTAATGCCTGGGCCCCACCTTCATCCAGATCAACTCCATTTTCACATACTGAGCTTCCTCATAAGATTTCATTGGTAGAAAAGGCTCCATCACTAAGAGTAAAAACGTTTCCCAACTGTTGGCTAATGCATTGTGCAGAGAGTGAATGTGCACATAGAAAAAGCTCCAAGAAGGACTTCTGACCACACAGCGGCCCCTCGAGCTGCAGGGGCAGCCAGCATGGACTGGGATGTGCTACAAATAGAAAGTGAGGGCACAGGTGGCTGAGAATAGGCACAGGAGAGAACAGAAAGACAAGCACAGAAAACAGAGAGACCCCGGGAGGCGCCGGGATAACAGAGAGGCAGAACAGCGGCTACAAAGTGGCAGGAAGGGCTGGCAGATCCCTAGGAATAAAGGGAGTAGCAAAGCTCCAAGCAAATGCTCACCAGAGCCCATATGCCCATCATAACCCACACGGCAGCACGGGGGCCAAGGGCCACAAAAGGCAATGCACGCATACACCGGGGTAATACGTAAGCCCCGCACCCGCCAGTAGGACAGCACACCTCTGGTGCAAAGGCCCTGGGTGTTTCTTTGAAAACAATTAGTCACACTGATCTACAACACATTGTTTCTCAATCTTTTTTCTACCTCATGCCTTCTTCTGAAAAAGAAGATTCTGAACAAGCTGCAGGCAGCCCACATGCACACGTGGAGATTTGGGGGCCCTGATCCAGCAGCCCCGGGAGAATCAGAACCTGCAGTCCACATGCACAACTCTCTGATTCAAGATCAATGCTGACAGTGGTCACCCAAGGAGGAGTGGCCCTGAGGGCTGGGGTGGAGCAGAGGGTGGAACACAGCAGCACGCGGTGGGGGCCCAGAAGGGCTGGGCCAAGCAACAGGGCAGTGGGCCCCCACAAGCTGGGGAGAGGAGCACCCCAAAACAATCTTCCCCCAAGAAATGCAAAGCAGGAATCATCATGAGGCCTCAATGTGCTCATGTTACAGAACAAAGCTCTCCTGATGGTGTTGCCTTTGTTACCTTGTCTCCAACTCTGGGGACGCTTAAATGCTGAAGCCAGGCCTGTCATGCAATTCACCCAGCATCAGCAGGGACAATTCAGGAAGAGGTGGCACCAGGAGGAAAACAGCTCTGGAAGGGCAGGTCTCGATAATCAAAACCCACCTTAAAAATGGCATCATGATGAACTGTTCAGACAAGGCAGCTCTGGCTTCAGTGTGTTAATATTAAATATTTTATACACACACACAACACACAACACACACACACACACACACACACACACACACACACACACACACATATAAATTTGAGACGGAGTCTCGCTCTGTTGCCCAGGCTGGAGTGCAATGGCGCAATCTCGGCTCACTGCAACCTCCGCCTCCTGGGTTCAAGCAATTCTCCTGCCTCAGCCTCCCAAGTAGCTGGGATTACAGGCTCCCCCCACCACGCCCAGCTAATTTTTGTATGTTTAGTAGAGATGAGGTTTCACCATGTTGGCCAGGCTGGTCTCTAACTCCTGACCTCATGTGATCCATCTGCCTTGGCCTCCCAAAGTGCTGAGATTACAGGTGTGAGCCACTGCACCCGGCCTATAATCAATTATATTATAAGTTATTTTATAAATTAGTGTAATAATACATGTGATATAAATACAAGAATCTCCCTTTTATCCATTTTTTAAAGATTTTAGGTTTAAGCATACAAGTACTTACATTTGACTACTAGAAAGAGAATAAAAAATAGATTGTAACTATCTGCTGAAGGATGACAAAACAGCCACTGGCTGGTCAGTACACTCAGTCACCAGAGAAGTCTTCAAAGTAGTCCCAAGAGGCCAGTTAGGAAGGGGGAAAGGAGGCAGGGTAGGTTCTTGAGGGTGGGGGAAGCAGGGGAGGGGCAGCTCACCAGCACTCACTGTACAGCTGGTTTACCTGTTGGACAGGACGGTGTTTTTCCAGCAATCTCACTTGGGAAAGAAGGAGGAGCAGGTGGCCCAGCTTCACCCTATGACAAGTGTGACTTTCTTGCAGCCACACCATACCCAGGCTGCTCCCACCCCCTCCTTTCCCCTCTCTGGCTACAGCTCTGACTAACCCGGGTAACCTGTCCCTGGGCAGCTGGAATGTGCCCTCTTCTATAGCTGAATGTTGGTGTCTCTTTTCCTGGAAAACCATAACACTTCCAACAAAATAAGGAGGCCACCGAGGGATGGTGGCAGCTGCAGTTCCCCCCATGTAGAGGATTCCCTGCGGCAATCCAGACCCAGCATGCCTGGATCTTCCAATTCTGCAAAAGAATTCAAAGTCCATTCTGTACTGTGAACTCTCCCAAGTTTTAAGTGTTATCAAATAAACATTTTTAAACACCGCATGAGCTAAAGAAAACATACCTGGGAGCGGAAGGCCACCTGTGGTCTTGGTTTTAGGACCTCTGAACAAAAAGATAGACTTCAGTGCTCAGGGTGAACAGAAAAATATGTTTTTGAAAGAAATAATAACTTGTCAGAAAGACGTCTACTCTATGTCACGTCAATACCAGGCACAGCAGCGAGGGACCATTGGACACCGGCTGTCCTCAGTTCAAGAAACCGCCTGAGGCTGCTGGCAAATTGACCTCAGGGCCCCGGCCGCAGCCACGGCCCCATCTCCCGGGCTGAATGCTGCTGCTCTAGCACTCATTCATGACAACGAGGACATCTCAAAGCTAGGAGGCCCCCGGAGGCTCCAGTTCAACAACATACCCAAGGTCACCCCGTGGGCCACGGCAGTCCGGACTCCCACATCAAGCTGGGCCTCCTGGAAGACAGCACTGAACCTAGCCATGGATTCTGCAGACAACCTTCAAACCCCCATCTACAGCCTTCAATAGCAAACCCTGAAGCACAGTGCGTGCTGCCCTACCCTATGACCTAGTTACAGACGGGCTTGCGACGGTTACTAGGAGTGAGAGCAGAGGCCCTCATTGTATAAAGACCAGTGCCCATCCTGCTACCTCACTGAAATGGAGGGAGAAAGCCTAAATCACCAAGTTTAGAGTTGGTGGGCGAGAAGAGAGGCTACCTACGGTTCAGGGAAACCAGCAAAGATAAGCCATCCAGGCTGGGGCGGGGGCCATCCCCACCCTACCCCAAGTCTCAGAAAGGCTGCGCCCGGCGTCAGGGCACCCCTCCTGGGTAGGGGCCCTGAGATGACAGTTCACACAGATCAGCCCTTCAGAAAACACTGTCATGCTTCTCAAACACATTAAAACACAAATGACTACGGTTCAGGTTCATGGTCAAGTCCAGTCCTTCCATCTCTCCCTGACAATCTATATGTCCTGGTCACTGCGTGGGGACTTAGGTACCTCCTTGGCCACACAGTTCAAGGTCATTTCTGTTGTTGTTTTTTTTTCCTTTGGAGACAGGGTCTCACTCCGTCACCCAGGCTGGAGTGCAGTGGTACAATCTTGGCTCATGGCAACCTCCGCCTCCCGGGTTCAAGTGATTCTCGTGCCTCAGCCTCCCAAGTAGCTGGGATTATAGACATGTACCACCACTCCCAGCTAATTTTTGTATCGTTAGAACAGACAGGGTTTCACCATGTTGGCCAGGCTGGTCTCGAACTCCTGACCTCAAGTGATTTACTCGCGCCTCAGCCTCCCGAAGTGCTGGGATTACAGGCGTGAGCCACCGCACCCGGCCAAGGTCATTTCTTCGGGGGATCTTTTGTGTAGATGTCGTATCTTGCTCATTACATATTGATTTTTCCTAGTTTTATTCATAGAAAGAAACCCCATTTTCCCAATGTGGAAGCACCTCCTTATATAAGGCAAATGTATGAACATTTTTATCCTGCAGAAACCTGTGTGCCCTACATTGTATGATCCAGAATAGATTCTGGCCCTCCACCATAAAAAGCACATGTTCACACCAAAGCAAGCAAAGACATGCGGCACTGAGCGAGAGTGTGTGGGAGGGGGTGACAAGAATGGTCTGTGGGACCCCGGACAGCCTTTCTGGGCCCCCAGTCCTCACTGCACAGATGCCAATAATCACTGCTGCTTCCAAGGGGTGAGCTGGAGACAGAACGCTGAGAGAGTACAGGCTCACAGCAGGCTGCATCTGCGCACGCTCTTGGTGTCATCACTACTGCTGGCCTGAGCAGGAAGGCCCACCCTGCCACAGCGGTCCCTGCACAGGGCTGAGTCCTGTGACCACAGCCCCATTAAAAAATGCTCTGTGCTCCATCCGGCTCCCTTAGCAACCTCACAGGGTCCCAACCTCAGAGCAGGATCTGGAAGGACCGTTCACTCACCGCACCTTGGAATGCATTCAACTTGGCGGTGGCCCGAAGCTGACTCCCACCAGGGCAGAGGAAAAAACACAACCCAGTGGGCAAGAGGGGCTGAGGGAGGAGGAGTAGGGGGCGAGGGGGCAGTGCTGGGCAAAAGGAAGGGGACACCAAGGGCAGACACATCCCTGGATGTCCAAATGGAAAGAAATGAGGAGGAGGAGGAAGGGTCCCTTGAAGGGCCGTACCATCCCGCAGAGGGGACATGAGGCTGTCCCAGAGAGGGGTATGGGTCCTGAGAAGCTAGTTAGCACCTCTGATGCCAGCCCTAATGTCCACTCTCCCTGGTCCATGGCACACCCTCTCCAGGCAGGCCTTCCCGAGAGGAGAGACCTCCAGAGAAGCAGGATCTACGGAAGGGCGAGCTGACCCATGGTGACAGGTCTCCTACTTCCCTGCCCAAGTGGTTGGCATCTGTATCTTGTTCATAGTAAGATCTGCTCATGAGACAAGAGCCACTAAGAAATATTCACAGACAAGATGATTGCATTTGGGGAAAATGTGACAGACCTGAAGTGAAAACAAAGGCCAACTTACAAAATGTCAAGAGTCCAACAACCTGAAATGCAAAGCAATAATACACACATATACATTTTAGACAGCAAATTATACTCTTCAAAAGGAAACTTTAGCTCTAAATTTTTATAACTAAAATCTGCAATTCTTTTCTATCCCCCCAAATAACAATGTTTTAACAGGAAACTGGCTATTTACATAACGTGTTCAATAGCGTGGAAAAGCATTTTGTGTATTTTATTATATGTTTATTGTTTCAGAAGCCACCATAAAGTTGACCACCTGCCACTGCCACCCCATAAAAGGGAAAACGTCTATGTGTAGTTCTATTGGACTCACTGGGAAGCCATTAGCTGACCCTTCATTATTTTTAGGCTTCTGAGCTAAAGTGGGAGGAGAAAATGACGTTAGAATGCCCGTTCACCAAACAGCTACTCAGTGGCTGCTGCTGCAGACACCAAGGAGGTCAGCATGGGGCCCACAAAGAGAAAGGACACATCCCTCTTCGTGGTCCAGCCACCAAGGTTTTACCACCACCAGGCAGGGCCAGACCTGGACATGCGTCCCCAATACCCCACCTCTGCCCCTGACCACCCTTGTCCTTCCTGGACACTTCTGGACCTGAGGACAGACATTTCCCTCGACTGCAAAGATGAGGCAGAAATGACACCTGGAAGCAGGGGACGAGTGAGTCTCTCACACTTCCCTAGAGTAGAAGCCACAGAGGTACCAAAGTGAGGGCGGAGAAACACCAAGTGCCAGCAAGGAGCGGCCAAACCTCTCACATGCTGCTGGCGGGAGCAGACAGCGATGCCACCACCCTGGAAAACCGATTGCCAGCCACGACAACAGTTGAACACAGGCACACTCCGTGCCCCAGCAATTCCACTCTCCTAGGCATACACCCATCCAAACAGGCGCGTATGCTCACCAAGGCCACGTACGAGAATGTGTCGGCAGCACTGACTCTAAGACCCGAAACTGGAAACTACCCTAGTGCCATCAACAGCACACTGGTAGGTAAGTGCACTCATACAAGAGAGCACTCTACAGCAATAAACATGAATGAACCACTCAACAATACAGATGGCTCTTCACAAACACACTGTTGAAAGTGTAAGAGATCAGACACTAAATAATACATGTTGTATGAATCCATTTATATAAAGTTCAAAAGCAAGAAAAATTAATACAGGATGCTAAAAATCAGAAGAAAGGTTCACCTTTGGGGGCAGTAAGTAGAAGGGAGCACAAGGGGGACCTTGAGGTGCAACTGATGTTCTGCCTTTGGGTGCCGGCTACACAGAGACATTCAGTTTGTAAAAAACATACTGAGCTATACACTCAACTGTTTGTGCAGTTCTCTGCATGTATGTTAGACTTCAACAAAAAGTGCAAAAAAAAATAAGGGCTGAGGAGAGAAACTGTTGCTAGGAGACAAAGAAATGAAGATTCTGGCTTTGGTTATTAGCCCTTAGAGCTTGGAGAACTGTGGATACACGCTGAAAGCCCATTAAATTTTTCAAGGAATCTTAGGACCAGAGAAACACCAAACCTGGCCATCAGTGGTCTCTGGTACTCTGCTACCAATCTCCAGACCTGTGCCTGCAAGACATGGCTGAGAAAAAGCTGCAGGCCTGGAGAGGGGACCCTGTCCATCTCAGACATGGCCGGGGAAAATGGTCCAGGGAGATCTCTATACAGACCATGCCCACCCCATACACAGGGGAGACTCAAGGCTGTACCCACTTGGGGAGGGGGTGGGTGTACTTCACGTGGGCATGAGCGTTCCCGAGGTGCACGTGGGTAAGAATGGACTGGATGGCCCTCACTGGTCAATCACTGTCCTGCAAATCACGTTCTGCTTCCCTCTGTGAATCACTGTCCAGCAGAAGCACAACACAAGCCTTGGGTGTACTTTACAATTTCCTCATAGCCACATTAAAAAGAATAGAAAGAAATTAAATTTAACTATATATATATATATATATATATATATTTTTTTTTTTTTTTTTTTTTCTGAGACGGAGTCTTGCTCTGTCACCCAGGCTGGAGTGCAGTGGCGTGATCTCAGCTCACTGCAAGCTCCGCCTCCCGGGTTCACGCCATTCTCCTGCCTCAGCCTCCCGAGTAGCTGGGACTACAGGCGCCCGTCACCACGCCCGGCTAATTTTTATTGTATTTTTTAGTAGAAACAGAGTTTCACCATGTTAGCCAGAATGGTCTCGATCTCCTGACCTCGTGATCCGCCTGCCTTGGCCTCCCAAAGTGCTGGGATTATAGGTGTGAGCCACCGCGTCCAGCCTAACAATATATTTTCTTCAACCCAATACATTAAAAATATTATCCTTTCAATGTGTAAACAACATAAAAAATATTCAGATGTTGTACATTCTTTCATGCACCTCAAGTCTTTAAAGTGCGTGTGTGATGTAGTTTGGATATTTGTCCCCGCCCAGATTTCATGTTGAGATATAATCCCTGATGCTGGAGGTGGGGCCTGGTGGGAGGAGTTTGGATCATGGGGGCAGATCCCTCATGGCTTGATGCCGTCTTTGTCATATTGAGTTCTTGCACGATCTGGTCATTTAAAAGTGTATGGGGCAGGTGCAGTGGCTCACACCTGTAATCCCAGCACTTTGGGAGGCCGAGGCAGGAGGATCACTTGAGGTCAGGAGTTCAAGACCAGCCTGGCAAACATGGCAAAACCCTGTCTCTACTAAAAATACAAAAATTAGCTGGGCGTGGTGGTGGGCGCCTATAATCCCAGCTACTCAGGAGGCTGAGGCAGGAGAATCTCTTGAACCGGGGAGGCGGAGGTTGCAGTGAGCTGAGATCTTTTGAGACTCTGTCTCAAAAAAAATTGAAAATAATAATAAAAGTGTGTGGCAGGCCAGGCGTGGTGGCTCACACCTGTAATCCCAGCACTTTGGGAGGCCGAGGCAGGTGGATCACGAGGTCAGGAGATCGAGACCATCCTGGCTAACATGGTGAAACCCCGTCTCTACTAAAAAATACAAAAAAAAAAAAAAAAAATTAGCCGGGCGTGGTGGCGGGCGCCTGTAGTCCCAGCTACTTGGGAGGCTGAGGCAGGAGAATGGCGTGAACCCGGGAGGTGGAGCTTGCAGTGAGCCAAGATCACACCACTGCACTCCAGCCTGGGTGACAGAGCGAGGCTCTGTCTCAAAAAAAAAAAAAAAAAAAAAGTGTGTGGCACCTCTCCGACCCCCGCTCCTGCTCTCCCCATGGTATGCGGTTGCTCCTGCTTTGCCTTCCTCTGTGAATAAAACTCCCTGAGGCCTCCCCAGAAGCAGATGCCGCTATGCTTCCTGCACAGCCTGCAGAACCAAGAGTGAATTAAACTTCTTTTCTTATAAATTACCCAGGGTCAGGTATTTCTTTATAGCGACACAAGAAGGGCCTAATACAGTGGGTGTTTTCCACATACAGCAGCACATCGCAATCAGCACCAGCCACACATCAGTGCTCCGGAACCAGCTGGACAGCACAACTATGGGAAGGAGTACCTGCTCCCCACTACTCCACCCCTAAGGGCTACTGTGAATAGCTTTGGCTGCAATTCTCTCTCTCCCTCCCTCTCTTTCTCTCTCCCTCCCTCTCTCTCTGTCTGTCTCACACACACATACACACACACACATACATACACACACACACACACACACACACATGCTGGGACCTAGAATAAGCTGTTCTATCCCTCTAGCCACAGAGGTCAAGTCAATGAGAGATCTGCCAGGAATCTTGCAGAAGAAACAGACACTTTTCCCATTGGGCTGAAGGTGAGAGAAAGGATGTGAGGTCTGGAATTGTAGCAGCTGCTTGAGGCCATGAGGTAGAGGCTGTCTAGGAATGGAGCCACAGAGAGAGGAGAACAGAGCCCAGGAAGAAAGGAAAAGCAATGTGGTTCTGTGGACATGGCTGGAACCTCTGCATCAACAGATATATCCCCTACTCTTGGATTTTTCAGTCTCATGTGCTAAAAAATTTGCTTGTTCACTACGCAAATTTGGGCTGCACTGATGTGATCTGTTATTAAAATAGTCCCAGATAATACACCTCATTATTCTAATTATCTCTGCTTTTTTTCCCTTCTAGCAACTTTAAAGTTTCATATTGTTGTTGAATTCTTCTTACTGATTCAAGTTACTAGTATGCTTTTAATAACATGTCTGAATATATCTAAGCCTCAAAACACTGCATTTCTTTTGAAGCTACAATTTCAGTTTTAAGGGCTCATCCTACGAAAATAACCAGACAAGTGTCCAAAAATGTGTACACAAGACCATTCACTATAGCAAAAAAAAAAAAAAAAAAAAAAAAAAAACCCACAAATGCACACTGAGAAATAAGTGGGTGTCCAGTCCTAAGGAGATAGCTTCCCTCTGGCACAGAGGGCCCCCCAGTGGGCAGCGTTCTTTGTTCCCTGCGTGGACAGCACCCTGGTAGGGCAGGGAGGCCACAGGCTCACTGGAGCACGGTCACAGAAGGACGTGATGCAAAGAAAAAGAGCCGGATGTGGTGGAAGGAAGGGAACATGCAGAGAGTTAGGCAGGGCATGGGGAGGCAGCATGGGGCCCACTCTCCCATGTCCCAGCAGAGAGGAGGAACGTCTAGGAGGGGGAGCGGGGGCAGAGCCTGCCAACCTGGACTGCTGTCAGAGCAAACCTGTGCCAGAGCAAACCTGGTGGACACTGGTTTAGAGGCATTGAACATCCCATTTCCCGGGCAACTCTGACTTTCCGAAGGTGTGAGTGGGACCCAGAAAACCTCACGGCTGCAGTTGGGGGGTGAGAGTCTGGGAGGTAACAGCTGGGCAATGTGGAGGCGAGACAAGGGGACCACCATGGGAAGGAGGTGAGGTGGCCCCCAAGGGCCAGATGGGGGAATGTGTCAAACACTCAGAAATCCTGCAGAGGAACCCAGGGGAACTGAGTCAGCGAGGGAAAGTCCCTAGACCATACCCCAGCATGGGAGAACAGATGACAGCAGTAAGCAGGTGGAGAAGGAGTGCTGCCTTGGGGGTCCATGGCACCAAAGGATGCTGTGCCCAGAGTCTCTGCTCCTCACCCCCAGTGACATCAGACAGCTACACCATCCCTGCTTCCAGATGCCATTCTGAAGACGAGCCTGCAGGGCAGGCAGAGGCTGAGAAATCTGAGAGGCTCAGCACTACCTATACGGGCACTTCTCAATTAGAAGTGTGCATAGGAATCCCATGGGAATGCCGTTAAAATGCAGATCCTGCTACAAAATATCTGGGGGTGGGGCCTGAGACCCTGCATTTCTAACAGACTCCCAGGAGATGCAGAGACTCCTAATGGATGGGCCACACTCAGAGTAGTAAGGCCCTCAGGGACCTCTGTGAATGAAACAGAATTAAAACAACCCTCCCGCTCTCAAGTAGATGTAAGATTCATGCAGAAGACAGACTGATTATACAAAAAAATAGTATTAATAAGGAAGACAGACGTACCCTCCACATCTGAGATTAGTGTGAATACTGTACTCTGCAACTCCACTACACCTACTTATAATCTAATAAAAATTCTGAAGGAAACATTTATAAGGCATAAAGATTAAAAATATTAAATTATATGCTTAACATAGCCTGGCTAAGTGCACTCTGGGGGTTGAAGGCAAGGATAAGGCCATAAGGAAAAGAGCAGTGCCTTGATCTTCCTCTATAAATCAAGTCACTTAGTCCTAGACACCATTTGCCTTGTTAGGACTGCAATGGTTCTCTGACTTCACGAATAAGCGGATCCTGCCTTCTACCCCCACATACTGCCAAACATGACGTTTTTAAGGTTTATTTAATTCATACATGTTATTATTTAGGGCAGATTTTGGTTCACAGCAAAATGGAGCAAAAAAGGGCAGAAAGTTGCCATATACTCCCCCTCTCCCCAGAAGCACAGCTTTCCCCATCAGAGTGGTGTATTTCTTTTTCTTTTCTTTCTTTCTTTTTTTCTGAGATGGAGTTTTGCTCTTGTTGCCCAGGCTGGAGTACAGTGGAACAGTCTCAGCTCACTGCAATCTACACATTCCAGGTTCAAGCAATTCTCCTGCCTCAGCCTCCCAAGTAGCTGGGATTACAGGTGCCTGCAACCACAGGCAGCTAATTTTTTTTTTTTTTTTTGTATTTTTAGTAGAGATGGGATTTCACCATGTTGGCCAGGCTGGTCTCGAACTCCTGACCTCAGGTGATCTGCCTGCTTCAGCCTCCCAAAGTGCTGAGATTACAGGCGTGAGCCACCATACCTGGCCAGTACATTTCTTACAATCAATGAACCTACACACTGACACATCATTATCACCCAAGTCCATGGTATACATTAGGGTTCACTCTTGGTGTTGTACATTCTGTGGGTTTGGACAAATGTATAACAACGTGTATCCACCATTGTAGTATCTTAAGAGACAGTTTCACTGCTCTCTGTGCCCCACCTATTCATCTCTCCCTCCCCCAAACCTCTGGCAACCACTGTTCTTTTTACTGTCTCCACAGTCTTGCTTTATCTGGAATGTCATATCTTGGGAATCACAGCAGTGTGTAGCCTCTTCAGACTGGCTTCTTTCCCTTAGTAATATTAATTTAAAGTTCCAGATCTTTTCATAGCTTGATAGCTCATTTCTTTTTAGTGCTTAGAAGTATTCCACTGTTTGGATATCTCACAGTTTATTTATCAATTTACCTACAGAAGGACATTTCCACTGCTTCCAAGTTTTGGCAATTATGAATAATGATGCTATAAATATCCAAGTGCAGGCTTTTGTAGGGCCATAAGTTTTTAATTCATTTAGGTAAATACCAAGGAGTATGACTGTAGGCTCATAGGGTAAGAGTATGTTTCATTTTGTAAGAAGCTGCTCAACTGCCTTCCAAAGTGGCTGTAGTGTTTAGTGTTCCCACCAACAATGAATGAGACTCCCTGTTGCTCCACCTCCACATCAGCATTTGATGCTATCAGTGTTTTGGCTTTTAGCCATTCTAACAGGTGTGCAGTGGTATCTCACTGTTGTTTTAATTTGCATTTTCCTAATGATATATGATGTTGAACATCTTCATATGCTTATTTGACAACTGTATATCTTCAGTGAGATGTCTGTTCAGGTTGTTTGCCCATTTTTTAATCAGGTTATTTGTTTTCTTATTATCAAGGTTTAAGAGTTATTTGTATATTTTGAATAAAAGTCCTTGATCACATATAACTTCTGCAAATATTTTCTCCTAGGTTTGTCTTTTCATTCTCTTGACACTGTCTTTAGCAAGACAGAAGTTTCTAATTTTAAGGAAGTCCAGCTTACCAATTTTTTCTTTCATGTATTGTCCCTCTGGTGTTGTATCTAAAAAATCCATCACCAAACCTAGGGTCATTAAGATTTCCTTCTGTGTAATTTATGAAGAGCTGTATAATTTTATGTTTTACACTTAGGTCTATGATCTATTTTAAAGTGCATTTTTGGGAAGAGTTTGCGTGTTGGCCTCTAGCTGTTCCAGCCCCATCTGTTGAACACACTATCCTTTTGCCCTTGAATTGTTTTTGTTCCATGTTTCAGATATTAGCTAACTATATTGTGTGGTCTAACTAGTTAGAAATAAATTGTCTATTATTTAATCAAGACTACACTATCCTGATTAAGTAAGTGTTGAAGTCGAGTATTGTTAGTCCTCTAATTTGGTTGATCTCCTTCGCTATTGTGTCAACTATTCTGAATCTTTTGCTTTTCCACATAAATTTCAGAATCAGTTTATTCAAATCCTCAAAATCACTTGCTGAGATTTCTGATTATTACATTTTTTAAATAACTACAAAATGATTGATTTTATTAGTTTGTTGGAAACTGCCTATCTGGCTATAGTCTACGTTTCAGCTGTTATAAAATCTGCAAGTCCTCATACAAAAACTTTCACACTATGATGACACCTCACTGCTGACAGCCTCCTCTGCAGTCCTGGAGCTCCTGCAGGATACACGCTGCATGCACAGGTAGACATGTGCAACCCAGGAGGGCAGCCAGGGTTTTCCCAGGATGTCAAAGCTCAGAAGGAACCAAAAATTTTAAAGATTTTTAAAAATATTTTAATTTTTTACAATATAGGTTGAAAGCAAATAGCTCCTTCAAGAGCTAGAACAACTGAACTTCACATCTAATAACAAGAATGTTCAATTAAAACAGAAAGCTACCCTATGGCCCTTCCATTCATAATGCCCATCCATGAGCCTCAGCATGGACTACAAGTGGATTTAGGGGTCCCTTTCAAGATCTTCAATTGTTCAGAGGGCACTCCACTGCCCTAGCGGAAGGAATAAATCTGTCACACCACCCACAACACAGCTAGTTCTGGAGGGCCAGGACCATGGCCCAGAAGCAGTACTGCATGAAGATTAAACTTCTCTTCCTTTTAAGTGTCAGATCCCAAACTGTCAACAGTGTATACATGCATTGTAACAAACACAAACACTACCAACAGAAAATAATCATTCACATGCCATAGGTACATGCATGTGTACACACACACACGCACAGACTCTCACACACATACTTCATATTTGCTTGTCTTTTACTGAGAAAAAAGGGATTATAATATGCAAAAAACAGATTTTTTAAAGTAATCATGATAACAGAAACACTCAGCTAAGATGCTATTCTATTCATTTATAAACACCTTGCTTCCTAAGGGCCTGCCACACCTTAACCCATAGAACTCACTTGTGGAATAAATTCTTTACTGAATGAAATAAGAACTTAAGTCACAAAGTATCTATTGACTATGATATGGAAAAAAGCCTTTTAAAAGCACGTATTATCATATATAAATACAGAATATGAACTAAGGGCTACAGCAGGAAAACGTTAACTGGTTATGAATTAGAATTTTTATTTGTCTATTGCTTGCAGGGTTTTATTGGGCACCTAGCCTGTTTGAAGCATGAAAGCTTTAACCCCAAGACTCACCCTGCAAGCCAAAAGCATACTTTGTTGGCAACATTAAAGCATTTCTGGCTTCTGGCCTGGGACATCAGCAAAAAGGCAGAGTAGGCAGCTCCAAGGGTCCATCCTCCACAAAACCATTGAAAATTCAAGCAAAAACTGTCAGAATCAACTTTGTCAGAATAATGGAAACAGTAAATGGTTCGCAGCAACCAAGCAAAAATGGAATGGAGAGAAAGGTAAAATAAAAGCAGGAGGAAGGCCCTGTGGTGTTTTCATCTACCCAAATCCACCCTCCTCTCCAGCTCCACAGTGCAGGACCTGGCCCCTGTCTTGAAGACAGCAGCAGCATTCCCAGTGCAGGACCTGGCCCCTGGTTCCCGAGGGTGCAGAGCAGACTTGATTCACAAAGAATTGTGTTTGCTCTAACCTGTCTGGAGGCTGCTGAAGGACTGATTCAAGGGGCTCCTCTCTGTTCTGTGTAACTCAGAATGCACTCAGGGCAGAAAAGTGGCAGGCACTCCTGGAAAACACTAGAAGGCAAATGAGCAACCTGCAGTCCCTGGGACAGAAGATTACCATTGAGGCACACGGTAGAGTGCCAAAACCATGAAAGGAAAGGCTGGGGACAGGGTTTAAGAAATTCAGGCATTCAACACAAGGAACTCAAACATCTCAACAGCAAAGAACAAATAATCCCATTAAAAAGTGGGCAAAGGATCTGAATAGACATTTTTCAAAAGAAGACATACAAATGGCCAGGAGATATATGAAAGAATGCTCGACATCCATCACCAATCATCAGGGAAATGCAAATCAAAACCACAATGATATATACCATCCCAACCCAGTTGCAATGGCTATTATCAAAAAGACAGAACGTAATAAATGCTGGTGAGGATGGAAAGGGAACTCTTATACACTGTTGGTGAGAATGTAAATTAGTATAGCTGCTAAGGAAAATCGTATGGAGATTTCTCAAAAAAGTAAAAACAGAACTACCATATGATCCAGCAATCCCACTGCTGGCTGTTTATCCAAAGGAAAGGAAATCAGTATGTTGAAGAGATATCCATACTCCCATGTTCATTACAGCACTATTCACAATATCTAAGATAGGAAATCAACCTCAGTGTCCATCAATGGATAAAGAAATTGATAAAATGATAAATTGATACATTGTTAAAGAAAATGGGAGACACACACACACAAACACACAATAGAGTACTATTCACACTTTAAAAAGAAGGAAATCCTGCCTTTTTTAATAACATGGATAAGCCTGAAAGACATCACACCAAGTGAAATAAGCAAGCCAGAGAATGATAAATACCATGCGGTGTACGTATGATATACTATTTGGCCATAAGATAGAATGAAAATGGAATACTATCTGGCCATAAAAAAAGAAAAAAAAGAATGAAATCCTGTCCGGGCACAGTGGCGCACGCCTGTAATCCCAGCACTTTGGGAGGCCGAGGTGGGCAGATCACTTGAGGTCAGGAGTTGAAGACCAGCCTGGCCAACATGGTGAAACCCCATCTCCACTAAAGACATAAAAATTAGCCTGGCGTGGTGGCGTGCGCCTGTAATCCAGCTACTCAGGAGGCAGAGGCAAGAGAATCGCTTGGACCTGGGAGGCAGAGGTTGCAGTGAGCCAAGATTGTACATCTGCGCTCCAGCCTGGGCGGCAGAGCGAGACTCTGCCTCAAAACAAACAAACAAACAAAAAGAATGAAATCCTGTCATTTACGGCAACACAGATCAGCCTGAAGGATATTATGTTAAGCAAAGTAAGTCAGGCACTGGAAGACAAATACCACATGATCTCAACCATATGTGATGGCTGAAAAAAAATGAGCTCATGGATATAGAAAATTAGAATTGTGGGTGCAGAGTCTGGGAAGGGTACCAGTGAGGGGAGGATGATGAGAGGTTGGTTAATGGATACAAAGTTGCAGCTAGATAGGAAGCATGAATTCTGGTGTTCTATAGCACTATAGGGTGAATATGGTTAACTACAATTTATTATATATTCTCAAAAAGCTAGAATAGAGGATTTTCAATGTTCACAACACAAAGAAATGAGGTGATGGATATGCTAATTATCCTGATTCGATCATTACACATTGTATACACATATTGAAATATCACTCTGTATCCCATAAATATGTACAGTTATTATTTGACAACTAAAAATAAAAGGGAAAAAGAAATTCAAGCATTCCAAAGCACCTATGCATATGGGTGGGAATGTAGACAGCCATGTGAATGCCCAGAGCAGAACGCATGCTCAGAAGAAGCCTGAGAAGACCCCAGTCTTTCACCTCTGGATGAGCTCCAGGTTCAGTATAAACAAGAAATGAAGGTCAAGGCATAGCTGTAAAAAGCCAGGCTAAGTGTTAAAGGAGGACTCCACCACAGAGCCACTCCATACAGATAAGCGGTCAGTCTCTTCTCTCTCTGTTTTTCTCTGCCTCTCTCTCCAACCCCCTCGCTCTCTCTATCATGTTTTGGCATCTGGTGCTCAAGGAAATCTCTTTGACAGCACTAGCTGAACAAACAACTAAACAGAGACTTCAGAGACCACACACGGTAAGGAATTACAGATCTTGCAAAACTCTACAGTCTATAGCAAGCAACAACAAACCCTGAGGTGGGGGAAGAATCTGATCTCCAGAGTTACCTCTGTTTAATATGCAAAATGTCCAGGCGTTTGTTCGTTTGTTTTGAGACAGGGTCTCACTCTGTCACCCAGGGTGGAGTGCAGTGGCTCGATCTCAGCTCACTGCAACCTCCACCTCCTGGATTCAACTAATTATCCTGCCTCAGCCTCCAGAGCAGCTGGGATTACAGGCATGCACCACCACACCTGGCTAATTTTTCTATTTTTAGTAGAGACGGGATTTTGCCATGTTGGCCAGGCTGGTCTCAAACTCCTGACCTCAAGTGATCTGCCCACCTTAACCTCCTAAACTGCTACAATTACAAGTGTGAGCCACCATGCCTGGCATGTTCAGTTTTCAACAATAACTTATGAACCATGTAAAGAAACAAGAAAATATGGCTCATTCACATAAGAAATTAACAAACATTGTCCCTGAAGAAACACACACACTGGACTTACTAAAGACTTTAAATCAACTGCCCTAAATATGCTAAATGACTTAAAGGAAAGAAAGGAAAAGGAGCTAAAGGAAATCAGGATAAGAATGTATGAACAAATAAGTGAATTGAAATAAAGATATAGAAATTATAAAAGGGAGTCAAATTCTAAGGTCAAAAAGTACACCAACTGAATTTTTTTAAAAATCACTAGAGCATCTCAGTAACAGACTTGACTAGGCAGAAGAAAGAACCCGCGAACATAAAGACAGGGCAATGAAAATTATCCAGTCTGAGAGGAAGAACAAAAATGATAAAAGATTAACAGGTATGAAATGCCATCAAGCATACCAATACCAAGTACATAACAGGAATCCCAGAAGGAGAGGTGCGAGTGAAAGGAACACAAAGAATATTTGGAGAAATAATTGCCAAAACTTACCATACCTGATAAAAGATACAAATCTACACACACAAGAAGTTCAGTGAGTTTCAAGTGAGATGAATACAAAGAAATCCACACTGAGACACATTATAATCAAACAGTCAAAAAGCCAAGGGCAAAGAGAAAAATCTTGAAATCAGCGAGAGAGGAGCCACTGATTCACATACAAGGGATCCTCAATCAGATTAACAGCTGACTTCTCATCAGAGACCAGGGGACCAGAAGGCAATGAAATGACATTTTAAAGTGATGGGCAGGATGGGGGTGATGCTTCCAACCAAGCATTGTATGATACATCCTACAAAAATACCCTTGAAAAATGAAGGAGAAATTTACACCCACATATTGAATGGCTCCAATTGTATAAAATATCAGAAACAGGTAACAATCCACAGGGACATAATTCAGACTGATGGCTTCCAGGGGCTAGGAGAGGGGAAATAGGGAGAAACAATTTAATGAGTATGGGATTTCCTCTGGAGACAATGAAAATAATTTTGGACTTTTATAGAGGGAGTGGTTACACAACGGTGTGAATGTACTAAACGTCAAAGAATTATTCACACAAAAATTATTACTGTTAAGTTAATTTCACCTCAGTAAAGAAAAATAAAACATGGGAAAAACTGGCTTCTGACAAACTGATCAAAGTTCTGAATCACAGGCAGTAGCAGAAGCAGCATGGATTACCCTGAGATCTCTTCCTTCCTTCCTTACCTGCCTGGCCGAGAGAAATATGGAGCGAGGGTACTGATTTAAGATAATATGCTAACTGGGTGCTTGTAGCAATATCAAAAGGTAATGTAATATAGACTAAACCATATGGAACCATGAACTGCCAAGGACATGAGTTACCTGCCAAAGTAAGACGTTGCCCTTGGGTGCAGACAGAAAACATGGTGGGGTGATCTTTATCAACAGTCAGCAACAGGATAAAATTCCATGTGTAAAGGCCACCTGAACTTTGATTCTGTATGTGCGTATTTTACAAGAATGTAAGAGCAGTCCAAAAACTATTTTAATTGAATTCATTCTATACATAGGTGCATCCCAATGCCAATTACTGGCATCAATTCTAAACCAATAAATAAGAACATATGTATTTTACGCACAAAATGTCATGTCTCTCTGGATATCCCATGCACAACCCCAACAGTACCCGTCCATCAGAGCCTGCAGCTCTATGAAGGAGAACTTAACAGCACTCTAGGTGAACACGCCCCTGCCTGATGCCGTCCACAAAGCTAGGCACATTTGCACGTCTGGGTACCATCGCTCAGCTACACAACCACAGGCCATGACGGCGCAGTTCTTCCAACTAGGCTGTGCTGACACAGGTCTCGAGATGGCTGATGCTTTTGATGCATCCTGAAGTTTTGCTACAAAGATCACCACAAAAATGTTCAAGCATCAAAATGTTTTAATTCTTCTGAAATGAAACTGTCTCTAAATAGCTCAGCAATAAAATTCAATAATTCTATTGGGTTCAAAGCAGTTTAACAATGGAAAATGAATTATATAGTCAAAGGTGGTCCATTCTCGCTCTCCAGTAAACATTTCTGTATGTGCGGAATTGGTGGGTTCTCGGTCTCACTGACTTCAAGAATGAAGCCGTGGACCCCCGGTGAATTTTACACTTCTTAAAGGCCGGTGCATCTGGAGTCGTTAGTTCCTTGTGGTGTTCGGACATGTTGGGAGTTTCTTCCTTCTCTCCCAATGGGTTTATGGTCTCTCTGGCCTCAGAAGCAAAGCTGCAGAACTTCGCTGTGAGTATTACAGCTCTTGAAGGTAATACAGAGCCTAAGAGTGAGCAGTGGCAAGATTTACCGCAAAGAGCGAAAGAACAAAACCTCCACAACATGGAAGAGAACCCAAACAGTTTGCGGCTGCTGGCTCCGGCAGCCTGCTTTTATTCCCTTGTCTGACCCCACCCACATTCTGCTGATTGGCCCATTTTACAGAGAGCTGACTGGTCCATTTTACAGAGAGCTGATTGGTCCGTTTTACAGAGAGCTAATTGGTCTGTTTTGACAGGGTGCTGATTGGTGCGTTTACAATCGCTGACCTAGACACAGAGTGCTGATTGGTGTATTTACAATCCTCTAGCTAGGTGTAAAAGTTCTCCAAGTCCCCACTAGATTAGCTAGACACAGAGCACTGATTGGTGCATTTACAAACCTTGAGCTAGACACAGAGTGCTGACTGGTGCATATACAATCCTCCAGCTAGACATAAAAGTTCTCCAAGTCCCCACCTGACTCAGGAGCCCAGCTGGCTTCCGCTAGTGGATCCCGTGCCAGGGCCGAAGGGGAGCTGCCTGCCAGTCCCACTCCAGGCGCCTGCTCTCCTCAGCCCTTGGGGGTCTATGGGACTGGACGCCTATGGAGCAGGGGGTGATGCCCCTCTGGGAGGCTCAGGCAGGAGGCTCGGGCAGCACGGGAGCCCACTGCAGGGGGCAGCATGGCGGGCTGCAGATCCCCAGCCCTGACCCGTGGGGAGGCGGCTGAGGCCCCGCGAGAATTCGAGTGTGGCACAGGCGGGCCAGCAGTGCTAGGAGACCCAGCGCCCCCTCCACAGCTGGTGGCCCAGGTACTAAGCCCCTCACTGCCCAGGGCCAGTGGCACCAGTTGGCCACTCCGAGTGTGGGGCCGCTGCCTGCACCCACCCAGATCTTGGGCTAGCCCACGAGCCCTGTGCACAGCCCTGGTTCCTGCCCGCACCCCTCCCTCCACACCTCCCCGTAAGCAGAGGGAGCTGGCTCCTGCCTCGGCCAGCCCAGAGTGGGGCTCCTACAGTGCAGCAGGGGGCTGAAGGGCTCCTCAAGCGTGGCCAAAGCAGACATCGAGGCCCAGGAGGTGCAGAGAGTGAGCGAGCGAGCACTGCTAGCACATTGTCACCTCTCATCTAGACTTGTTGAGTGTGAGTACCTGCCCTTTCTGGAACAAACCATCAATTCTTTTGCTCCCTACAATTTTAAGTTCCAATCTGGTGAGCCCTAGGGTCCCTAGGTTTCATATTGTAGAAGGCTTTAAATCTAAAGAGTCCTTGGATAAATGGAAGGGCAAAGTAAATCTCAGGAAGTTTCACACAGTAGCTATCTGACTGCATTCAAGAAAGAAATCTCTGTATTTTCCTTCAACTTCTCTCACACAGCCCAAAGTTGTTGGGAGAAGGTAAAGGAAAAAACATGAAGATTTATTTCATGGAGATAGCCAGCATAGGGGAAATTATTTACCTTTTCGACTTAGAACAACTAGAAAACAAGTTTCCAATCATGGTCATCTCCTGCCTCACAGTAGACATTAAAGTTAAGTTAGAGAATTCACAACCACACCCTTCTGATTGACACTATACATATCAATCTCGTTACTCAACTGAGGGGAAAAAACTATTTCCATCAGCTAGACCTTTTCCTGCACTCCATGAAAAGCTCAAACACTCAGGATGTCAAACTTAACTTTTTTGCAATCACACAGCAAGGCCCAATCTGTCAAAGCCATACGATTCACTGCCTTTATTTCTACTGTTGGTTTGATTTTTTTTTTTTTCTAGCTTGTGGGTTTCAGGGCAGACAAAGGCAGCTAAAAGTCTCAGGGAGAAAAAGAATCTCCAGTAGGCTGTACCATAGACATCCCCATTTATTGCATGTAACTTACTTCACTTCTCAACCCCACAGTTTAATCACCTGTATAAAACTGGCGCAGTAATACTCAGACTGCAAAGTCATTGTAAGAATTAGCAGTAGCATGAGGAAAACATCAGCTCATGTTAGGAATGCACTGATTATTACCTGGCATTATTTAGATTGATTAATAAGTTCATATATGCATAGTGGGAAACACCTTGGTCTAACATTCTTTGGTTCTAATTATGATTACGATATCATGTGATTTCCATGTGTTAGAGAGCAAGTCATAATTATCACCATTGTAAAAGGAGAAGTACATTCTACATCAGATTGACAAATTGTGTTCTATAAAACTCTAAGAAGCCAGGCAGATACCTCAAGAGCCATGAGGACTCAATAGGAAGGTTGCTAAATTCTATGAGCTATCGGTTATGACCTTCAAGTGTTAAACATATTAATATAGAGGTATAACTTTTCCCGATAGGAAATAAAAGGCAATTACTATTTTAACATGCTGCCAAACACACTGCCTATTGTTAAAATAATTGTTAAAATTTTTATTGAGGCTGGGCACGGTGGCTCATGCCTGTAATCCCAGCACTTTGGGAGGCCAAAGCAGGTAGATCACCTGAGGTCAGGAGTTCGAGACCAGCCTGGCCAACATGGTGAAACCCCGTCTCTACTAAAAATACAAAAATTAGCCAGGCGTGGTGGCGGGCACCTGTAATCCCAGCTATTCAGGAGGTTGAGGCAGGAGAATCGCTTGAACCCTGGAAGCGGAGGTTGCAGTGAGCTGAGATCACGCCACTGCACTCCAGCTGGGGCGACAGAGTGAGACTCCGTCTCCAAAAAAAAAAAGTTTTTGTTGAAATAAATTATTTTAAATAACAGTGACTTCAGTTAAAATCCTAATTAGTGAACTTATTAGTAATTCAATAATAGTATTTCCAATGCTTCCCTGACAACCCTTTTTTTTTTTTTTTTTTTTTTTTTTGAGACGGAGTCTCGCTCTGTCGCCCAGGCTGGAGTGCAGTGGCGGGATCTCGGCTCACTGCAAGCTCCGCCTCCCGGGTTCACGCCATTCTCCTGCCTCAGCCTCCCAAGTAGCTGGGACTACAGGCGCCCGCCACTACGCCCGGCTAATTTTTTGTATTTTTAGTAGAGACGGGGTTTCACCGTTTTAGCCGGGATGGTCTCGATCTCCTGACCTCGTGATCCGCCCGCCTCGGCCTCCCAAAGTGCTGGGATTACAGGCGTGAGCCACCGCGCCCGGCCGACAACTCTTTTTACCTCATAAAGAGAAGCTATGTAAATCCTGAGGCAAACAGCACGCTTAATGCTGAGCATTTAAAAGCATTCTCAGGCAGAAGGATCACTTGAGCCCAGTAATTCAAGGCTGCAGTGAGCTATGATAACACCACTGCACTCCAGCCAGTGTGCAGAGTAAGATCCTGTCTCTAAAAATAAATAAATAGTTCAGATAGAAATAAACAGAATATAGATAGATAGACAGATAGAGATAATAAAAGCATTCCTGGCTAGGCATGGTGGCTCAGGCCTGTAATCCCAGCACTTTCGGAGGCTGAGGTGGGCGAATCACCTGAGGTCAGGAGTTCCAAGACCAGCCTGGCCAATATGGTGAAACCTCATCTCTACTAAAAATACAAAAAATTAGCCAGGGTGGTGGCTCACACCCGTAATCCCAGGTACTCGGGAGGCTGAGGCAGGAGAGTTGCTTGAACCCAGGAGGCAGAGGTTGCAGAGAGCCAAGATCACACCACTGTACTCCAGCCTGGCCAATAGAGTGAGACTCCATCTCAAAAAATTTAAAGAAAGCATTCCCAATGAAGACACAGCAAAAATGCTCTCCTTCACTATTACTATTCAATATTTAATGGGAATTCCCAGCCAGCACAATTAAGAAAATAAGTAACAAGGATCGAAAAGAGACAATATTATCATTCTTTACTGACAGAATGATTACATATAAAATTCAAAAACATATACAAAGTATCAGACCTAATACGAGTTTGGAAAGACTATAGGAAAAAAAAAAACTTTAAAAACGCTTTCCAATATTTCAATAACAATCAATTAAAAACCATTTTTAGAATTAGCAATAAACTCCACCAGGTACCTAGAAAAAAACTAAGACACAAGAACTTTATACACATAAAATTGTGCCAAAATACGTTAAAATGTATTCAACTCTTCCAGCTTTATTGTGGTATAAGTGACAAATAAAAATTGTATATATTTTAGGTGAACAACATAAGTTGATACACATATTCACTGTAAAATGATTACCACAATCAGGCCAATTAACATATCCATCACCTCACATAGTTACCATTTTTATCCTTGTGGTAAGAATATTTAAAATCTACTCTCTTAGCAAATTTCAAGTATACAAAACATTATTATTTTAGTTATAGCCACATTAGGTCTCCAAAACTAACTCATCGTGTAACTGAAAGTTTGTTCGCTTTGACCAACACCTACCCATTTCCCACAGGCCCAGCCCCTGCAACCATCATTCTCCTCTCTGTTTCTATGAGCCACGTTTTTAGATTCCACATATAAGTGAGACCATGTGGTATTTATCATTCCCTGGCTTGCTTATTTCACTTAGTGTAATGTCCTCCAGGCTTATCCATGTTGTTCAAAAAGGCAGGATTTCCTTTCTTTGAAGGCTGGCTAATACTCCTCTGCCTGTGTGTTTGTGTGCATGTGTGTGTGTGTCTGGATGTGTGTTTGTATGTGTGTCACATTTTATCAGTTTATCCACTGATGGACATTAGGTTGTTCCCATTATCTTGGCTATTGTGACTAATGCTGCAGTGTACATGGGGGTGTAGATTTATCTTTAAAACACTGATTTCAATTACTTTGGATATATACCCAGAAGTAGAATTGTTGGATCATATGGTTGTTCTATAATTTTTTGAGGAACCTCTATACTGTTTACCACAATGGCAGTACCAATTTACATTCCCAGCATCAATATATAAGGGTTCCCTTTTCTCCACAACCTCACCAACTCTTGTTATCTGTTGGTACTTTGAGAATAGCCATTCTAACAGGTGGGAGATCACATCTCATTGTAGTTTTGATTTGTATTTCCCTGATGATTGATGATGTTGAGCACTTTTTCACATACTTGTTGCCATTTGTATGTCTTCTGTGAGTTGCCTTTACATTTCATTGTTTCCTTTGCTCTAAAGAAATATTTTAGTATGGTGTAGTCCAATTATTTGTTTTTACTTTTGTTGCTTCTGTTTTTGGTGTAATATTCAAAACATCACTGCTAAGATCCATCTTATTGAGCTTTCTATGTTTTCTTCTAGGAGTTTTGTGGCTTCAGGCCTTTCCTTTAAATCTTTAAACAATTTTAACTTGATTTTTGTGTACAGTGTCAGATAACTCTCCAATTTTGTTTCCTTTCATATTTTTTCTTTTTTTGCATGAGGATATCCAGTTTTCCTAACACCATTAATTGAAAACAATGATCCTTTTCCCATTGTGTATTCATGGCACCTTTGTCAAAGATTAGTTGACCATATATGCATGGGTTTATTTATGGGCTTTCTATTCTGTTCCATTGGTCTATGTGTCTGTTTTTATGCCAGTAGCATGTTTTTTTGGCTACTATAGCTTTGTAATATAATTTAAAATCAGGAGATGTGATGACTTCAGTTTTGTTCTTCCTGTTAAAAATTGCTTGGGCTATTCGGGGTCTTTTGTGGTTCCCTATGAATTTTAGGATTGTTTTTTCTATTTCTGTGAAAAATGCCAATGAAATTTTGATAGACTGCATTGAATCTGTAGATCACTTTGGGTATTATGAATATTTTTATAATATTGATTATTCTGATCCATGAACATGGGATATCTTCCCATTTGTGTATCATTCCATTTCTTTTATCAATGTTTCATAGTTTTTGGTGTATAGATCTTGCATCTCCTTATTTAAGCTTATTTATGTTATTATTTTTGATGCTATTGTAAATCAGACTGATTTCTTAATTTCTTTTTCTAATACTGTACACTAATGTGTTATTAGTGTACAGAAACACAACTGCTTTTTATATCCTGCAACTTTACTAAATTCATTTATAGTTCTAATTAGTTTTGGGGTGGTGTCTTTAGGAATTTCTATTACAAGATCACATCTCCTGCAATCAGAAACAATTTCCTCCTTCCCAATTTGGATGACTAATAAAATAAATAAATAAAATAAAATAAAATAATAAAATTATTTTTACTGCCTAATTGCTTTGACTAGGATTTCCACTACTACTTTAAATAAAAGTGGTGAGAGTGGGCATCCTTGTCTTCTTCCTGATTTTAGAGAAAAAGCTCTCAACCATTTATGGTTGACTATGATGGTAGCTTGTGAAATATGACCTTTATTGTGTTGAGGCATATTATTTCTATACCTAAATTTGTTTAGAGTTTTTGTCATAAAAGATTGTTGAATTTTGTCAAATGTTGGTTTAAATATTTGAGATAATCATATAATTTTTGTCCTTCATTCTTTCTGTTAATGTGTTGTACCACACTTATTGATTATATTGAACTATCTTTGTATCCCAGGGATAAATCCCACTTATTTGTTTAATATGCTATTGAATTCAGTTTTCTAGTATTGTGCTAAAGATTTCTACACATATATTCATCAGGGATATTGGCTTGTAATTTTCTTTCCTTGTAGAATTTTTGCCTGGCTTTGCTATCAGGGTAATGCTAGCCTCATAAAACAAGTTGGAAGATGTTCCTTCTTGCTATGGTTTGAATATGCCCTCCAAAGTTAATGTGTTAGAAACTTAATCCCCAATGCAACAGTATTAGGAAGTAGGGCCTAATGGGAGGTGCTTAGGTCATGAGGGTTCCATCCTTATCAATGCATTAATGCTGATTATAAAAGGGCTTGAAGCTGTGAGTTCCATCTCTTGCTCTCTCGCACTCTTTTTCTCTTCTGCCTTCTGCTATGCAATGACATAGCAAGAGGATCCTCACCAGATGTGGGCCCTAGATCTTGGACTTCCCCGTCTCCAAAACTGTAAGAAATTAATTTATTTTCTATGTAAGTTACCAAGTCTGTGGTATTTTGTTACAGCAACACAAAATAGACTAAGACATTTTCTCTTCAATTTTTTTTGGAAGCGTTTGAGAAGCACTGGTATTAATTCTTCTTTAAATGCTTGGTAGAATTCATCAGTGAAGCCATCGGATCCTGGACTTTTCTTTGATAGAAAGATTTTTGTTACTGATTCAAACTTCTTACTCATTATTAGCCTGTTAAGACTTCTTTTTCTTCACGATTAAATCCAAGACTTCTTTTTCTTCATGATTAAGTCTTTGTAGGTTGTGTGTTTCTAGGAATTTATCCATTACTTCTGGGCTAATTTATTGGCATATAAGTGTTTGTAGTACTCTCTTAGGATCCTTTGTAATCCTGTGGTATCAATTGTAATGTCTTCCCTTTCATTTCTGATTTTATTTTAGTCTTCTTTTTTCTTAATCTAATTAACAGTATGTCAATTTCATTTATCTTTTCAAAAAACCAACTCTTAGTTTTGCTGATCTTTTCTATTATTTTTCTAAGTTCTATTTCATGTATTTGTTCTCTGATCTTTACTATATCCTTCCTTCTGCTAACTTTAGTTTGTTCTTCTTTTTCTAGTTTCTCAATATGTAATGATAGGTTGTTTATTTGAGATCTTTCATTTTTCTTCATGTAGGCATTTTTCACTATAAACTTTCCTCTTAAAACTACTTTTGCTGCATCACCTATGATAAGATTTGGCTCTGTGTCCCCATGCAAATCTTATCTCAAATTGTAATCCCCATGTGTTGAGGGAGGGAACTGGTGGGAAGTGACTGGATCACAGAGGTGGTTTGCCCCATGCTTTTCTCGTGTTAGTGACTGAGTTCTCATGACAGCTGATGGCTTTTAAGTGTGGCACTTCCTCACTCTCTCCTGCTGCCTTATGAAGATGTGCCTTGTTTCCCCTTCACCTTCTGCTATGATCGTTAAGTTTCTTGAGGCCTCCCCAGCCATGTGGAACTGTGAGTCAATTAAACCTCTTTTCTTTATAAATTATCCAGTCTCAGTATCTTTATAACAGTGTGAGAATGGACTGATATACCCAAAGTTTTGGTACACTGTGTTTTCATTTTCATTTGTCTCAAGATATTTTTTAATTTTCCTACTGATTTCTTCTGCTCCATTGGTTGGGAGTATGTTGTTTGATTTCCACATATTTGTAATTTTCCCAATTCCCTTCCATTAGTTATTTCTAGTTTCATGATACTATGATCAGAAAGAAATATTACATAATTTGATATATAATTAAAATATAATTTCAATCTGCTTAAATACATTAAGACTTGTTTTGTGGCCCAACGTATAACCTATCCTGAAGAATGTTCCATGTATACTTTAGAAGAATCTGTACTCTGCTGCTGTTGAATAGAATGTTCTGTATTTCTGTATATATCTGTTAGGTCTACTTGGTATAAAGTGTAAAATCTAATGTTTCCTTACTGATTTTCTCTCTGGATATCCTGTCTGTAGTTGAAAGTTAGGTAATGAGGTCCCTCATTATTACTGTATTGCTGTCTATTTCTCCTTTCAGATCTATTAATATTTGCTGTATATTATTTACGTGGTCTGATGTTGGGTACATATATGATTATTGTGTCCTCTTAATGAATTGATCCCTTTTTCATTACATAATGACCTTTTTGATCTCTTTTAAAGTTTTGTAGTCAAACTATATTTTGTCTGATATAAATATAGCTACCCCTGCTCTCTTTTGGTTTCCATTTGCAAGAAGTATCTTAATTCCTTCACATTCGGTTTATGTATGTCTTTAAAGTTGAAGTGATTTTCTTACGGCAGCATATAGTTGAGTCTTGTTTTTAAATCTATTCAGCCAATCTGTCTTTTGACTGGATAATTTAATGCATTTACATTCAAGGTAATTATTGATAAGAACTTTCAATTGTCATTTTGTTAATTTGTTTCTGGGTGTTTTGAGGATGCCTTGATCCTTTCTTCCTCTCTTGCTGTCTTCCTTTGTGACTTGACAATTTTCTGTAGCAGTATGCTTTGATTCCTTTCTCTTCATCTTTTCTGTATCTACTATATGTTTTTGCTTTGCCATTACCATGAGGCTTACATAAAGCATATTATAGTTATAACAGTTTAAGCTGATAAAAACTTGTTTGTTTGTTTTGAGACAGAGGCTTGCTCTGTTGCCCAGGCTGGAGTGCAGTGGCGTGATCATAACTCACTGCAGCTTCTAACTCCTTGAGAGATGATCCTCTCACCCAAGCCTCCTGGGTACCTAGGACTACAGGTGCACACACTAGGCTAATTTTTTTTTTTTTTTTAGAAATGAGGTCTCACTATGTTGCCCAGGCTGATGTCAAACACCTAGGCTCAAGCAATCCTCTTGCTTTGTCCTCTCAAAGTGCTGAGATTACAAGTGTGAGCCACCATGCCCAGTCAAAAACTTAACTTTGATAACATACAAAAACTCTACACTACTTTCTGATAGTGAAGTGTAAGTAAATTCTTCCTAATTGGTAATTACATATTGTGTAAATGAACTAAACTCTCTAAGAGAAAGGCAGAGATTGGCAGAATAAATTAGAAACTTGTGGAACTGTATGCTGTCTACAAGAGACTCACTTTAGATTAAAAGACAAAAACAGGTTGAAAGTAAAAGGAAAGAAAAGGATATTTCATGTGAACAGAAACCAAAATAGAGCTGGAGTGTATACACTAATATCAGATGAAATACACTTTAAGATAAAAATTGCTACTAAAAACAAAGCAGCACAATATACACTAATAAAAAGGTCAAGTCATTAAGAAAATACTGCAATTATAAATATACCACACCTACCAACAGAGTCCTAAAAATACCTGAAGCAAAAAATTGACAGAATTGAAATACAAAATAGGGAATTCAACAATAATAGTTGGAGAATTAAATACCTCAATTTCAATAATGAATAGAACAAATAGAATAACAGCAAGGAAACAGAAGACTTGAACAACACTATAAACCAATCAACTTGACATCTATAGAACACTCAACCCAACAGCAGCAGAATACACATTCTTCTCAAGCATACATGGAACATTTTCCTGATGAAACATATATTGGGCCAAAAAACAAGTCTCTGTAAATCTTTAAAGATTCAAATAATGCAAAACATGTTCTCTGATCACAAAAGAATAAATTAAGAAATCAATCACAAAAGGAAAACTGGAAATTCACAAATACATGCAAATTAACAACACATTCCATTGGCCAATGGGTCAAAGAAGAATTTACAAGAGAACTTAGAAAATACTTTGAGATAAAATAAAAATAAAATACAATATACTAAAGCTTAATCTTTCATATCAGAGTTTAATCCATTTGAATAAAAGCAGTGCTCAGAGGGAAATTTATATCTGTAAATGCCTTCACTAATAAAATAAAAAACTCTCAAATCAATAATCTAACCTTCCACCATAAGAAACTTAAAAAAGAGCAAATTAAATCTAAATCAAACACATACAAAAAAGAGATTGGAGCCAAACAGAGAACAGAAAAACAACATAGAAAATCAACAAAACCAAAGTTGGTTCTTTGAAAAGATCAACAATATTGACAAACTTTAGCTAGGCTGAGCAAAGAAAAAATAGAAGACTCCAATTACTAAAATCAGGAATGAAAGAGAGAATATCATAATTCTAAGAAAATTCTATGAAAGCTGGATACCATCAAATTAGATACCCTAGATGAAATGGACAAATTCTTAGAAACACACGATCTACCAAAATTGACTCAAGAAGAAACAGACCTGTAGCTAATAAAGAAATGAGTCAACTTTTCTAAAAAAAAATCTTTCAATGAGGAAAGCCTCGACCAGATGGTTTCATTGGGGTATTCTACAAAATGTTTAAAGAAAAATTAACAACATTATTTCTCAAACTCTTACAAAGAGTAGAAGAGAAGGGAATACTTCGTAATTCATTCTGTGGAAGTGAAACACATCAAAAGTAAAAACTACAGATCAATAACCGTTGTGACTACAGATGCAAACATTCTCAACAAAACATTAGCAAATGGAATCTAACAGCATATGAAAGGGGTTATTCACCATGACCAAGTAGAGTTTATCCCAGAAATGTGAGGTTGGTCCAACATATAAAAATTTATCAACATAATAAAGCATATTAGCATAAACCCACATGATCATCTCAATAGATGCAGAAAAAGTATTTGACAAATTCCAACATCTTTTCATGATAAAAATTCTCAACAAATTAGAAACAGAAAAGAAAATTTCTTAACCTGATAAAGGGCATCCATGAAAAACCAATAGCTAACATCATACTTAACAGGGAAAGACTGAAAGCTTTGCTCCTAAGATCAGGAAGAAGACAAGGATGTCTACCTCTCACCACTTCTATTCAACATTTTACTGGAGGTTATAGCCAGGGCAAAAAAGAATGCTGTAGGCAAGAAGATGAAATAAAATGCATCCATACTGAAAAGGAAGAAGTAAAAGTATCTCTGTTCACAGATGACCTAATTTTATATAGAGAAAACCCTAAATAATAAACACACATACATATTAAAGCTAATAAATTTGGCAAGGTGACACGATATAAGTTCAATGTATAAAAATCAGTTGTATTTGTATACACACAATGAAAAATTTTAAAATGAAATGAAAAAGACAATTCCATCAACAATACCAGTAAAAAGAATAAAATATTCAGAAAAAATCTAACTAAAGAAGTGCAAGACATATACACTGAAAACCATAAAACATTGCTGAAGTAAATTAAAGACTGAAATAAATGAAAATATATCTAATGTTAATGGACAGATCAAAGCAATTCCTATCAAAAATCTCATCGAGAATTTTTTTTTGCAAGGATCAACAAACTAATCCTACAATTCATATGGAAATTCCTGAAACCCAGACAAGTCAAAACAATCTTGAAAAAGAACAAAGTGAGAGGAATCACACTTTCTGATTTCCAAATTTACTACAATGCTACAGTAATCAAGACAGTGTGATACTGGTATAAGACAGTCAAATAGATCAGTGAAACAGATCTATGGCCAAGTAACTTTCAACAAGAGTGCCAAGACCATTCAATAAGGAAAGAATAATTTTCTCAAGAAATGGTTCTAAAACTAGATATCCACATACAAAGGAATGAAGTTGGACCCCACCTTATACCATATACAAAAATTAATGCAAAATGAATCAAAGGCCTAAATGTAAGGGCTATAACTAAAAATCCTAGAAAAAAAAAGCATAGATATAAATCTGTGCAACTTTGAGTTAAGGAAAAGTTTTTTGGAAAGGACACTGAAAGCATGTGTGACCAAAGAAAAAATAGATGAATTGAACCTCATCGATATTTAAAACTTTTATGTTTCAATCAGCCCTATCCACAAAATGAAAAGACAACCCATAGAATGAGGGAAGACATTTACAAATCATATGTCTGATAAAGGTCTAGTAACCAGCATATATAAAGGACTCCTAGCATTCAACGACAAGAAGTCAAATAACTCAACTAGGAAAAGGGCTAAGGATTTGAACAAAAATTTCTCGTAAGAAGATATACAAATGGCCAATAAATGCATGAAAAGATCTTTAGGGAAGTTCAATATCATTGGCCATTAGAAAAATACAGATCAAAACCACAATGACATACCAATTTCATACCCACTAGGATGGCTAGAATAAAGGGGGAAAAAAAAACCAGAAAATAAGTGTTGGCAAGAATATGAAGAAACTGGAACTCATACGTTGCTGATAGGAATGTAAAATGTTGCAGCTGCTTTGGAAAACAGTCTGGTAGTTAAACACTGAATTACCGTGTGACTCTGTAATTCTACCCTTACATATATACCTAACAGTATTGAAAAGATATGTTCACACAAAATCCAGTACACTAAATGTTCACAGCGGCAATCATAATAGTCTAAAAGTGGAAAGAAACCAAATGTTCATCAATTGATAAATGGTTAAACAAAATGTGGTATATACATATGGAATGTCATTTTCCACAAAAAGGAAGTGCTATTGCATGCTATAACATGGATGAACCTTGTAAACATTATGCTAAGTAAAAGAAGCCAAATACAAAAGGCCACATATTGTATGATTCCAGTTATGTGAAATGTCCAGAAGAGGCAAAATCATAGAAACAGATAGTAGATTTGAGGTGCCAAGGGTTAGAGGATTGGGGAATTGGAGGTGACTGCTAACAGTTATGAGATTTCTTTTTGGGGTGATGGAAATGTTCCGGAATTACGTCATGATGATTTAACATAACACTGTGACTATACTAAAAAAACACTAACCTGTACACTTCAAAATGGTGACTTGCATGTTATGTGAATAATACCTCAATAATTAAAAGAAGTAAGGATAATAAAATCATCTTAATCAGCCAGCTATGCTAGAGCAAGTAAAGCTAAATATCTTTTTAGGATCTAGAGAAAATAAAATTATAAAATTATCATACTAATAGACAATTAATGAATATGCAGCAAAAAACTATTACAAAGATGGGTCATGCAATTCTTTAACTTGTAAATGTTATTTTTCTCAACTGTGTGGTATATTTCATGCATTTAAAGCATTTTTAAGTTTATAATTCATTGTGATTTGTTTTTTCATTCCAAATAAATATCCACTGTCATGACTAAATTTGTATTTACAATTTTGTATTCTTTCTGTTAAAAGAACTGAGATGGGCCCTACAAAACTTGAATCCTCCACTGGAGATACCTTTTCACAACCATCACAGTAGCTAAAATTAAAAAGTCTAATAATACTTGGTATTGGAGAGAAAGTAGACGAATGTTAACTCTCCTTGGCCCTACTAGGAGTACAGATTGATTTAAACAATTTGAAGAGCAGTTTGACGATTATAGTGACATTAAGGTGCCCCAGGAATTCTACTTCTAGAGACAGGCTCTACCAACATGTTTCTACCTATGCACCCCTGCAGCATGTTGTAAAGGCAGAACACCAGAAACAGGCTAAACGGTCAGCAACAACACAACACAGAAGATTGGGATATGTTCTCAGAAGGGCACTCTATAGAGGAGTTAAATGACTTTATGCAGATCAACCCACATGGAAGTGGAAAACAATACCAACTGTGAAAAGCAAGTTTCAGAATGACATCACAGTTAAAACCATTTGTGTGATGTTTTGAAACATGCACACAAGTACTACATATTGATTCCAGAAACAAAGAAATGAAGTAAAAGAGAAATTCCTCTTTGTTTACAGAGGAAATAGACAGGTTGGAAAAGGACACGAGAGACTGTAACTTGATCTGTGATATTTTGAGACACCATGAAGAAGAACTGAAGCGTGTGTTTCCAAGTTTAGGCATCCATGAATTCTGCCTCGTGCTTTTATACTTAGGATTCTTAGGCTCACTCTCTGACCTTTTCTATTTGAAGCTGGATTCAGACTATTTACCTGAGTGGAGGAAATACTTGAATCTTAAAGATCAAACTCACCAACAAAGAAGTGGGGAAAGCAGTCATGAGTAATTCATGAAATGCTAAGTAAAATAATAATGCATTCATAACATTTTTCATCTATCAAACTAGAAGCTCTGGTGTCTTCCATGATGATACCCAGGGCTGGCACTGTCATGTTAGGTCATTAGAAAGCCTTGAAAACATATTTATCCCTTTGCAGAAGCAGGTCTGTTCTCATAAGGAGATTCTTCTGAAGTTGTGCAAAGATTTTGATACAAGGATGTACAATGCCAAGTCACCTTGTAGATGACAAGAGAAAAAGGAGAAAAAATGTCCAACAACTGTTTGTTAAATTGGAATATCTTATACAAACCATAAACATAGAGTGGATACTTATAAAGACAATAAAAAAGGCATGGAGAATGTTTAAGTGTTTAGAAAACATGCTCCCCCTGGGCAGAGCCCACCCCAGTGCCACAAAGCCACTGTAGCCAGACTGCCTCTCTAGGTTCCTCGTCTGTGGGCAAGGCATCTCGGAAAGAAAAACAGCAGCACCCGTCAGGGGCTTATGGATAAAACTCCCATCTCCCTTGGACAGAGCACCTGGGGGATGGGACAGCTATGGGCGCAGCTTCAGCAGACTTAAATATTCCTGCCTGCTGGCTCTGAAGACAGCAGTGGATCTCTCAGCACAGTGCTCGAGCTCTGCTAAGGGACAGATTGCCTCCTCTAGTGGGTCCCTGACCCCAGTGCCTCCTGATGGGGAGACACCTCCCAGCAGGGGTTGACAGACACCTCACACAGGAGAGCTCTGGCTGGCATCTGGCAGGTGCCCCTCTGAGATGAAGCTTCCAGAGGAAGGAGCAGGCAGCAATCTTTGCTGTTCAGCAGCCTCCGCTGGTGATACCCAGGCAAACAGGGTCTGGAGTGGACCTCCAGCAAACTCCAGAAGACCTGAAGATGAGGGGCCTGATGACCGTTAGAAGGAAAACTAACAAACAGAAAGCAATAGCATCGACATCAACAAAAAGGATGACCAAGCAAAAACACCATCCGAGGGTCACCAACAGCAAAGACCAAAGGTAGATAAATCCATGAAGATGCAGAAAAACCAGAGAAAAAAGGCTGAAAATTCCAAAAACCAGAATGCCCCTTCTCCTCCAAAGGATCACAACTCCTTGCCAACAAGAAAACAAAACTGGACAGAGAATGAGTTTGATGAACTGACGGAAGTAGGCTTCAGAAAATGGGTAATAACAAACTCCTCCTAGCTAAGGAAGCATGTTCTCATCCAATGCAAGGACGCTAAGAGCCTTGAAAAAGGTTAGAGGAATTGCTAACCAGAATAGCCAGCTTAGAGAAGAACATAAATGACCTGATGGAGCTGAAAAACACAACACGAGAACTTCGTGAAGCATACACAAGTATCAGTAGCCCAATCTATCAAGCAAAAGAAAGGATACCAGAGATTGAAGATTAACTTAATGAAATAAAGTGTGAAGACAAGATTAGAGAAAAAAGAATGAAAAGGAGCAAAGCCTCCAAGAAATATGGGACTATGTGAAAAGACCAAACCTACGATTGATTGGTGTACCTAAAAGTGATGGGGAGAATGGAACCAAGTTGGAAAACACACTTCAGGATATCATCCAGGAGAATTTCACCAACCTAGCAAGACAAGCCAACATTCAAATTCAGGAACTAGAGAGAACATCACAAAGATACTCCTCGAGAAGAGCAACCCCAAGACACATAATCATCAGATTCACCAAGATTGAAATGAAGGAAAAAATGTTAAGGGCAGCCAGAGAGAAAGGTCGAGTTACCCACAAAGGGAAGCCCATCAGACTAACAGCAGATCTCTCTGCAGAAACCCTACAAGCCAGAAGAGAGTAGGGGCCAATATTCAATGTTCTTAAAGAACAGAATTTTCAACCCAGAATTTCATATCCAGCCAAACTAAGCTTCATAAGTGAAGTTCAATAGAATCCTTTACAGACAAGCAAATGCTGAGGGATTTTGTCACCACCAGGCCTGCCTTACAAGACCTCCTGAAGGAAGCACTAAATATGGAAAGGAAAAACCAGTACAGCCACTGCAAAAACAAACCAAAATGTAAAGACTATCAACACTATGAAGAAACTGCATCAACAATGGGCAAAATAACCAGCTAGGATCTTAATGACAGGATCAAATTCCCACATAATAATATTAACCTTAAATGTAAATGGGCTGAATGCCCCCAATTAAAAGGCAAACACTGGCAAACTGGATAAAGAGTCAAGACCCATCCATGTGCTGTATTTAGGAGACCCATCTCACATGCAAAGACACACTAGGCTCAAAATAAAGGGACGGAGGAAGATTTACCAAGCAAATGGAAAGCAAAAAAAAAGCAGGGGTTGCAATCCTAGTCTCTGATAAAACAGACTTTAAACCAACAAAAATCAAAAAAGACAAACAAGAGGATTACATAATGGTAAAAGAATCAATGCAACAAGAAGAGCTAACTATCCTAAATATAGATGCACACAATACAGGAGCACCCAGATTCATAAAGCAAGTTCTTAGAGACCTAGAAAGAGGCTTAGATTCCCATGCAGTAATAGTGGGAGAATTTAACACCCCACTGTTGATATTAGACAGATCAATGAGACAGAAAATTAACAAGGATATTCAGGACTTGAACTCAGCTCTGCACCAAGCAGACCTAATAGACATCTACAGAACTCTCCACCCCAAATCAACAGAGTATACATTCTTCCCAGGACTACATAGCACTTATTCTAAAATTGACCACATAATTGGAAGTAAAACACTCCTCAGCAAATGCCAAAGAACAGAAATCATAACGGTCACTCAGACCACAGTGCAATCCAATTAGAACTTAGGATTAAGAAACTCACTCAAAACTGCACAACTACATGGAAACTGAACAACCTGCTACTGAATGACCACTGGGTAAATAACGAAATTAAGGCAGAAATAAATAAATTATTTGAAACCAATGAGAACAAAGACACAACGTACCAGAATCTCTGGGACAGCTAAAGTAGTGTTTAGAGGGAAATTTATAGCACTAAAATGCCCACAGGAGAAAGTGGGAAAGATCTAAAATCAACACCCTAACATCACAATGAAAAGAACTAGAGAAGCAAGAGCAAATAAATTCAAAAGCTAGCAGAAGACAAGAAATAACTAAGACCAAAGCAGAACTGAAGGAGATAGAGACATGAAAAACCCTTCAAAAAATCAGTGAATCCAGGAGCAGATTTTTTGAAAAGATTAATAAAATAGGCCGCTAGCCAGACTAATAAAGAGGAAAAGAGAGAAAACTCAAATAGACACAATAAAAAATGATAAAGGGGAGATTACCACTGACCCCACAGAAACAAAAACTACAATCACAGAATACTATAAACACCTCTATGCGAATAAGCTAGAAAATCTAGAGGAAATGGATAAATTCCTGGACACATACACCCTCCCAAGACTAAACCAGGAAGAAGTCAAATCCCTGAATAGACCAATAACAAGTTCTGAAATTGAAGCAGTAATTAATAGCCTACCAACCAAAAAAAGCCCAGGACCAGATGGATTTACAGCCGAATTCTACCAGAGGCACAAAGAGGAGCTGGTACTGTTCCTTCTGAAACTATTCCAAACAACAGAAAAAGAGGGACTCCTCCCTAACTCATTTTATGAGGCCAGCATCATCCTGATACCAAAACCTGGCAGAGACACAACAAGAAAAGAAAATTTCAGGCCAACATCCCTGATGAACACCAATGCGAAAATCCTCAGTAAAATACTGGCAAACCAAACCAGCAGCACATTAAAAAGCTTATCCACCACAATCAAGTCGGCTTCATCCCTGGGATGCAAGGCTGGTTCAATATACACAAATCAATAAATGTAATGTATCACAAATAAACAGAAGCAATGACAAAAACGACATGATTATCTCAATAGATGCAGAAAAAGGTCTTCGATAAAATTCAACACCCCTTCATGCTAAAAACTGTCAATAAACTAGGTATTGATGGAACATATCTCAAGATAATAAGAGCTATTTATGACAAACCCACAGCCAATATCATACTGACTGGGCAAAAGCCGGAAGCATTCCCTTTGAAACCAGCACAAGATAAGGATGCCCTCTCTCACCACTCCTATTCAACAGAGTACTGGAAGTCCTGGCCAGGGCAATGAGGCAAGAGAAAGAAATAAAGGGTATTCAAGTAGGAAAAGAGGAAGTCAAATTATCTCTCTTTGCAGGTGACATGATTGTATATTTAGAAAACCTCATCATCTCAGCCCAAAAACTCCTTAAGCTGATAAGTAACTTCAGCAAAGTCTCAGGATACAAAATCAATATGCAAAAATTACATGCATTCCTATACACCAATAATAGACAAACAGAGAGCCAAATCATGAGCAAACTCCCATTCACAATTGCTACAAAGAGAATAAAATACCTAGGAATACAACTTACAAGGGATGTGAAGGACCTCTTCAAGGAGAACTACAAACCACTGCTCAAGGAAATAAGAGAGGACACAAACAAATAGAAAAACATTCCACATTCATGGACAGGGAGAATCAATATCATGAAAATGGCCATTTTGCCCAAAGTAATTTATAGATTCAATGCTATTCCCATCAAGCTACCATTGACTTTCTTCACAAAATTAGAAAAAAATTACTTTAAATTTCATATGGAACCAAAAAAGAGCCTGTATAGCCAAGACTATCCCAGGCAAAAAGAACAAAGCTGGAGGGCATCACGCTACCTGACTTCAAACTATACTACAAGACTACAGTAACCAAAACAGCATGGTACTGGTACCAAAACAGACATACAGGCCAATGGAACAGAACAGAGGCCTCAGAAATGACACCACACAACTACAACCAAATGATCTTTGACAAACCTGACAAAAATAAGCAATGGGGAAAGGATTCCATATTTAGTAAATGGTGTTGGGAAAACTGGCTAGCATATGCAGAAAACTGAAACTGGACCCCTTCCTTACATCTTATACAAAAATCAACTCAAGACGGATTAAAGATTTTAACGTAAGACCTAAAACCATAAAAACCCTAGAATAAAACCTAGGCAATACCATTCAGAACACAGGCATGAGCAAAGACTTCATGACTAAAACACCAAAAGCAATGGCAACAAAAGCCAAAATTGACAAATGGAATCTAATTAAACTAAAGAGCTTCTGCACAGCAAAAGAAACTATGATCAGAGTGAACAGGCAACCTACAAAATGGAGGAAAATTTTTGCAATCTATTCATCTGACAAAGGGGTAATATCCAGAATCTACAAGGAACTTAAATTTACAACAAAAAACAAACAACTCCATCAAAAAGTGGGTGAAGGATATGAACAGATACTTTTCAAAAGAAGACATTTATGTAGCCAGCAAACACATGAAAACAAACTCATTATCACTGGTCATTAGAGAAATGCAAATAAGAACCACGATGAGATGCCATCTCATGCCAGTTAGAATGGCGATCATTAAAAAGTCAGGAAACAAAAGATGCTGGAGAGGATGTGGAGCAACAGGAACGCTTTTACACCATTGGTGGGAGTATAAATTAGTTCCTCCATTGTGGAAGACAGTGTGGCGACTGCTCAAGGATCTAGAACTAGAAATACTATTTGAACTAGCAATCCCATTACTGGGTATATACCCAAAGGATTATAAATCATTCTACTATAAAGACACATGCACATGTATGTTTATTGCAGCACTATTCACAATAGCAAAGACTTGGAACCAACCCAAATGCCCATCAATGTTAGACTGGATAAAAATGTGGCACATATACACCTGTAATCCAGTACTTTGGGAGGCCGAGGCGGGCGGATCACGAGGTCAGGAGATCGAGACCATCCTGGCTAACACGATGAAACCCCATCTCTACTAAAGATACCAAAAAAATTAGCCGGGCATGGTGGCTGGCACCTGTAGTCCCAGCTACTCAGGAGGCTGAGGCAGGAGAATGGCGTGAACCCGGGAAGTGGAGCTTGCAGTGAGCTGAGATCATGCCGCCACTACACTCCAGCCTCGGCGACAGAGTGAGACTCCATCTCAAAAAAAAAAAAAAATGTGGCACATATACACCATGGAATACTATGCAGCCATAAAAAAGAATGAGTTCATGTCCTTTGCAGGGACATGGATGAAGCTGGAAACCATCGTTATCAACAAACTAACATGGGAAGAGAAAACCAAACACCACATATTCTCACTCATAAGTGGGAGGTGAACAATGAGAACATATGGGCACAGGGAGGGGAATATCACACACTGGGGCCTGTCGGTGCGGTGGGGGGCAAGGGGAGGGATAGCATTAGGAGAAACAACTAATGTAGATGACGGGTTGATGGGTGCAGCAAACCACCATGGCACATATATACCTATGTAACAAACCTGCAGGTCTGCACATGTATCCCAGAACTTAGAGTATAATTTTAAAATAAAAGAAAGAAAGAAAAAGAAGACATGCTCCCATGTGTTAAGCGGGTTTCCTGCAGAGGAGGGCTCATTTTTACATAAGATTCCCAAAGCAGCCTCCTTATATCCAGAGTGTCAGAGATTTTACTTTTCTTCTTCTTTTTTCTTTTCTTTTTTTTTTTTTTGAGATAGAGTCTTGCTCTGTTGCCCAGTGGCGTGATCTTAGCTCACTGCAACCTCCACCTCCTGAGTTCAAGTGATTCTTCCTCCTCAGCCTCCCAAGTAACTGGGATTACAGGCGTGTGCCACCATGTCCAGCTGATTTTTTTTTTTATTTTTTGTAGTTTTAGTAGAGTTGGAGAGGCTGGTCTCCCAACTCCTGGCCTCAAGTGATCTGCCTGCCTTGGCCTCCCAAAGTGCTGGGATTACAGGCGTGAGCCACCACACCCGACTGAGAGTGTCAGAGATTTGTCAAAGGGCCTGCAAGTATCCTGGCCTGAAACCTCACAGGCTGCTTCTGAATGATAAAAACTGACCTGTCACTTCTGCACCATTGGTTTCTGGTCTTCCATCACTTCCAGCCTCGAAGGGTGCTCCCACAGCTTAGTACCTGCATAACAAACCCCTTACCCCAGCATATCTAGGATGCCAACAACTGTAAGGCACACCACAAGAGAAAATGTATGCTGCCAATAAATGCTGACGTGTTATCTATTGTAAAGAAGCATGCAGGCCCTGGCAGTGTTGAAATGTGAAAATATGCACATCCAGCAATCAAAACACCTCATGCATACTACAATATTAACAGAGATTGTTTTAGAATTATGAAATCAGGGCCGGTGCTTTGGCTCATCTGTATTTTCTAAACTTTCTATGGTGAACGATATTACTGCCAATATTTGAAAAATGGTAAATAAACATTATTTTAAACAAAAAAAATGAAATGAGCCAACCAGAACTACCATGAACCTAATGAAACTAAAGCTTTGTGGCCTTCCAAAGGCCCCTGGAAGAAGCCCTAGTTTGTTTATATTTGTATTTTTTGTTATTTGTCATAAAACAACCCCTCAAACTACACATGCTTCAGGCCCCATAAAGCTATGAGCTGTCTTGGATTCAACAAATATGGAGTACCTAACAAGTCCACGTGGACTGCTTTAAAAGACAGACAGAAATAGAAACATTTCAGCTTAAGTGAGGATACAAGCAAGCCCAGATAACCACACCAAGGCAACAAGACCAATAATCCCTCTCCCTTTCCTAATTATCACTCCTGCTGCTATGGACTGAACTGCGTCCTCCCAAAATTCGTATGTTGAGGCACTAACCCCAATGGGATGGTATTAGGAGATGGGGAGGTGATCAGGGATAGATGAAACCATGAGTGTGGAGGCCCCATGTTGGGATTAGTGACCTTATAAGAACAGGAAGAAACACCAGAGCTTTCTGTCTCCACCATGCAAGGACACAGCAAGAAGGTGGCCATCTGCAAACCAGGATATGAGCCCTCACCAGGAACTGAATCTGCAAGCACTTTGACCTGGGACTTCTCAGCCTCCAGAACTGTGAGAAATAAATGTCTACTGTTTAAGCCACCCAGTTTATGGTATCCCATTAGAGAGCAGCCCGAGCTGACTAAAACACCTCCATACTCCATCTCTAGTGATTATAACTGGTGATGCACAAATCCACTGGTAAACTGTCAGATATTGAAGCCACCACCACGCTCTATAGTTTGGTTCTGTTGAAGTTTTATAAGTAAATAATGAACTGCCAATGTTGTATAAATGCTATGGGGAATATTCACCCAAGGATTCTTTCTTTTCTCTGAAATCTCTCATATTCTTTAAAAAGTCAGCCTCTTTTCATCTGCAGTGAGATTTTCTCTCTAAATCCTTCTTTAAACACTCTTTTTGTGTGACGTCTTAGCCTTAAGTACTGAGCCTTAAAGAAAAGCTGTTTTCCACTCACTGCCTTGTTTTACATATGCTCTCCCTGAGCTTTCAAAATGGCAAAATAAAGCATCTTAGGGACCACAAGGGCCGCCTGCTTTGAACTACCCAGCAGTAAAGGGGCCAAGTGACAAAGCTAGTCGGTACACCCGGCCCAAAGCACCCTAAAGCCAAACACAACACAACACTTTGTCAAATTAATTATTAGGCTGCATCAAAATATGAAGCCACTAAAAGTGGATGTACTCTATTTGAAAAGGAATTTTAAAACCCTAAGGTTCCACGGAACCTAGTTTGAAAACCATTGGTCAACATTAGCAAGAAGCAAACAAAATGAGGAATTTTTCCCTCTGCAAAACCATGTCCCCTCCACCTTCTCCGTGGAGGGAAGACACAGTGTTGATACACATACCTGCCATGATACAGGGGAGAGTGCATGACACACATTTAAAAAGGCGTGGGGTGAACAGGCAATTCTCATTTTAGCAAGACTGTTAGAACTTCATTCAGCCAATGATGAACATGTGCTCCACTTTGAAAACAAAAGGCAGCCTTGTCTCACCCATGACTCTCTGTCCCTATTCCACAAGGAGCATTCCCACCCAAATGCAAGCTCTCAGCTTCATGGACACGCTAAGGAGGCTCTCACCAGGAGCACCTCCGAGTCCATGTCCACATCTCTGCAGTATGGCCCCAGCCAGATCTGGAGCACATTCTTGTATTCAACACATTTATAAAGTGCCTCATCAATACCTGGCGCTGTTCTTGACCATCCGTGAACAAAAGAAACAACAATCTCACCCTTGCAGTGTCTACATTCTAGAGGGGAGAGACCTCCTAAGTAATTAAATTGGGCACAAAAGAATGATGAGTGCTCCGGGGGAAAAACAGAGCCCAGATAGGGGGAGCAGGGAGTGCTGGGGCAAGTGTTTTGCTTCTGTTTCGGTTTTTATGTGGTAAAAAACATGTAAGATTTACCATCTTAGCCATTTTTAAGTGTACAGTACTATAGTGTTAACTACATGTACCCTGTTTGACAACAGATCTCTAGAACTTCTTCACCTTGCAAAACTGAAACTCTATATCCAATGAACAACTCTCCTTTCCCCCTCCCTCCAGCCCCCGGCAACCACCATTCTGCTTTCTGTCTCTAGGTGCCTCGTATGAGTGGAATCATTCAGCATTTGTCTTTCTGTGGCTGGCTTATTTCACTTAGCATAATGTCCTCAAAGTTCATCCATGTTGTAGCCTGTGTCAGAATTTCCTTCCTTTTGAAGACTGAGCAATCTTCCACTGTGTATACAGACCACATTTTATGTATCCACTCATCTACTGATGGACACTTGGGTAGCTCCCACCTTTTGGCTATTGTAAACAAGGCTTCCATGAACATAGGTGTGCAAACATCTGTTCGATTCCCTGCTTTCAGTGAAGACCTAGTTTTAAACAGAGCTGTCAGTGTGGTTCCATGCCTTTCCTTTCCTCTGCAGCCCTCTGTCCACCTTCTCTGTAGGGGGGAAATTCCCACTTTAGTCTATTTCCTGGCACTATTTCATCAGTAGCTATGCAACCCACACCTGCATTTTCAGAACAACTCCCACAAACTGCAGAGGACTCAATATCACCTATTTTCTAAAGATGGATTTCTTCAAAGCACAGGGCTGTTGGGACCAGAGTGCAATAAAAGAGTGAGGAATGGAGAATGAAAACATGAATCATGAACGTGAGCAGCTGGCTCTGTTTTCAGAGGCACTTGTCAGTTCCCCCAAAAGACAGCCCCTCATCATGTCCTTCAACACGGCAGGATAGACAGGACAATGTCACCCATGCTCCCAAGGGCCCCCCTGTCCTTACTGCCTAGGAAAGAACGGCCCCTTGATGGAATCTCTGTCTGCATGAAAACCTACCACGAACACTTTCTTCAAAGTTCTGGAAAGAAAAGTTTTGACACCTGTTAAAGGAATTTCAAGAATTCAAAATTAAGTGGGGACTTCCCAAAGTCTCAAATAATCATGACACAACCTACTCAACCATGGAACAAATCCTGACTGCGGAGCAGGACCCCCAGCTAGACAGTGCAGAGCAGCCAGAGTGGGTCAGACCTGAGTCCTGACCCGAGGACTGCTTTCTGGAGGTAGATATGAGACCCCAAATATGAACAAGATGCACTAGGGACCCAGGAACCAGGAGTGCTGATATCCAAAGGTCGGGGGGATGATGGATGTCCCAATTCGAGAAGAGAGACAGAACGCACCCTTCCTCTGACTCTCTGTTAAGACTGGCAACAAATCGGATGATGACCACCTGCATTGGTGAGGATGATCTTCTCTACTCCGTCTACTGATTCAAATGCTCATCTCTTCCAGAAACACCAGCTATCTGGGCATCTGTTAGCCCAGTCACATAAAGTTACCATCACAAACCACAAGGAATGAATTCTGCTGGCACCTGAATGAGCAAGGAAATGGATTCTCCCCAAGAGCCTGCAGAAAGGAACAAGACCTTGACTGTAATCCAGCGAGTCCTGTGTTGGAGTTCTAATCTACTGAACTAAAAGAAAATAAATGTGTTTTGCTTTAAGCTGTTAAATGTGTGGTCATTTGTAACAGCAGCAGCAGGAACTAATACAGCCACTTTAATGAGCAGCCCAGGTGGCTAGTACAACTGATGGGGAATGTATCCCCTGGCCATATCCCCAGGTGTGTGCCCGAGAGTATCACTGTCCAACCAAACTCTCTGCAGTGGTAGAAATGTTCTATACCTATGCCGTCAAATATGGTAGCCACTTGTGACCATTAAGCCCTTGAAATATGGCTAGTGCAACTAAGGAAATGAATTTATAATACAGGTCATCTTAATTACCTTAAACTTGAATAGCCATGGGTGATCAGTGGCTCCTACAATGAACAGCAGAGCCTCAAGCAGAGGTTCTTAAATGTTGCTGCATATTAGGATTTCCTGGAGAGATTTTTTTTTAATGCTGATGCCCAAGCTGCCTCCCAGATCAATTAAATCAGATTGCACTTAGGGGATGGGACCCAGGCATTGGTATTTTTAAAAGTCTCCAGGGGTTCTAACATGCAGCCAAGTTTGAGATTCAGTGACCCAGGGAAACGGTCACACAGGGTACACACAGTCAGATACATGGATGGTAACTGAACCCCTGCCTTGGAATGTCAACAAATGGCAAACGCTAAGGTTTCCATTCATGCAATGGAATAGAATGTCCACAGCAATTAAAATAAATGCATGGATCTATACATACCAACAATGGTAAATACAGAAAACACAAAGTTGACTTAAGGAGCAGAAACACTAGTAACAATACAATATCATGTCTATGAACTTTGAAGTGTACACAACAATACTACCTGTTGACTATAAACACATATAGTAAAAAGCATAAAAACTTGGACAAGAAGAACACACACCAACTGCAGGCTGGGGGAAACCTGCTGGGAAATGAGAGCAAAGGAGGGGATGGGGGGGTGCAGGTACAAAGAGCTTCACTTCCATGCAGCAATTTATTTCACTTTAGAAGATGTGAAGCAATTATGGTAAAGTGGTATTATTTGCTGTAGCTCCATGTTATGAACACAAGTGTGTTGTCATATTTTCTCTATTCTTTTCTGGGCGTATAACATTTTTCATAATAACAAAAGAGACCAACATATGGATCTCCAGGCAGGAAGAGTTTATCCCTGGGCGGGCAGCACAGAGGAGGGTGGTTCTCTGGGGTGAGTTAGGCTATGTCATATTGAGGAATTTATTCCTAGTAGGTTTTCCTTCAAATGGAAAGCCAATTGTCTTCCAGAATTTAAGGAAATAAAACAATTATGAGCCAAAAAAAAAAAAAAAAAAACTACTGGACAACAAAATCTGGCCAAAGGTGAGTCAGGCAAAATAAAGAAGTTAGAAATGGCCTTAGTAAAGGCAGCATGGCAGCAGCTCAGGAGGAGGAGAGGCAGGTTGGCAGGGTTCTCTGAGCACTTAAACATAAGACTATGAGGAAATACCACAGGAAGCGGGGGAGCAGCGGAGAGCAAATGCTATCAACCTCATCCCACACATGCAACAATTTGCAACAATCTAGCCACGGGAGGGAAATGATAATATTAGTGTGCCAGACACTGCCCTAAGTGCTTTACATTATAAATTATAATAACTCAACTGTTAGAATAATTCTACAAGATACTGCTATTACTTCTATCTTAGACGTAACAGAGGGAAACTGAGTCACAGCAAGTTTGGTGATTAGCCTGAGGTCAAGTGGCCAAGATGGGATTTGAACCCAGCTGTCTGGGTCCCAAATGTTAACCCCTACATTATACCGTTCTTTGAAATTAGGTATGCCTGCACTAATGTCCTCTGCGCTTCTACACTTGAACTTCCCGTTGTAAAAAAAAGGACTCTAACCACTTAAAAAATTCTATAGCCTTTTCTACTTGACTGTGAAGCATATTCATATTCTTTTTCTTGTTAAAGTAAATTTCAAACTTACCATTTATCCTGAAAGTAAAATGTATAATATATAACTCTTTGGACACACATCCTCCCTTTACATCCATGAACAGCGTGATGTCGAAGTCCCGCTCACCAATGTCTATGAGGGGTTATTTGTGAAAGGTGACATTTTATGTCATTTTTCTTCTTCTGTTTTTCCCTGGCTTTACTGAGGTACACTTGACAAATAAAAATTCCATGTATTTAAGGTCTACAAGGTGATGTTTTTGTATTCACCTTGCAAAATAATTACCATAATCAAGCTAATTAACATGTCCATTACCTCACATAGCTCTGATGTTTTGTACATGGGGCGAGAACCGCACTGCTGGGTGCGGTGGTTCATGTTTGTAATTCTAACATTTTGGGAGGCTGAGGCAGGAGGATGGGTTGAAGCCAGGAGTTTAAGACCAGCCTGGGCAACACAGCAAGACCCTATCTAATTAGGCATAGTGGCACATGCCTGTAGCAGGGAGACAGAGGAAATGGGTAACTTGAGCCCAGGAGTTGGAGGCTACAGCGAGCTATGATTGCTACACTCCAGCCTGGGTGAAAGAGTGAGACCTAGTCTCAAAACAAAACAAAACAAAACAAAACAAAAAAACTACTCTCTTAGCATATTTCAAGTCCACAACACAGCATTCTCAACTATAGTAACCATGCCGTACGTTAGATCTTCAGAACTCATTCCTCCTGCATAACTGATACTTAGTATTTTTATTCTTTCTACTTTTCTGTATTGCTGGAATGTTTTATAGCAGGTATTCATAAATTTTCACAACAAATGTTCAGTTAATGACATTTCTAAAAAAACAAATAAAAAAGAAAATACCAATAAATGCACCTCCTATAGAAACACAAGGAAAAGGAGGCGTGCCATGGACATGAGGAGGGAGAACACACCTCTACATCTGTAGGACCCAGGACAGTCCTTCTGGACCCGCAACCCAGAGGACTGCAGGCAGGCAGCACCTCCCTGAATCCAGGGTAGACAGCCGGGAAGGGCAGGAGGAAGGCCACAGGCATGGAGCCAGATGAGGTCAACAGGAATGCCATGGAGACAACAGCTATAACCACAGGGGGAAACCCACGCTGAAGGAAGTAAAAATCAGAACCTACACCCTGGAAAACCAAACTAGTGACACAGGGGAAAGCTTCAGAAATTCTCCCAGAATGTCAAAATGAAAAAGACCACCACCTGACAAAGCCTCTTATGGCAAGAACAGAGAGGAAGGTCACAGATGACAAGGACAACAGAGATCAAGGGCGTTTCAAGAGGAACTGCTAACTCTTTTCCAAAGAAAGGTGTGCACTACTGCGACACAAAAGCAGACCCTTGCTCTATGGAAGAAAATCCCTCTCCACCAGTGAGTACTTCAGAGACTGCCTGAAATGCTCCCCAAGCTGTTCTCAGTAAAAGCACCAAGTCCTCTTACCAAGTCAGGAAAACAAGCCTGCATATTTATTTGGAGCACTACATTTCTTGGTATTCTAAAATAATATACACCTCTTTCTCTCTCTCTCTCTCTCTCACACACACACACACACATACACACACAGAGTAGATAAAAAGTCCCCTTTAAGCTAAAGTTGGGAGCTCAAGTACAACTTCAGGATTATCAATAAATATACAGCTGACCTTGGAACAGCACAGGTTTGAACTGGGCGAGTCCACTTATATGTGGATTTTTTTCCATCAAAGTTACACTGAGTGTGCCTGCCTCTCCTGCTGCCCCTCCTACTTCCTCTGCCTCTTCCTCCTCTGCCACCCCGAGATAGCAAGACCAAGCCCTCCTCTTCCTTTTCTACTCAGCCCACTCAATATGAAGACTACAACAAAGATGAAGACCTTTATGATGACCCACCTCCACTTATAAATAGTAAATATATTTTCTCTTCCTTATGATTTTCCTATTAACATTTCTTTTCTCTGGCTTACTTTATTGCAAAAATACAGTATATAATGCATGTAACCTACATAATGTGTTAATTGACCGTGTTTATTAGTAAGGCTTCCAGTCAACAGTAGGCTATTAGTAGTTAAGTTTGGGGGAAGTCAAAAGTTATACATGGATTTCTGACTGTGAGGGAGGTTGGGTCCCATCAGGGCTCTGAGCCCAGGCTAAGCCATCATATGCCCTGTGACCTGCAGTATACATCCAGATGGCCTGAAGCAACTGAAGAACCACCAAAGAAGTGAAAATAGGCAGTTCCTGCCTTAATTGATGACATTCCACCATTGTGATTTGTTCCTGCCCCACCCCAACTAATCAATCGACCTAGTGACATTCCTCCCCTGGACAATGAGTCTCAAAATCTACCCACCCTGCACCTTGTGACCCCCGCCCCTGCCTGTAAGAGATAACCACCTTTAACTGTAATTTTCCACTACCTACCCAAATCCTGTAAAACTGCCCCACTCAGCCCACTTGCATTCAAGTAAAATAAACAGCCTTGTTGCTCACACAAAGCCTGTTGGTGGACTCTCTTCACATGGATGCGCATGACGGGTCCCCTAACCCCTGCACTCTTTGAAGGGCCAAATGTGCATTATGTGACATGGATAAAAATTAATGTTTTTCTAAATGGCAAAGTCTACAACCTACAAATTGAAGAATAGTTCTAGCTTCATCTGAAGTGTTATTGAAGAACAAAAATAATATTCTCCATAAATATAGCAGGCAGATATACATTTTTAAAAGTCTCAACTAAAGCTGACCAATGCAAACAATTATTTATTTAGGTGATCAAATAGCAAACTGACTGTCAGAGACCCATTCAACCTGTGATATGTGACCTATGAATTCACTTTCTACCTTCATGCTTCCAAAATTATCTAGATTACTCACTATCAATATTTTTCACCAAGAAACAATGGAATCCTGAGTCTGGTCACCTGACCCTATATTAAATTGTACCCATCAATTCTACAAAACACTGCCCATGTTTCCTATAAAAAAAAAAAATTAGAAGAATAAAAGAGTAATCCACATACAATGTAAAGCTAAAAAACTGCATTGGAATAAAAAACAAAATTGAAGTATTTTATGAAAACCTACAAGAACTAATAAGTGAGTTTAGGTTAGCAGGGCTGCAGAATACAAGAGCAATATACAAGATGCAACTGTATTTCTATACACTAGTAGTAAGTAATCAGAAAGTTAAATTTAAAAACAATACCATTTACAATAGCATCAAAGTCTGTAAAATAAATAGGAAGAAATCTGACAAAAGATAAGTAACTCCTGTACACTGTAAACTACAAACTACTGTAGAGAAAGATTAAAGACCAAATAATTGGGAAGATATAATGTATTCATAGGGCAGAGGACTCAATATTATTATGACATCAACTCTCCCCAAGTTGATCTGTAGAAGTGCTTTTCAACCACGGGTGATTTTGTCACTCCGGGAGATATTTGGTAATGTCTGGAGGCACTGTTGGTTGTCCCTACTTGGTGGCAGAAGGTACTGTTGCCATCTAATGAGTAAAGGATGGGATGCTGCTACCCACCCCACAATGCAGAAGACAGCCCCACAACAAAGAATTATCCAGCCCAAAATGTCAACACTCCCAGTGCCGAGGTGGAAAAATCCTGATGTACAGAGTTAGTGTAATTCCAATCAACATCCCAGCAGGCTTTGTTCTAAAACTGACAAACTAATTCTAAAATTCGCACAGAAATTCAAAGGATATAGCATAGCCGCAACAACTTTGAAGAAGAGGAACAAAGAGAATTAACATAACCTTTCAAGAGGTTTCAAGAATTAAGTCAAAGTATGTTAACAGACAATTCTCCATGAACTTCTGCATATGTGGTTTTTCTAAACAAGCAGCACTGTAAAAATAAGGATAGAGGATTTGAATGCCTTGAAAGCTAGAAGTAGTATAACGCCCAGGAGAGATTTAGAGACATATCTGTCTTGCAACCATTTGCTACCTTTCAGTAAAATAAAACTAGGGAACTTTCCTCCTCTCCCCAGAGAGGATTTGTTTAGATTGCAGAGTAAGAGTCTCTCCCTCTTTGTCTCTGGGGCAGAAAAAGGGCAAAGTTATTAGACACCCTATAGCAATTCAGGGGCCTCTCCTGAACAGCACTGCACGCACAGGGGAGTAAGTGGCACTGACCACACTGTCCCTTGGGGAATTGACACTAGTTGGCACTGTGAATATAAAATATTTCCTCTGATCCAGAGACATTGTTCCTCATCAGAATATATACATACACTTAAACACACACACACACACATTTTTAAAACACATTAATTAAGACAGTGTGGTGTTGGCATCAAGACAGACAAGTAGACCAATACAGTATAATCTCTACTGCAGAAATAGATCCACACATATACAGAAAAAAATCTTTGATAGAGGTGCAAAAGCAATTCTGCGAGGAAAGGATAGTCTTTTCAACAAATGGTGCTGGAAAAACTGGATATCCATCTGGGGAAAAGATGAAATAAACCTCAATCCATATCTCATACCACATAAAGGAGTTAGTTTCAAATGAATCACAGACATAAATGTAAAACATGAAACTATAAAATCTGTAAAGGAAAGAATGGAAACAAATCTTTATAACTCTGGATTAGGCAAAGATTTATTACATATGACAACAAAATTTTAAATGTGGCATCTTCAAAACACACTGTAAAGGGAATGAAAATACAAGACACATTCCAGGAGAAGATATTTACAAAGCATATAGCTGATACAGGTCTTGTACCTAGAACATAAAAAGAATCCTCAAACTTTAATAAAAATGATGTCAACAAAAATGCCAGAGTTGAAGACCAATGAAAATTCTCTCTTCCATAAAATCAATGAGAAAACTGGCAGAAAGTGTCAGAATCAACTTTTTCAGAACCCTAAAAATTAAAAACAGATTGCAGCAATCTGATGAGTGCTTCCTCAAGAAAAATGTCTGAATCTCGGTAAGAACAGGTGAGCTTTGTGGCACATTAGCTTGGTGCTATTCCCTTCCCACCTACCCGTCTCGGCAGGAGCCTTGCAAACCAATAGCCCACAATCACAGTGCATGTGAGAACCCTGGCAAAACATGGCTGGAGCTCCTTCAAATTCTCATTCCCAGAGAACTGACATGAAATGACCTGTCTGATGTTTCTCTAGAAGAAACCACCTAGAAGGCTGTTTTTATTTGACCTGACTCAGACCTTGCTCAGTGTGACATGTCTTTAGCCTCGGGGCATTTGCTGAAAACAGTTGAAGGTGATCATTAACCACAACAGCTGCTAGAGGTGGTGGTTAACAAAAAGGCAAAAAGAGGCTAACCAAAAAGCTTAAAGGAAAAAGCCATGGAATGAAACGTCTGTAGGTCCTTTGAAAAACTCCAATAAAGTGCTGAAAATTAAAAGGCCACATGCACACAGGCTGTGTACATGCCAAGCACTGTGTTCATGCTCAGGAAAGGCCTGGGAAGGCCCTAAGCTCTCATCTCCGACTGACCTTGAGGCTTTGCACAAGCAGGAAGGGAAGACGAAGGTAGGGCTGTCAACTGCCTGCCTGGCTGAGTAGTAAAGTAACATTTGCAGATGACTTCCTTAGAAAATCTTAAGGAATCCACAAAAATACTGTTAGAGGTAATAAATGAGTTCAGCAAGGTTTCAGGGTACAAAAATCAATACACAGAAATCTGAGATTCCTGTACATGTGCAATAAACAATCAAAAACTAAAGTGAAGAAAACAATTCCATTTATAACAGCATAAAAAATACAATACTTAGGAATAAACTTAACAAAAGAGATATAACTTGTACACTAAAAACTAGAAAAGATCATTGAAATGAATTGAAGAAAGCTTAAAGAAAAGACATCCCATGCTTCTGAGCTGGAAGACAATATTGTTTGGATGGCAATATTCTCCAAAATGTTCTACAAATTCAACACAACCCTTATAAAAATCCCAGCTAGATTTTTTTTTTTTTTTTTTTTTTTTTTTTTGCAAAAATGGACAAGTTGATCCTGTAATTCATACGGAAATGCTTGGATCCAGAATAGCCAAAACAATCTTGGGAAATCAAAGTTGGAAGATTCACATTTCCTGATTTCAAAACTTACTACAAAGCTACTGTAATAAGCCCATACATTTATAGTCAATTGATTTTCAACAAGAGTGTCAAGTCAGTATAATGCAAAAGGAACAGTCTTTTCAACAAATGGTGCTGGGACAACTAGATAGCCACATGTGAAAGAATAAAATTGAACCCTTGTCTCATATCATATACAAAATTTAAGTCAAAATTGATCAAAGACCTAAATATAAGAGGTAAAACTATGAAACTCTTAGAAAAAGATATAGATGTAAATTTTCATGATGTTGGATTAGGCAATGTTTTCTTAGCTATGATACCAGAAGAACAAGCAAACAAAAAAATAGATGGGATATCATCAAAATTACAAATTTTGTGCTTCAATGGACACCATCAAGAAAGAAAGACAATCTACAAACTGGAAGAAAAAAATTGTAAATCATATGTCTGTACAGGTCTAGTATCCAAAATACATAAATAACTGTTACAACTCAATAATAAAAAGACAACTCAATTGGAAAATGAGCCAAGGATTTGCATAGACATTTCTCCAAAAAGAGATTTGAAGGACCAATAAGCACATGAAAAGATGCTCAACATCTCTAGTCAGGAGGGAAAAGCACATCAAAACCACAGCAAGAAAGCACATCACAATCACAAGGATGGCTGTAATAAAAAAAACTAGAAAATACATGTGTTGGTGAGGATGTGAAGTAGAACCCCCACACATTGTTGGTAATGTTACGGGCAGGTCTTTGTTCTTAGAGCTCCCAAGATGTGGCAGACCACTCCCAAGATGGCAGCAAGCCTTTTGTTCTCTGACCTGGGGTTCTTGGCCTTATGGATTCCAGAGTTTTATAGCTCTATTAGAAGCCGTAGGTCACGGAAGAGAACCATGGAACCCAGCGACTAGTGTTCAGCTCGATTAGGATGAACCTGGGCACTCAGCCGTGCAGGAACAATGGCGAGCCTTTAGCCCAGTCGGAAGCAGCAATGGGCGCCTCGCTGGATCAGGAGCACAGCAGACACCCTGCCAGATCTAGAGGGGTGTCAGTCAGTGGCAGGTCTGCAATGGCAGCCAACAGCAGTGGTGGACAGCGAGCGAAAGCTCAGCTCAAGCCATAACAAACATGGACCAGAAGAGTGTGCAGTTGCAAGATTTAATAGAGTGAAAATAGAGCTCCCATACAAGGGAGGGGACCCAAAGGGGGTTGCCCACTCCCGGCTCGAATGCCTGGGTTTATATCCCGATCATTGTCCCTCCCCCTGTGCTCTCAGGCGATATATGATTTCACTATTTCTTTACCTCTTGCTTTAGCCTAGTTTGTATTTTAGTGAGCCCTCTTTACTACCTGATTGGTTGGGTGTGAGCTGAGTTACAAGCCCCGTGTTTAAAGGCAGGTGTGATCACCTTTCCCAGCTAGGCTTAGGAATTCTTAGTCGGCCTAGGAAATCCAGCTAGTCCTGTCTTTCAGTAAGAATGTAAAATGAAGACACTTTAGAAAACAATTTGGCAGTTCCTCAAATGGTTAAATCCATAGTTACATATGACCCAGTAATTCTATTCCTAGGTACATACCCAAGAACTGAAAACATGTGTTCACTCCAAAACTTGTACAGGAATGTTCACAGCAGCATCACGCATAACAACCAATGTCCATCATGCGATGCATGGATAAACAATGGAATATACAACTGTTTACTGGAATACTATTCAGCCATAAAATGAAATAAAGTATTATTAGATGCTCACAAAATAGACGAACCTCAAAAACATTTTGCTAAATGTTAAGAAAATAGACCACTACCAAAATTCTTTCAAGAGGTAAATGAGTAACAAACTGTGGTGTAGCCACCCACTGGGATACTACCAGGCAATTAAAGGGGCTAAACTAGGCACATGAAACAACATGGATGAATCTCAAAGGCTTTATGCTGAGTGAAAAAGGCCAGTCTCAAAAGGTTATATGCGGTATAATTCCATTCACATAATATTCCGCAAAAGACAAAACTATAGTATGGAGAACTGGTCAGTAGTTGGTGGCTGGCATGGGTTTGAGAGGGGTATCACAAGATGAAGCCATTTTACAAGGTAATGAAACTGGTCTCTAACCTGATTTTGGTGATGGTAACAGGAATGGATACATGTATTACAATTCTCAGAACTGTATACCCAGAAAACAAAAATAAAAACCTAACCACAAACAGAAAGTAAAAACACAGAAATAAGGCCCTCCTTTCCTGACATGCACATTCTTTAGTAACTACGAAAGTAATTTCTTCAACTTCAAAAAGCACAAGTTTAACTGATTTATTTCAAGAATGAGCTAATCAATTCTGTATTTATTAAATGCAAATGTTTCCAATGGGTAGATTTAATATGCTATGGCAGGAGAAAGGTACATTCTATACCCTGAAGTACAAGAATTGATTGTGCAAGCTTGGATGCAAAAAGTAAAATTAAAATTCCATGTACGTGATATAGTGCTACACCTGGCAAAAAGCTTTTCTGTAGAGTGAACTGAAAGGCACTTGCAAACAACTCAATCATCTGGTTAAAAAAGAAAAGAAAAAATAGGATCACAACTCTCTCTTGTTACAGGGAAAGTGTCCATCTTCCAAAAACCAAGGCTCCCCTCACGCTTCTCAAAGATGGTGTCCCTCTTGGACAGCCTCTGACTCTCCACATCATTCCCTCTTTCCTCCAACCCCCACTGATAAATTCCCACCTTAGAGGCAAGCCACAGCCCACAGACTGCTACTTCTTAATCTCCCCCTGTACAGAGTATTTTCTTTTTTTCAGAGACAGGGTTTCATTCCATCACCCAGGCTAGGGTGCAATAGCGTGATCATAGCTCACTGCAGCCTCAAACTCCTGGGTTCAAGCAATCCTCCCACCTCAGCCTCCTGAGTAACAGACTATAGGCACATGTCACCACACCTGGCTACTATAAAAAAATTTTTTTTTTTTTAAAGATGGTGTCTTAACGATATTGCCCAGGCTGGTCTCAAACTCCTGGGCCATAGCAATCCTCCCGCCTCAGCCTCCCAAAGTGCTGGGATTACAGGTCTGAGCCACTGTGCCCAGCCTGGAAAGGATCATGTTTGCCCCATACCTTCCCATCTTTCCAGTCGTGCCAACCTAACACCCCCAGAGAACCATGTCTGCCTCCACACTCCCACTCTCCCTTCCATCACTCCCATCTGGCCTCCTCACTGATTTTCCACAAAACCTGTCCTCAAATGGTCACTAACGATCTCCATGCTGTGGAATCCGGGGGGCACGTGTTTGTCCATTTGCTCAGCTTCTCAGTTGTCACCAACCCATTTGGCCACACTTTCCTTCTGCTGATATTTTCTGCTTTCAACATCCTTGAAACCACACCCTCCTGCTTTTCCCCCAGATCTGGCCACACTTTCTTGGTTTCCTGTGGCAGCTCAGCCTGCTCTCCTGAGCTTCTAAATACTGAGGAAATTCCTCATGGCCAGGCCATGCCCCCGTTTCTCCACACTCTTCAATTTGTTGCCTGCCTGCATCCAATGCCATCCGTATGCACCTGCTCGCTCTGTTTCATCGGCCCAACCTTTGCTGGGTTTCAGGACATTTTCTAATTAGTCTGTGAGATCTAAGTAGATGTCCCATTAAAAAGGGGGTTCCATGGGAAAATACCTTTGAGAAACACTGCTTCACATGATGCCCCCCAGCCACCCCACGATCAGCTGATGAGTCTTTAGGAAAACAAATCTGTCTAAAACATTCCTAGAAAAATAATCCCAACAATCAATAGTTTGTGTCCCTGTTGTAGGCTCAGGTATTTCACAAAATCCTTCTCATCTTCCCCACTGAAATTTAGTCTCGTGTGAAATGAAACACAGAATTTACTACTTTACTCCTAGGTAATTCCCAAGATCACCTGCCTCACTTCCTCCCCAGGGCACAAAATCAGAGATGTGCCAACAGAAGGCATCCACTGCAGACCCTGTAATCTTGCCACCACCATTCTTCATGAGCCATGGAGAAGCTTATAGAAGCTGGACTCCTCTCCCCAGAAAAATAAACACACACACAACACACAAGGATCTGTATGTAATCTCAAGGTCTCACCCCAGGAAATTCACCCCAGGGTCCATGAATTCAAAGTAAGCCCCCCTCAGTAAGGATGCTTCAGCGGACCCCTCTGATTCACAGGGGTCTCCATTCTCACGGGCTTGCTGGTTTCGCTGCTAAGATTATGACAAACTAGGGCTGATGAGACCTTGCTTCACTCCAGCAACACACCAGTGCACCATAACTGAGGCCTCTCTGCACACATCCGCCCTGCAGACACCGTGCATTCATCCATTTGGCAAACACTCACTGAGCTCCCCTACCTTCCAGGTGCTGTGCTAGGTGAAGGTGACAAACTCCATGATCCTTGCCCTGGGGAGCAGACCTCCTGGTGAACAGACGCAAACAATAAGCACAACAAATGACAGGTTGTGATGGCATTATACCAAAATTCAAGGGGTCATCTGACGGGGTCAGATCCTTGATATTGGGTGGTCCGTAGTATCATGTGACAGCATCTGAGATTGCATTCCATAAAAATCCCATCAAGATTTGTAAAACCTCAAAGTCCTTCAAAATAAGAAGATACAGTCTCAATGTTAAAGGCTGACCAAAAAAAAAAAAAAATAGGATGAGTTGGAAGAGAAGCTGCATGTCCTTCCAAACTAATGAAGTGATGCTCCTCCTCTTGGCTCCCCACTCCCAGTAGAAATCCAGCCGCTAGTACCCAAGTGAGAGTGACACATTCCTGCCTAGCAAGCCTACAGTACAGACCATCTGGTCCACTGGCCTTGTGCCCACTTGAAAGATAACAAGCCAGTTTCCAATGATAAAGGAACCCAAAAATAAAGATGTAAAAACAGAGCCCCTGAAATGAGTCAAATGATACTTCCTCACCAAACACATCTTCTGATAGCAAATCAAGTCCAAAGGTCTCATTACAAAGAACTGTAATTCTAGATAGTAGGATTAGCTCCACCATGAAATCTATATGCCAACGCTCTTTCGTAATTCACTTAAAGGCCCACTCACAGGTAATTCACTTAATTTCAGATCTCTGCACTTGAAAATCACATTTTTTGTGTTTCAAATGGAACTGTCTAAACTCCATCCATCGCAGAACAGTTATATAGATTATGTTCATAAAATTTTGTATATACAACCATTAAAAATAACTGGGTAAAACTATGTTACTCAAGTGATATGTATTGTTTTATCTGCGTAAAACTCTATTCTTCTTGTAAATTCTCCTTTGTCCCATGTGATTGTACTTGAAACTTCCAATTATACTCTTTCTAGCCCCTCCCCAGCCACTGTGGCTAGTCCAGAGATAGGACCATGACATGAAACCAGCCTATTTGAGTCTTCCCTGGGATTCTCCAACCTGCAAAACAAAAGCCTCTTGCATGTCCGGTCAAGGAGCTGTGGGCACATAAGCTCCCAAGAGCTGCAAGTGGCAGAGGGTCCACATAAAGGTGGGGTTGTGAGGGCGTGGAGGGGTGTGTGAGGGTGTGGAGGGGTGTGTGAGGGTGTGGAGGGGTGTGTGGTAGCTAATCCAGTAAAGGCACAGGAAGGCTACGCCTCACTCAGTTTCTGAGTATCTTCTCTATGAAGTCAAAAGAAGTTTGAGGATGATTGGTGCCATTGGTGAGGCAGGTTAAGCATGGTTAGGACTGGCTAGTTTGAAGAATCCAGCAGCCTCTGGGCTGGAGGGGCTGTCATGAGTTGTCTGGTACCTGGCTCTGAGGTGTTTAGGGCTGGTGGACCGTGGCCTAGAAGGTGAGAGCCAGAAGAAGTGCTGGGGAACTGGGCTCTAGGCTGGCTGGTTTGCATTCTGAAAGGCTCACTCACAGGTGAGCCATTACCACCTGCAGGAATCAGCTAGCCTGGGAGGGACAGTCCCTCCAGCATCAGCAAGGCCCCAGATGCCAGAGCACCCAAATATACAGAATAAAAGGGCACAATGAACACACACCAAAACCTTGTCTCACAGAGAATGACACCTAGAGTGGCTGATTGACTTGACCAAGCTCAAATGAGCTAATAAAATTTCTACCTTAGGGTTTACACAGCACTTACAAACTACCTCATTTTAGATATAGCAAAAACTCTAAAACATCACAGGTTTATGGCCATTCTGAATCTCAGGAAAACCGAAGGTCAGAGAAGTTAAGCGGTGTTTCTTTAGTCATCTGACTAAAGACAAACAGAGCTAAAATGAAGCTACATCTTCTTGTCTAGCCTTTTGCATGGATTCTTCACCACACGGCCTCTGCAGACCTCAGGCCCCACCTAAAGCTCCATTCTGATGGATGAAGCCCAGGGCCCCTCGTGCTTATAAGTCTTGGTTGGGGTGGTCTTTCCCGCTCACATCTCCCATGCTCGGATGTACGGAAGGCGCCTAGGTGGGGAGGGGACGCTCCAGAAAATGCAAAGCTCTTCCGAACAAGGCTTTAGTATCCACCTGCAGCTGCCTTCTCACCCTAGGGAACTGGACTGAACAACTTAGTGCTCCCTGAGCCTCGCCCAGAGCAATGGTTCTCTGGGAATCTGTGCGGGTGCTGGGTTGTCATAATGGCTGTGTAGTTCCTGACCTATGGGGAAAAGTGGCCAGGGATGGTAGCCATCCATCTATGCAAGGAGTGTTAACCTTTACGTGTTAATGTAGGTGAAACACCAACTTATAATAATCACAACCTAAAACTTGCTTCCACTTTTAACCTCCAGGAGTTTTCTCATTGTTTTTATATACACTAAGGTGCCCGGCACTGCAACTACCAGATCGATCAAGCGAACTCCAACGTGTCTGGAACTCTACCAAGAGCGGTTCACCACTTTGGAAAATCATGTCCCCATTGACAAGGACACTCCAGTGCAACATCCTGTCCTGCTGTGCGGCTGCCGTCATGTCTGTGGTGATGGGTGGAGGTGCAAGCACCCAGTCGTTCCCTGTGTCTCCCAGTGGTCAACATGCCTAAGCACAGAAACATACATTATTTTCAGTGAAAATTACATTTAGGGCTTTGTAATGCTTTTTGGAATCGTAAGTGAGAATACGGTGCACTTTCTATGACTTCCATTTGGGGATATAGCAAAAACATCATGACAAAGGGCTGTGGATCTGACAGAGTTCCAACCACAGGCCCAGAGCAGACTCTGGCCAGACACCTCCTGTAGCCTTTCCTTTGAGCCCTGTCCTTGATCTCGATCCAGTTAGCATTTCAAGGTTCAAATGCAGACCCATCCCAAAACGGTGCCGCACCCAAGTCTGGGACCAATGACGGAGAGAAGAGGGAGGCACCTGCCTGCATTCTTCCCCTCAGTGGCTCTGGCCACACATGGAGTCGTGGGCTCCCCTGTGCACTGTTCTCAGCCTCAGGTAGGCTGTGTTCTACCTTCCCCCCAGTTTTCTTCTTACCTACGAGGGCTCTTGATTTCTCCTGACTTTGCAAATCCTTTATGCGTGACAGTCTCGCCTTGAGAAGACAGGGAGGTAGGGGACGGGAAGCCAGCAATTTTACCCACTACTGATTCATTCAAGAAACACAAATCTGAATGCCTACTATTCATTTTACCAGGGCTCTTTGCAGACACGCCAGACTTTCAAACTAGCCATCATCATTTAACATCTTTCAGGATTTCACATTAGAAGCTTTTGGTAACTGAAAGTGGACTGGTGTGGGGGAGGGCCAGGTCCCACTCTGACAAGGGCCTAGAAGACAGGCCAACTCCTGTCTGAGGTCTGAAACTGGGCAGAACATGAAGGGCAGCCCTGGGGAGGGCCAACCATGGGGACGGAAGGCAAAAGGCTGTGGGAAACCCATTTTTAAATTTTTTAATTCATTTTTAATTGACAAATAAAAATTGTACATATTTATTGTACAATTTGTACAACTGCACGTACTTCAACATGTTGTTTGAAATATGTAAACATTATGGAAAGCAAAATTGTTTCTGAGGCAGGGTCTCACTCTGTCACCTAGACTGCAGCGCAGTGGCGCAATCTCGGCTCACTGCAACCTCTGCCTCCCAGGTTCAAGCGATTCTCCTGCCTCAGCCTGGGGAGAAGCTGGGACTAAAGGCACCCACCACCACGCCTGGCTAATTTTTGTATTTTTAGTAGAGATGGGGTTTCACTATGTTGGCCAGGCTGGTCTCAAACCCCTGACCTCAGGTGATCCACCTGCCCCTACTTCCCAAAGGGCTAGGATTACAGGCGTGAGCCACCGCACCCAGCTTGAAAGGCTAAACTGAGCTAATTAGCATATGCATTACTTTGCATCCTTATTTTTTGTAGTAAGATCACTTAAAATCTACTCAGCAATTTTCAAGAAGACAATGCTATTAACTATAGTCACCATGTTGTACAAGAGATCTCTTTAACTTCCTCCTCCTATCGAACTGAAATTTTGTATACCTCAGATTCTAATTTTTACCCTATATTACACAGAGCAATTTTGAATTTATTTCGCTAAACTGTGACCTAGAGAAAATATTTTATTCAGAAAACATCACTGGTAAACAAACAGCTCAGGAAGTGATCTGTGTTTACTAAAACTTTGAAATATATTTTACACATATTCTGCATTAAAATCTGATTAAAATGTAGTTATACAAAGAGACAGTGTTTTCTGATTTGTAGCATTCATGGCCGAGATACACTATTTAAAAATGCACTTGATTTAGGCATTTATTCAAAATCATAAGCATAAAACATGATCATACCTTCCTACTGGCAGACACAAAACTGGTGCATCCCACACACTTGTTTGAGTAATTACAACACCAGCTGTTCTAGCACCTACCAAGAGAAGCTGCAACTCAGACTGACTCCTGGTCACTGATGTGCCAAACAGCATCATCTTCTAACCAAAAATGAAAATCTCACTTTGATAAATGGGTTGTCCAAGTTAAATTAGCTAAACCAATGCTTAAGTCTAAGTTCCAATTTTTAAAACTTTCTGTATATGCTATACTAGCAAATGTGGATTTATCTGATTTTAACACAAAAAGGAGAGACTGCCAATAGAATTGATTTCTGCTAGATTTTAAAATCTACAAAACCTGAGATCTCCCCAAGAATTAAAGGCAATTCTCAGGTTGAAATATTTATGAAACATACAAATTTCAATGGCATTTCACAGAAAATAAATATAAAGCATTAAATAGCAAGACAAAGATTACAGCCAAGACTCTCAACTATCCAACTGAAACTCACTTCCATATTTACCACCCAAAGACAGCAGACCCTCCATGTGCTGGAGCCTCTACAGGAGGAAGGGGAAATGGCCATGTGCTCAGTGTGTGTTCCAATCCAGGGATTGTACACAGGCTACTTTATTCAATTTTCTCTGACTCTGGATTTCCCACAGGATAGGCTTCGTAGCAGCACTCTACAGTTGGGGAAACTGAGGCCTGGCAACTCCCCTAAAGGCTGCCCAGCCAGGAAGCACCCGCCCAGCAGGTCTGACGAGGCCTCCATTCTCTTGCAGTGCGCTATGTCTATCCACTCCAAAAGCCACAGCACACACAACTTCAACTCTCCAGAAAATGTCCAGTCACCCTGTCTATATTTTTCTTGTTTCATAAAAATTACGCATTTTGGTTGGAGTAGACTTATGACCAGAAAGAGGCTCTCTGCAAAGCAGATGCTGCACTTGCAATGGTGGGATGAAGGGGGATGGAATGCAATAGCTTGAAAAGTGACCGGGACACAGCAGCTGGACTAGACTCGGGGATAAGAAATACCTCTCTATTTTTCCCCAAAGTTAAATATTTCTAAGCTTCCACCTGTTCACCTGGTGAGAAATAGCATTTCTTCATGGAGTACAAGAGTCTTAAGTGGTATATGCAACCCAGAAAATTTGGCAAACGGTCCATGATGATCACCATTGAGCTCCCTGCCCATAAGGTCCATTGTAGAGGCCCTGACCCTGGAAAGTGTTCTGTCTGCAGACATCTGTGGCCATCCTCACCTTGGAATTTCCCCTTCTTAGACGAGCCAGTCTGACATCAGTAAAAAACAGAAGTCAGGCATTTCTCCCCTGTAGAAAGGGAACCTCCCATTCTGGCAGACCAAGATTCAACACTCTCTTGGAAAGGAAGAAGGGAAATACCACTCATGCCTGCAATGAGCCAACAGCAGACCCCAGTAGGCCCAAACAATGAGAAACAGGACAGAGTTTGGGTTTGCTTTACATCTATTCCATTGTGAAATGCCAGGGCCCCAGGACTCCCCACGGCTCAGGAACGTATGGAGACGCATTAGGTGGCAATATGTGCTGCTGCCTATAGAAACGATATGTGACCCACAGAAAGAGTGTCATATGTCCAACCTAACACCACACCAGTGGGTCACATCTGCAAGTGCCCCTTGGCCAAAAAAAAAAAAAAAAAAAAAAAAAAAAAAAGAAGGATATGTAGCCTTGCTCTCCTTCCTAATCAGGAGCTCACCGGAACGTGGGAGCCAACCAAACCAAACTGTGGCTCCAGCTTTTACAACCCTAACTACTGGGAATCTATTTTCTCGCTGGAGTGTCTGAGAGGATGGAGAAATACACACTAAAAAGGGTTCCGTGGAGATATTGGATTTAGACTTTATAAATGTGGCTCATGAATTCCAACACCCAAAATGGAAAACTGGGCTTCCAGGATATTATACTGTTTTGTACTTAGCTACTTTATTTATACCCCTCCTGGTTCTGAAGAATATTTAACAGGTTTTATTTCACCATGAAAAAAAGGGTTGCTTTAGCAACAGGGCAAACAAGTATACTTCTTAAATGTCTATAAATGACCCAGATTAGTCTCCAAGTTTGTAAAATACTTAATCTCTTTCAGCAATGAAATGCCAAGATAAGAGTAAATTCCAAAAATTCTTTTGAGGGCATGAGGGCTTACTTATTGTTAAGTAGGAGATGAGCTAAGCCTCTGGTACTCTCGGTCCACAGAGGCACCCTATAAAAACGTGGCAAGCCCAGGGCGAGGCATCATGGAATGGACCCTGAATTCTACCTCAGTGGTGCCAATTCCTGAGACCTTGTTACCACAATGTGGCCAGGCACAAAGTTTTCACTGGCCAAGACAAAAATAAGAATAGTTCCCAGCACAAAAAAAGGCACCAATAAGTATCTGTAGACTGATGGACTGATAAGTGAATGACTGATACTGTATACTTTTCAAAAGTCAAGAGATAATTTATTACATGTGAAGAACAATCCTTAAAAATAAAGCTGGGGCCAGGCATGGTGGCTCACGCCTGTAATCCCAGCATTTTGGGAGGCTGATGCAGGAAGATCACTTGAGATCAGGAGTTTGAGACAGCCTGGGCAACACAGGGAGACCTCGTCTCTATAAAAAAAAGAACTTAAAAACTAGCCGGGCATGGTGGGGCAAGCCTGTAGTCCTAGCTGCTCAGGAGGCTGAGGCAGCACAATCGCTTGAGCCCAGGAGTTCAAGGCTGCAGTGGGCTATGACTGTGCCGTTTGCACTCCAGCCTGGGCAACAGAGCAAGACATCATCTCTAAAAAAATAATAATAAAAATAAAGTAAAAAGCTAAAGTTGAACCTGAGAGTGTCCCTTATAACATTCTCCTAATAAAATCTTTTTCTTTGTATAATAAAATGGTGTGATAAAAGACAATAGTTTCAGTGTGAATAAAAACTAAACAGTAAGGCCAGGCATGGTGGCTCATGCCTGTAATCCCACAACTTTGGGAGGCTAAGGCAGGGGGACTGCTTGAGTCTTGAGCCCAGGAGTTCAAGACTAGCCTGGTGAGACCCTGTCTCTACAAAGAAAAAAAAATTTTTTTAATTAGCCAGGTATGGTGATAAGCACCTATAGTCCCAGCTAGTCGGGAAGCTGAAGCAGGAAGATCACTCGAGCCTGGGAGTGCGGGATGCAATGAGCTGTGATTGTGTCACTGCACTCTAGCCTGGGTGATAAAGCAAGACCCTGTCTCAAAAAACAAACTACCCAAAAAGTTAGCAACTTTATGTCTGAACCCCAAATATTCTTTTTTTTTTTTGAGACAGAGTCTCACTCTATCGGCCAGGCTGGAGTGCAGTGGTGTGATCTCGGCTCACCAGAACCCCAAATATTCTCGAACTTTCATTTTAACTACAAAATCTGACAGTGTGAGAACCACTGCTTGAAGCACTGGCTACAATCCCAGGAAGAAGAGTGGAAATCCAAGACACAGGGGCTAGTCGGAAAACATTCCCCAAAGGCAGGGAGGCAGACCCAGGCGGCAGAGGAGCCTGCCCAACAGCCACGTTCCCTCTTCCCTCGGACAGATCCCCAGCTTTGTTAGAGGATCCTTTTCCCATGTGACTCAAGGTCAAGTGAATCTACCTCCCACTCTAAGAAAAGGTCAGTATTAGCTAATTCCCCTTGCCAGTGATTGGTTCAGGGATGATCACATGACTTAGGTCTGACCACTGAGGGGAAGTCTGGTGGGGGGCTTCTAGGAAAGATTTCCTTGCCACTAAGAAGAGACACAGGGATCAGTAACCCCTCTTCTTTTGTGTACATGTGTCCTCTGATTCTGGTGCCTAAAACTACAGCAGCCTTCTAGCTGGATTCAGGTTAAATTAAGATACTCTTACCAGCAGAGCAGAAAGATGGAAAACACATGGGTACTTGATAATGTCACCGAGGCACTACATTAACCAACTGGAAACCTGTTATGGTTGAATTCTGTCCCCCATAAAAGATACATCAAAGAATTAGCCAGGCATGGTGACATACGCCTGTAATCCCACCTACTCAGGAGGCTGAGGCAGAAGAATCGCTTGAACCCGGGAGGCAGAGGTTGCAGTGAGCTGAGATAGTGCCACTGCACTCCAGCCTGAGCAACAGAGCCTGACTCTGTCTCAAAAAAAAAAAAAAAAAAGTCAAAGTTCTAAACCCTAGTACCTCAAAATCTCAGAATCGGAGTTTATTTGGAAAGAAGGTCTTTGCAGATTTAACCAAATTAAGATGAGGTCATTGGGTGGGCTCTAATCCAAGATGACTGGTGTCCTTATAAAAAGGGGAAATTTGGACACACATACCATAGAAGGATGTGGTGAAAACACACAGGAGAGCCCCAGGTGAAGACGGAGGCAGAGACTGGACTGCTGAGACTGCAAACCAAGGAATGCCCAAGGACTGCTGGCCACCACCAGAAGCCAGGAGAAAGGGGAGGAAGGGATCTATCTACCTGGAGTCTCAGAGGGAGCACAGCTCTGTTGATGCCTTCAGGTTGGACTTCCAGCCTCCAGAACTGTGAGAGAAGAAATTTCTATTGTTTTAAGCCACCTAATCTGGGCAGCTCTAGCAAGCTAATACACCTTCTTTCTTCTGGACCTTTTTATGTATACGTAACATAATATATGTATACTATGTAAATTAATAAATTTTCCTTCTGCTTAAGCCACTTTGAGTGATGATGTCAGTAATTGCGATTGAAGGCAACTCGATCAACTGGTCCCAAGGGAGGGGACTACCAAGCAGAGAAAGGGTCCTAAAGGAGCCAATGCCCACTAGAGTCCACGCACCGCTTTAACCAGCCAGCACCAACATCCTTCCTTCATCCCAAACTCACACCGCCAGACACAAACACAAATTGCTGCTCCACACAGCATGCCGTTATCCTTATATATACAACCAAAAGCACACACCACAAATTCTAGAACAAGTGCAGGACCTCAGGAGAGGTCCACTTCCCCTTTGGTTTCCTCCTGATTCTTCTTTTAGTCTAATGTAGAGATTAAACTGTAAAGCTGAGGACCAGCCACGCACCCTATATACAGTACATGCAAATCCAACTATTTCTCCTCAAACCCTTGGCCTGGCCCAGGGCCCCACCATCTCTCTCTGGATCATTGCATTAGCCTCCTAACTGGAATCTCCACTTTGCGACCCTGGCCCTCCTTCAAAGCACTCTACAGAGCTGCCAGGATGATCCGGTTAGAATAAGTTAGGTCAGGTCACTCCTCTGCTCAAAACCCTCCAGTAGCTCCTGTTTCATTCAGAGAAAAAGCCACCGTCCTCCCAGTGACTCAGGAGGCCCCTACTGATGGGGATCCCTGTCCCATCATTGTTTCCCATTGCTCCCCCTCTTCCTCACTGCACTCCGCTGGCCTCCTTGCTGTCCTGTGAACAACCCAAGGCGGTTCCTGCCTTGGCCTCTGCACTTGCTCTGCCCTTCTCCACACTTCTGCAGGTCGCTACTGAAAAATCACCTCATTAATGAGGGCTTCCCTAGCCATCCTTTCTACAAAGGGGCCTTCCCAACCCCTTTCCACTGACCCTTCACACCCCTTCTCCTGGATTTAACAATACGTTTTATTTATGTGGCATGTTCATTGTCCACTAGAATGCACGCTGTAGGAGGGTGGGGATTTTTGCCAACCTTGCTACATCCCACAGCAGTGTCTGGGATAGGGTCTGCCACATGCTTGAATGAGGGAGAGGGAGGAAAGAAGAGGTGGGTGACTATGCATGTGGTTGGTTAGGTCACTTAGCACGGCCTTGTGTTTTGTCCCAGTCATGTTCAGCTGGGCAGCTACAGGCCTGGAGGAAGCAGAGAGTTCAATTCAGCAGGGCTGGAGTTTTGCCAACAGAGTATAAGGAAGGAGAGAAGAGCCAGAGAGCTGAAGAGGCAAACGATGACTGATCATAATGGCTGAACTCGGAAATTATTATAAGTTAGGTAAAGAAGGAAGTGAGGGCATGAAGAGAGGACAACATGAAAAGATAATCAAAGGTTTATAGATCAGTGTGGGGTTTAAGATCTTTTGGGCCGGGCGCAGTGGCTCACGCTTGTAATCCCAGCACTTTGGGAGGCTGAGGCGGGCAGATCACAAGATCAGGAGATCGAGACCATCCTGGCTAACACGGTGAAACCCCGTCTCTACTAAAAATACAAAAAAAAAAAAAAAAAAAAAAGGTAGGGGCGTGGTGGCGGGCGCCTGTAGTCCCAGCTACTCAGGAGGCTGAGGCAGGAGAATGGTGTGAACCTGGGAGGCAGAACTTGCAGTGAGCCGAGATCATGCCACTGCACTCCAGCCTGGGTGACAAAGCGAGACTCTATCTCAAAAAAAAAAAATCTTTCTGGAGTAGGTGCACCTACATTGATAATTTTTGTGTAATCTAAAATTGTGTTTGTTCCTCCTTGGTCTAACACCCTCAGATTCCACCAGCATATATATTAGCCAAGTTTGCATCCATGTATATTAGCAAAAATTCAGTTCAAGTGGCACGTGGCATGTAAGCTTTCTCCCTGTGGACTTTATAATGGCAGCTGCACCTTCCCTGCTGGGGACTGACTTCAGTCTGGATATGACAAGGGGTGGTGAGGGAGAAACATCGGGAGACTGCCTTCCCAGGTGAGATACTGGGGCCGGGTGGAAACGCTGCACCCGACAGAGGTCCCAGCCTGCCTGGGTTGGCAAGCACAGTTGAGAGGGATCCTGAGTCTCCCAATCCTCTCCCCACCCCCCACCCCCACCAGCATCCACCAGAGTGTCAGACCTCATGCTTCCTAAATCAACGACAGTGTTCGGGAACCAGGCAAGGCCATGAACACAACTGCTGGTGTGCTCAGCAACCAGAAGGATCACACTCTGAAACCCTCTGCTCCTTTCTTGTTGCCCCCGCCTTTTGTTTCAGTGCAATCACTGCAAGTTCACGACATGCCAGGAGCTGAAAGTTTCAGAATCTGGGCTCTGCATTCTTTTTCTTTAAGCTAATCAGCAGGAGCCCCTGAATATCCAATTCCCCACTGCCTGCCATGGACGGTGAGGAGTCCACCACTCAACCCTGGCTGTACTTTCACTAGCTCTGCCCTTAAACTGGGCAAATTACCAGTCCCACATGCCCTGCCCCTATTTCCTGGAGGGTCTACCACCTGCCTCCACTCCTTATTCCAATCCTGCCTTGTTCTGGGTTTTGACTTCCAAGCAACAGAATCAAGTTGGCAGAGCAAGGTGGAAAATGGCATTTACCTAAACAATGTTGGAGAGGGCCCAGAATCGCTAGGAGGGCAAAAGGAAAGGCTGAAGGCTACAGAGCCAAGAACAGTGCCCCACATCCTGCCCAGAGCAGCCAAAATCCCCTGAGTGACAAATGACAGATGACGGATGACACTCCAAGCCAAGCCCTGGCGAGCCCTCACACCATGCCAGGGCTGCCCAGGACGCCCACCTAGCTGCAAACGTGGCCACCAACAGCTCTCTCACTCTGTTTGCCTCACTGCCTCCCAAGAGACAAAGTCTAGGCAGATGTGGCCCAGGCAGGCCAGTGGCTCCCGTGCACCCAGGATGTATGGGGATCACTCAGTTTGGGTCATATCACAGCCCATTGCCTCCCTGCACCCCATACTCCTGACACCCCAGCCTTTCTGGGACCCTTATCCACAGTCTTCCAGTTTAAATGAAAGAAAGTAGACCTCAAAGACAGGCCAATGTATTGAATGTATAATAATCAAGCCAGGGTATCCATCACCCTAGTGTTTCCCATTTCTATGTGTTAGGTACGTTTCAACTCTCTTCTCGCTATGTTGAAATGTATTATACACACTGTTGTTAACTATAGCCACTCTACTCTGCTATCAAACATTAGAACTTATTTTTTTCTATCCAACTGTATGATTATACCCCATAAATATGTACAAATATAATGTATCAAAAAGAAAGAAAGAAAGAGGCCAGTGGAAGGCATTCAAAAACAACACACAAACCTGACAACTCTGTTTTCGCCCACCAGGGCTCAGTGAAACTCTTCTTAGGCATCACACAAGAGAGAAGGAAAACTGGCAAGTTCACAACATAAACACGCCGAGACAGGTAGACATACCGCTAACTTTATGGTGATCTGGCTATCTGAATAGAAATAGAAAGAGTGCTATACCATGTCAGGAGACGAAAACCTAACACTTTGCCTGCCATCTATAATTGCTTGACAGCATAATTGATCATGTAACTGACAACTGTCCCATCATCCTATTCTCAAGCACTGATAAAGTGATGTAACACTACCAACGGCACATGGGATCTTCCCTAAACAGTGTGATCTGCACCAACCAGGGATCACACAGTTAATACCACTGGAATTTTAAAAAGCTTTCTCTAAACAAAAGCATCAAAAAGCTATCTTAAAATAAATGAAAAGCAGACAAGTTAGTCCTATAGCCTTGAGTATTTATCCTAGATGATGTCCTAGTGGCTAGTGAACTAGAAATAGACTCTATCTGTGGAAATGAGGGAAATATTTTTTAAAATAACAACGCCCATTAGAAGAATCCAGCTGCCTTCTCAAAATGACAGAGCCAGAGCAGTTCTTTGTCATCGCTATGGCTCGGGGCCTGGGGATCACAAACCTCCAGGTATTCACCGGGTCTGCACTGACCAGAAAGCATCACTCCCTCCCTATGTCAGGCATTTGGACATAATGTGGATGGTTAATAAAAGGCACAGCAAGCTGAGAAAGACTCACCAGACCCACCTTGGAGGACCCAACAACTGACCCGGAGCACACTGCGGAAATTTCAACTCATCTCATCTGTTCACTCGCTCCTTCCGTAAATCGGTACTGAGCACCTGCCGTAGGCCAAGCACGGTCCTAGAAACAGGATGGACACAGCTACCAAGGCCTCAGCCTCAGCCTGAGGGAGCCCATGTTCCAGGAGGGAAGACAGATGAGAAACAGAATTTAATTTCAGATAGTGAGGAGCATGTAACAGAAGACAAGAGCAAGCGGGGAGGACACAGGGCAGGAATGCGGGCTGGGAGAGGGGCCAGCCATCCAGAGGAGAGGCGGGGAGAGCCTTCTCTGAAAGGGACTGCTGGGTGAGACGTGAAGCATAAGAAGGCATTACTGGGACCTCGGAGTCAGCTTAAGGGCAGAATCTCACACCCTTGTCTTAGAAAAAAGGAATGAGAAGTTTTCTAGACAGGGAAGAAAAGGCACCCATGCTTAAAATGGGAGGGAACAGGCAGAGTTCAGGTGACTGCAAGAGGCCACTGTGGCTGGGCACAGAGAGCACACAGGAGCTGCACAAGACAGGTCTGCTGGTGGCCACAGAGCCAGGACAGCGAGGTCGTGGGGAAGAAAGGGAAGGGCTTTAAGCTGCTGGGGCTGACACAGTCAGAACTACAACACACACAGAAAAGCGTAACAGGTCTTTCTTCTTCCAAATAAGCCTATCTTTTACGCTTTTCTGAATTAGTTGGTCCTCCTGTTTTGGCTTGAAGTGGTAGGGTTTACTCTATTTTTTGGCTTGAATTGGTAGGGTTTATTGGTTTGGTTTGGTTTGGTTTGAGAGTCTCGCTCTTTTGCCAGACTGGAGGGCAGTGGTGCGATCTCGGTTCACTGCAACCTCTGCCTCCCAGGTTCAAGCAATTCTCCTGCCTCATTCAGCCTCCAGAGTAGCTGGGATTACAGGCGTGTGCCACCATGCCCAGCTAATCTTTATATTTTTTAAGAAGGGACGGGGTTTCACCATGTTGGCCAGGCTTGTCTCAAACTCCCGACCTCAGGTGATCCACCTGCCTTGGCCTCCCCAAGTGCTGGGATTACAGGCATGAGCCAGCACACCCGGCTGCTTTACGGAGTCTCACTCTGTCACCCAGGCTGGAGTGCATTGGCGTGATCTCAGCTCACTGCAAGCTCCACTTCCCGGGTTCACGCCGTTCTCCTGCCTCAGCTTCCCGAGTAGCTGGGACTACAGGAGCCTGCAGCCATGCCCAGCTAATTTGTTGTATTTTTTTTTTTAGTAGAGACGGGGTTTCACTGTGTTAGCCAGGACTGTCTCGATCTCCTGACCTCGTGATCCGCCCACCTCGGCCTCCCAAAGTGCTGGGATTACAGGCGTGAGCCACGGCGCCCGGCCCTCCTTAGCCATTTTTAAGTTACGGTTCTACGGCACAACGTACATTCACATTGTTGTGCAACCATCACCACCAAACATGCACAGAGCTCTTTTTATCATGCAAAACTGAAACTGCTCCCACTGAACACTGCTCCCCTGCTGTCCCTGGAAACCACCATCCTACTTCCTGCTTCTATGAGTCTGGCTACTCTGGGTACCTCATATAAGTGGAATCACACAGTATTTGTCCTTTGGGGACTGGCTTATTTCACTTAGCATAATATCTTCAAAGTCTATCCATGTCATAGTATGTGTCAGAATTTCCTTCCTTTTTAAGAATGAATAGTATTCCATGGTATGGAGAGACCCCATTTTATTGATCCATTCATCCAAGGATGGGTTCCTGGGTTGCTTCCACCTCTTAACTATTTTGGTTGATGCTGTTATGAACATGGATAAACAAGTATCTCTTCAAGTCCCTGCTTTTAATTCTTTGGGTATATACCCAGACTTGCTTTTAATGAGACTCTCTACATGTTAACTTCTTGCTTTTAATGAGACTGTCTACATGACATGTTAGTCACATGTGATTTACAACAGGAGGTAAGAGCAGGCTGGGTGAATCATAATAGTGTCCATTAATGCTGCACGTACACAGAGGACTCCTATGGTGCCAGTGAACAAAGGAGCAGACACCTGCTCCCAGGACCACACAAAACTCACCACTGCAGACATAGATGACTACCTCCATTCTAACACATAACATAATTTGGTCTCAGGTACTTAGTGAGGAGAGTTTCCATTTTTCCTCCAAAGATACCTAGCAGAGAAAGAATGTCATGTTTGATGGGAGAATTTTTAAATTAGCTTCAGAAACCAATTACATACCTCAGGCTTAAAAAAAGACAGCAAAATTGGACAGGTGCAGTGGCTCACGCCTGTAATCCCAGCATTTTGGGAGCTGAGGTAGGTGGATCATTTGAAGTCAGGAGTCGAGACCAGCCTGGCCAACATGGCAAAACCCTGTCTTTACTAAAAATACAAAGATTGGCCAGGTGTGGTGGCGGGCACCTGTGGTCCTAGCTATTCAGGAGGCTGAGGCAGGAGAATCGCTTGAACCTGGGAGGCAGAGGTTGCAGTGAGCCAAGATTGCGCCACTGCACTCCAGCCTGGGCAACAGAGCAAGACTCTATCTCAAAAAAAAAAAAAATCCCCCAAAAAACTTTTTCAAACCCACAATCTGACTTTAAATTTCATAAAGAAGGTGATCAACAAAGATTGGTCTTGGTCTATTACCAAAATGATGTCAAATTTTCCATTCTCTTTCTTTGTTCTTTACATTTCCACTCCGATTTTATGTAAATGAAATTGAACTTTTACTAGAGCTGTTTAAACACATTCTATTGAATACAACTGTATTTTATATTTTCTTTTATTTTTATATTATATAAATTTGTATTTATAAAACAGCTTTTATTAAAAGTATTTTTGCTCTGAATAATTGTATTCCATACATGTAAATATAAAAAATTGCTACATGGCCCTTTAAGGCATTTAATAATTTTACAAAATACAGTAACACTGCAGAAGAAAGACATAAGAAGTTTTACTGTTAGGAACATTCTCCAAGCCAGAAAAATAGGCATTAGAGTAAGGACATTTCCACATTCAATATTAATTGATATTTGGAGCAGAATAATTCACAGTTAGTAGTCAGATTGATAGAGACAGGAGGTATAACAGTGGTTGCCAGCAGCTGGGGGCAGACAATAGGAAAATGTTGAAGGGGTACAGAGCTTCACTTTTGCAAGATGAGAAGTTCTGGAGGTGTATGATGTTGATGGCTGCACAGCCATGTGAATGTACCTACTACTGAACTGTACACTTTAAAATTGTTAACATGGTAAATTTTATACATGTATTTTACCACAATTAACATTTTTTTCTTAAGGTTTTCAAATAAAAAATTCGGTAGTTATTTGAATAACTAATGCTAGGCAGGACTGGTCAGCAGGAAAAAGCTGCTCCAAAGGTGGCTGAGGGTAAGGAAAGCCTTCGTAACCCCTCAGGCAAATCAACAAAGAGATCTTTTACTACAGGAAGGTGCTACATCTGCCTCAGAGCAGAAGTGGTGCAGCACTGATTTAGGTTCTGAATTTCTTAAGGTCTAACACTGACATTCTTCACATGCTAACAGTTCCGATGTTCAGGTGCCTCACAGAAGCAATGTCAAAAGAAATATGCTATCTGCCAAGCAAAGAAACAAACTGAGAAACAGCTGTGTCTGCCTGTGCATGCATAAACTTAACCAGGCATAAAGGGTTCCTAGTGACACGTATCTGCATGGCAGTACCACAGAGTACTGCCATGTAGTTGAATTTGAATTGTCCCGTAAATGCCTCCAAAAAGATTTCATGATGATATACAACTGAGACTGCACACTACTGTGTGGACAGAAGGTTGCCTTCCATCGGGCTAAGCTCCACAATTAAGTAAAAACTGCCAAATCTTTTGGGCAGATCATAAAATGTTCGAAGTCAGGACAAGCTGGTGAGACTGACTCACACACTGTAAGGACTATCACTGAACATTTTTCTGTCCTAAGTCCCAGCTGACTTTCCATGACAGTTGTTTAATTTCCACAGATACATAATGCAATTATGGAAAAAGTGAAAATCCGATATTTACCAAAGAAGAAATGCAGACATCTGGTAGTTTTTAAAATGCTTTGAAATTATGCTGTCAATGCTAAGAGGACACAAAAGGTCAAGAACATGAGCATGGAATATGAACAGTATTAAAGCTGTCAGGCAAAGCTATCAATGGCCAAAAGAGATAACAGAAAACATTATCCTATGAATGAAAAGAAAGCTTAAGAGTCCAGTTTTGTGATCTTGAGTAAAACAACAGTATGATGTGTGGGATAAATGTAGCTGCCACTGGGTAGATATTTTATGAAAGCTTTGTTTATTATAGTATTTCTTTTTTCTAAAACAATGCTGCTTAGTGGAGGGTAGGCTTTATAAGAGTAGGTACATGACTAGTCTTTTGCTGCAGTGATTTAGTTTGTGATGATCCACGTCATTTTTGCCACAGTGTACAATAGCTGCTGAAGGCCACCCTTGTCTCTCACTTTTCATTATTAAACCAAAGCAAACTCTTCTGATGAAGTTAGAATACATTTTTTTAAGTTAGTCAAATGTGGACACTATAAATCTAACCTCTAGTACTATGGATAGGCAATGGAAAACATCTTGAAATGTTAATCCTAAATAAACACTAAGCAATGTTTAATGTTTAAGATTGATGTCATTGACTATGCTTAGCTGAGAAGAAAACATGTGATTAACCAAGGGAAGGACTTAAAGGATATGTAATAATTCTATATCACCACTAGACATTTAAATTTCACAAAGAGGTTCAACAACTTGAGGAAGCTACTGCTGCCTTTGCCACAGAACCTTCTATCTCAACAATGAAACTCTATCTCATTGCCCTCTATCTCAACAATGAAACTTAGGAGACTTCTGATATGACACATTGGGAGATCACTTTATGTTGGACACTCAAAATAGAAAGCCTGAAATGGTACCAAAATTGACAGCTCTAATACACAAGGGAAAGCCCTACCCTGTGACACTGTAATATTAAAGCAAGCATCTTTTTTAAGATAAAAGTACCACACAGTGGAAGGAAAGCAATGAAACATCTGCAGACCCTGAGAACAAAAGAACTCCAAAATCGCCAACAGATAATCAGTGCAAAGTGCTGGAGCCAGTATAAAAATGCAGAGTCCAATTTGCAAAACAAAACTACTGGGAGTAGAAACCAACTTGGGAAGAAGATAGGTAATAGGGGTAAAAAAAAAGAAGGAAAAGGATGATACAAGTGGCAGACTAGAGAAGAGGAGCCAGATGTCAAAAAGTACATGGCCAAACCAATCGCCACTTTGTGAAAATAACGAGAATGTGTGCTAGAGCTATGAAACTAGAAATCTATCCTATATATAAACAGATAAAATTGGCCAGGCACGGTGGCTCATGCCTGTAATCCCAGCACTTTGGGAGGCCGAGGCAGGCGGATCATGAGGTCAGGAGATCGAGACCATCCTGGCTAACATGGTGAAACCCTGTCTCTACTAAAAATACAAACAAATTAGCTGGGTGTGGTGGTGGGCACCTGTAGTCCCAGCTACTCGGGAGGCTGAGGCAGAAGAATGGCATGAACCCGGGAGGCCGAACTTGCAGTGAGCCAAGATCACGCCACTGCACTCCAGCCTGGGTGACAGAGCGAGACTCCATCTCAAAAAAAAAAACAACAACAAAAAAAAAAACGGATACAATTAGAAGATGAAAAGATAGAAAATTTTAATAATAAAAAATAAAGAGATATGGAGCATTCAAGAGAAAGGGATAAAGAAGACAGGTAAAGAGGGCTCAACATATGTATAAAAGGAATTCTGCAAAGAAAGAAACAGAACAACCACTGAAAACTACATATTGACTCAATTTTTTTTTTTTTTTGAGATGGAGTCTCGCTCTGTCACCCAGGCTGGAGTGCAGTGGCGCAATTTCGGCTCACTACACCTCCGCTCCCAGGTTCAAGCAATTCTCCTGCCTCAGCCTCCCAAGTAGCTGGGATTATAGGTGCATGCCACCACACCTGGCTAATTTTTTTTTTTATTTTTAGTAGAGACCGGGTTTCACCATATTGGCCAGGCTGGTCTCAAACTCCTGACGTTGTGATCCACCCGCCTCAGCCTCTAAAAGTGCTGGGATTACAGGCGTGAGCCACCAGACCTGGCCCACATTGATTCTATTTTTAAAAATGAGTAAAAGACTTGAATAGACATTTCTCAAAAGAAAATATAAAATGGTCAACAAGCATATGAAAAGATGTTCAACATCATTCATCATTAGGGAAATGCAAATCAAAACCACAACAAGGTATCACCTCACCCTCATCAGGATGGCTATCATTAACAACAACAATAACAAAACATAATAACAAGTGTTGGAGAGGATGTGGAAAAATTCAAACCCTTATAGACTCCTGGTAGGAATAAAAAATGGTGCAGCCACTGTGGAAAACAATTTGTCTGTTCCTCAAAAAATTAAAATTAGGATTGCCATGAGATCCAGCAATTCCACCTCTGGATATATATCGAAAAAATGGAAATCGGGGTCCAAGAGAGATATCTGTACACCCATGTTCATAGCAGCACTATTCACAATAGCCAAGAGGTGGAAGCAGCCCAAGTATTCACTGTTAGATGAATAAATAAAATGTGGTATAGACATACAATGGAATTCAGCCTTTACAAGGAAGGAGATTCTGATACATGCTAAACATGGATGAATCTTGATGAGGCTAAGTGAAATAAGGCAGTCACAAAAGGACAAATACTGTATGATTCCACTTCTATGAGGTATGTAAAATAACCAAATTCATAGAAACAGAAAGTAGAAGGGGAGTTATCAGGGGCTGGGTTGGGGGTAAAAGTTTCTCAAGATGAAAAAGTTCTGGGGGTTAGCTGCACAACAGTGTGAATATACTTAACAATATTGAACTGTACACTTACAATGGATAAGATGGGGCCGGGTGGCTCACATCTGTAGTCCCAGTGCTTTGGGAGGCCAAGGTGGGCAGATATCTTGGGTCCAGGATTCAAGACCAGCCTGGTCAATATGGCAAAACACCATCTCTACTAAAAAACTACAAAAAATTAGCCAGGCATTGTGGTGCATGCCTGTAATCCTAGCTACTCAGAGGCTGAGACACGAGAATTGCTTAAACTTGGGAGACAGAGGTGCAGTGAGCTGAGATCATGCCACTGCACTCCAGCCTGGGCAAGAGAGCGAGATTCTGCCTAAAAAAAAAAAAAAAGTTAAGATGGTAAACTTTATGTTACGTGTATTTTACCACAATTTTTAAAAATTGAATTAAGCTGAATATACTGAAATATACTGAAAAATACTGAATATACTGAAAAGGTACATCACATACCTAAGAAAAACAATCCAGAGAAGCCATAACAAGACATATTCTAGTAAAACTATTAAAGAAGAAAGGATAATGGGACCACAAAATCATAAGAGACTTCCAGCACTATTTGTTATGCTTCAATCCTTTAGAGGGAAACAACTGTACCATGAAGCACATAAGAAAAGAGTTATATTTTTCATCATAAGAGGTGCATAAATGAGGATTTGTTATATTATCCTCTATACTGGTCTATACACTTGTAATATTTGATCACACATTCCCACAAACGATTCAGGGAACCTACTGGCTCTGTTAAATTAAACTAAATTTGGGCTGAGGAGGTGCTTGTGTAATGAACTGCAACTTAACTTAGTATGCAAACTAATGGAAAGCCTAACTCAGGAGGATACTTTGGGAACAAATTGCTGAGTCTCAGGCAATCATAGCAGCTGAGCTCCAGTTAACTGCAGGCAGCAGGACAACTGTTCCAATCCTGTTCATGTAAGACGAACACTGAGCCATTAACCATCAGCTGTCTCTCTACCTCACTTCTGTTTCTGTACCTCACTTCCCTGCTATCCACAAATGCTTTTAGACCACGTTGCAGCCCTGGAGTTCTCTGAACCTGTCCCTGGTTCTGAGGGCTGCCTGATTCTAGAATCACAAATAAAAGGCGATTAAAATCTGCAAAACTAGATTTGTTATACATTTTTTTTTTTTGAGACGGAGTCTCACTCTGTAGCCCAGGCTGGAGTGCAGTGGTGTGATATCCACTCACTGCAAGCTCTGCCTCCCAGGTTCACACCATTCTCCTGCCTTAGCCTCCCGAGTAGCTGGGACTACAGGCGCCCACCACCACACCTGGCTAATTTTTTTGTATTTTTAGTAGAGACGGGGTTTCACCGTGTTAGCTAGGATGGTCTCAATCTCCTGACCTCGTGATCCGCCCGCCTCGGCCTCCCAAAGTGCTGGGATTACAGGCATGAGCCACTGTGCCCGGCTTCATTCATCTTTTAGCAGTTTCCATAATTCAAGAGTTCACAGACTAGTGCTGTTGTTGGGGCAAAACTTGAGCCAGGAGCTCAATATCACCTAGTCCCAATTCTTCTTCACCTTCTGCTCTGCCCAGTTCATCCCTGGACTCCTCACAGAACCCCTCAGGCTCTCCTATGACCATGATTAAATGTCTATAGCAGTCCCAGCCTAAATCCTCATACCAGAGTAAGCAAGGGCATTGCTTCTAGAAACTCCCATTCAGGCTCCTGGAACTCCCTCTCTCAGGCTGACTGAAATTGGCTCCTGAAACAATCTCTGTGTCAAGACAGTGAGATTCAATGATTCAGAGTCAGAGTGAGTTGGGGTGGAGTCAATCCTAAGAATGGAAAAGGGAAACTGAGGTGAATGAAGGAGAAATGGATTCTGTGAGGCACCCACAACAAGGACAGCAGAGACCACAGTTCTGGTGGCTGTTTCTTACCCTCCAGACACTGTCCCTCTGCTGAGCTCCTTCAAACCCTCCAGACATGATCAGACTCATCTGGACTTACTGTGGGGACATATCTAGGCCCCGACTCTGTCAAATATGTATAGTGACTTCCATCTAAAAGGCACAAGGTTCTTTACAGATAGGACAACCTTGATAGCACTCATCTGAGAAAGAGAACAAATTAGAAATAATCATCCTTCACTTCCTAACACTCACACAAAAAAAAACAAACCTAAGGGAAAGCAAGTGCATATTAAAACAGAGTTGATCACCAATGAGCAAGTCCTACCAAAGATGGCAGAGAAGCTGAAAAGGTCCTCTAGGAACTCACTCAATAAATGCTCATTTATTCCATTTATTGCAAAGCCAAGAATTGTAAATAATTTAACTCACTTAGGAAAGGATCTTCTCCATTATTTTATCTGAATGTTATCTGATCTTGATGTTCTGAAGTCTGACAGTTACCAAAGCGAGTAAAAATCCTCATGTTTTCCATGCTAGGAAAATCATTAATAGTTTATCCAAACTGAAACTTTCTTGGCAACTGTTGCTTCCTTGTTCTTGCCATAAATTAACTGTTTTTAAAAAGCTAAAATCTAAAGAATTTCCAGGACCTTAAAACCATTAGAATACAAAGACACTCTAATTTAAATAAAATTCATAACCAAAAGTTAACTCACCTAAACACAATGTTTCCTTGTGTCATTTATCTTCTTTGAAGCCCAATCAATAACAGATTCATTCATTCACTCACGCAGCAAACATTTAGTAAGTGCTCTAAATATACCTGAAGGGACCTCACACATCATCTTTCCTGAGCTCTTCCTTTACAGATTAGGAGATTGAGGTCAAAGAGAGCAAGTGATCTGCCCACAGTCACACAGCAAATATGAGAATCCATGGGTGCAATCAGATTTCCTCACCTCTGGCCTGACACGTTATCCACCCTGCCATGTTTCCTTGGCTACAGCAGGCCAATGATGCAATCGGCCTCCAGCAGAGAACACTACTGTAGTAAATATCAATAGCTGTCAAATTTATGGCCACACAACATGGTTTGAACACCCTTCCTACAACTGGAAGATCTCCCATATGAGTTCCTTCTCCTGAAATGTAGAGGCAAAAGCTCATCCAATCCTCCCTGCAGCTAGAGCTCAGGCATATGGCTTGGCTTTGCCAATCAGGGGAGCAGTGTGACGTAGTGGGCACAAGCAGGGTAGGCAGCAGTGGCAAAGCTTCTAGTGTTTGACCTGCAGGGAGCTGGCACTTCCATGCTGAGCGATGGTCACAGAGCTGTCTTCACTTGTCACTGCCCATCGGTGAGATTTGGGCACTGATCCTGGCTATATAGAATTCTGTGAAACTGGCTAAAATGGACTCTGGGGTGGGGATTGCATCTAAGAACCCTGACCTCTGTGCTTCATTATTACGTGCTCAATACATATGCCTGGAGCTATATACAAAATAAAGGGAGCCTCTGCTCAAAACTTCACTGTGCATCATAAGATACCAGTTCTCAGCTATCTATCTGAGTCTTAAGACTTTTTAAAAACTAAATGGTTCTTTTCTATTAAAAAATAAGACAATGATGGGACTACTTCACTTTTAACAATATATGCTGAATTATCAAATGCCTATTTAAAAAAAAAAAAAAGATCAAGAAGGTGGCAGAGCAAACCCCAGTATTAAAATACTCCTTCACCAAAATCCAACAGCAAAGCAAAGCTGGTCCTCGTGGCTTTTTGGAAGCAAGAAGCAAGGGAGAAGCAAGTAAACAAAACCCTGAACCATTTCCCTAACAGCTCCCATCTTAAAGAATAACAGAAGGGAAAGAGCTGAAGGCAGCCTCCAGAGAATAAGTAGCATTTTCCCCAAAACCTTCATGTCATCTATTTTTTCCAGAGATGGAAAAAATGCTGTGACTCCCTGCTGGAAGAAAAGCAAGAAACCCTTCCCTGTGGTTACAGATGGTAAATGCTTAAACGTGACAATGTCAAAGGAACAGTCTCCTAAATTGGACAGCATGGAGTGGGAAATGGAAAGACACATAAGGGCCTTCCTTTCCTCTCCCCATCTTGATGAGCAGTCCTCAAGATATGGCCTAAAATTCATAAACCTAGAAACAGAGGCGGCCTGAGATTTAAAGTGAAAATGTAGCCAACAACAAAACAAAAAAACTCGGGAGACAGAAGGGGAAATGTGATAATTTTTTCATTTTTCATAGCAAGTGAACAATAGATATAATTTAAGAGTTGCTAAATCAAGAAACAGAAGGTTATACATAACAAATATACAGAGTTATATGAGTAACCACTGGAAAAACTAAAAGTAGACTCTAAACCGTCCAAAGCACCAGAAGGGAAACAGTACACGCACACACTCAAATAACAAAAAGGAAAGCAGGGCACCAGAGTGTACACCTGTAGTCCCAGCTATTCGGGAGGCCAAGGTGGGAGGATCACTTGAGCCCAGGAGTTCAAGGCCAGCCTGGGCAACATAACAAGACCCCATCTCTAAAAATAATAATAATAACAAAAAACGAGGAAAATTGGCAACAGAAAAAAACCCCACAAACTAGATTATAAAGAATTAGGACTTAAAACATCTATGATAACAATAGATGCAGATGAGAGAAATTATTATTATTATTGGAAAATGATATGTTACACGTCTACAAAACAAGAGAATCCAATTTTTAAATTATTAGAAAGAATTAGAATAGTTAGCAAGTTGACTGTTTGCAGAATTTTAAAGTACCTTTTTCCTATAAACAAGCAAAACCATTGAGAAAACAGCTGAAAAGACCCCACTCACAGTAACTCCTGAAAAGAACGGCACATCTGAACTAGATGTGGGCAGAACCTACATGAAGAAAACTGGAAAGTTCTCCAATGAGGCAAAAAGGAGAAATTAAAAGTAGCACCATGTGCTTGGATTGGAATGTTTCATACTGTAAACTTGGCCGGGTGTGGTGGCTCACGCCTGTAATCCCAACACTTTGGGAGGCCAAGGCGGGCAGATCGTTTGAGGCCAGGAGTTCAAGACCAGCCTAGCCAGCATGGCGAAACCCCGTCTCTACTAAAAATACAAAAATTAGCCACTTATGGTGGCACATGCCTGTAATCCCAGCTGCTTGGGAGGCTGAGGCATGAAAATTGCTTGAACCCAGGAGGCAGAGGTTGCAGTGAGCTGAGATCGCACCACTGTACTCCAGCCTGGGCAACAGAGCAAGACTCTGTCAAAAACAAAAACAAAAACAAAAAAACCTGTAAAGTTGTTAATTCTCCCTAAATCAATTCATAAATTTACTGCAAACCAATTAAAATACCAGGAGGATTTGGGAACTTACTTTGGAACTCAGCAAAATGATACTAATAGTAATCTGAAAAAAAATACACGAGAATTACCAGGTGTGGCTGTTTGTATTTTCCACATGCTTTTCTGCAGTGTGACCCTTGTCTTCCTCCCATCAAGAGGTAGGGCCTATGTCCCCTCCCCTTAAATGCTGGCAGGTCTGTGACTGCTTCAGCCAACTGAGTACAGAGGAAATGGCCCCATGAGACTTGTGAGCCTAGGCTGGAAAAAGCAAGCAGTTTCCACCTAGTGTTCTTGGGATACTAGCTCTGGGGGAAGCAGCCATCATGTAGGAAGTCCAACTACCCTGAGACCACAGTGCTGGAGGAGCTACAAGTATACACGTGGCTGAGGCCCCAGCTGCCAGCAGGCCACAACTGCCAGCCATGTGAGTGGGACGTCTGGGATGTCCCACCCTGTCGAGTCCTCAGATGAGTTACAACCCCAGCTGATATCCAACACAATCACATGAGACCTCAAGCAAGAATCACCCAGCAGAGCCGTTCCAAATTCCTCACCAACAAGATTATAAACAAAATAAAACACCTGTTTTAAACTGCTAAGTTTGAGGATAACTTGTGATGTTACAACAGTAACTGGAATTCCATTTAAAAGGAAGGAAGGGGGCCGTGCACGGTGGCTCATGCCTGTGATCCCAGCACTTTGGGAGACCGAGGCGGGCAGATCACAAGGTCAGGAGTTTGAGACCAGCCTGATCAACATGTTGAAACCCCGTCTCTACTAAAAATACAAAAGTTAGCTGCGTGTGGTGGCGCGTTGCCTGTAATCCCAGGTACTCAGGAGGCTGAGGCAAGAGAATTGCTTGAACCCAGGAGGCAGAAGGTTGCAGTGAGCCGAGATCACACCACTGCACTCCAGCCTGGGCGACAGAGCGAGACTCCGTCTCAAAAAAAAAAAAAAGGAAGGAAGGAAGTGAGGAAGGTAAGGAAGGAAGGAAAGGATGGAGGGAGGAAGGGAGGGAGAGAGGGAGGAAAGGAGGGAAGGAAGGAAAGAAAGGGGAGGGAAGGGGGAAGGAGAGCCGAAGGGGATTGGCCCTATCACATTTAACAACATAATGAATCAAAATCCATTCATAAATTCATTGAACAAATATTGAAGATCTACAGGTCCACCACAAGCTAGGCATTAGAGAGACACTGTGTTGTGCAAAATCTTTGTCTTTATGGGATTTAGATTTTAGTGAAAAAGAAATTTCAGATAGTATTAAGTGTGCTGAAGGAAAATAAAAATCAGGATAAGAGAAAGTGCTGCTTAAAATAGAGTGCTCAGAGAGGCCTCTTGGAGGAGGTGGCTGTGGCGCTGAGCCAGGGAAGGGCCCGGGTATTCTCACCTACTGCTGTGGGGTTTTGCAAACGGTTCAGCCTGTCCTTGGGGCAATTTGAAAAATCTATTTCCATCTAAAAGGCATGGACCTCTTGACCTAGAAACCTCTTGGCTAGGAAATTACCCCATGAACATTCTTACACACGTTAGCAATACTTCCAAGTATGTTATGACAAAAATGAGATACACAAAAATGTCAGCTCAATGGGAGCTTATTAAATAAATTACATTATAGTCATTCAATAGAGCACCATAAGACTTTTTAAAAATTACATGAGCTATATCCACTGACAAACAGCTACATGAGACACTGTTAGGTGACAATAAGAAAGGCTGGAACTGTGTGCACAGTATCTCCTCTTCTGACTCACAGAGAGAGAAGGAACCGGGGAAGAGGGAAGGATACTCATCTATGATCTGGAAGAAATCCCCCTTTCCTCGGGGAACACCTCTGGGGAGAGGAGAGAGATTTGGGTTTTTCATTTGGTACCTCTCCGTAGCACCTGAATTTTCTAACAAGATGCTGTACAACTTTTACTTTTGTCCTTTCAATGCCCGCTAGGGTTACCTGGACCATGAGTCAGTGTTTGACAGCTTCTCCCCAAAGAAAGAATTGGGGCTACTAGACCGGACAAGGTTGGTTTTCTCTTTTGGTACTCTGTATTTCCAAAAATAACTGAATGGTATTTTTTTAAATAAAATAATTTGAAAGAATAAAGCCCTATAACAACAAAGTATTAAACTGTTAAAATATTTTCATTCTATTGTAATTATAAGAAAGCCTGCATGGTCCCACTGCAGCAGCCACCATGACGAGCAGCACTCTCTGTAAATGCAGCCCTTCCACGCTGCTCAGGGTGACCCACCCCAGTGAGCTGGCTATTTGCATATTCCCAGATCCCCCACCTGCGCCAGGCAGGCATATGCTAGATCAGCTCAGAACTAGAAAAGATGGGCACCAGGAAGAAAGGCACCAAGCCCTCCCTAACTCCCCTCTGAGAGTTGCATCCTTCTTTCCTACCTCTTTCCTTTTTACAGAGCCCACTGTGCTCTGGGTCCCCCATGACCTGGGGGTCAGAGTCAGACACACTCCTGTGCACAAATGGAACCATTCGTTCTTCACCACCACCTGTGCCCACACCCCTGTCAAAGCTCCCCCGCACCCACCTCTGAATCTCCCGCATGGGTAGGACAGCTTCTTCCCGAAGAAGGGGAATTCCTGGCCAGGCACGGTGCTCACGCTTGTAATCCCAACACTTTGAAAGGCCAAGGCAGGTGGGTCGCTTGAGCCCAGGAGTTTGAGACCAGTCTGGGCAACATAACGAGACCTCCTCTCTACAAAAATTAAAATTAAAAAATTAGCCGGGAGTGGTGGCATGCCAGTAGCCCCAGCTACTTGGGAGACTGAGGTGGGAGGATCGTTTGAGCCCATGAGGTTGAGGCTGCAGTGAGCCGTGATCCTGCCACTGCACTCCAGCCTGGGCTGTAGAGAGAGACCCTGTTGGAAGGATCTCTCCGACAGTTATCTCCTGGATAACTGCAATGGGTCAAGTGACAACTTTCTCTAGCTCTCCTAAGCCACAGTGCAGTACGGTTTGGAAACAGCAATAAGAGTCAATCCCCCTTTTCACAAATGATCAAATGAGGCTCAGAGAGATTAAAGAATTAGGCAGTCATTCTTCACAAGGAAGGAAGGGAGGGAGGGAGGAAAATTTCTTGTGAAATTCCCAAGGAACAGAGAACATTTTTAAATGTTTCCTTACTCATTAGTTAACTCAGTATTTTCATGCCCAAAAAATGTCAACAACCAGTTTTGCCAAGAATAATAAAAACAGATACTGACTCTGAGCCTTTCTTGCAAGATCTCTCAGGGTACACACCCGGCTGACTCCCGCACATTTCTGTCTCTCCTGCCTTCTCAAATCTCGCTGTCTCCATCAGTGTCTCTTCTTCCATGCAAGGCTCTGTCCTCTGAAGTTCTCTCTCCCCTGGCTTCAGCCCCATGCAGGTGCCCCCCCCCCGCCCCACATGTGGATTCAGTTCCCCACCTGTGGTCCCCATGATTGTTCTACTCCAACTCCGGCTCTCATCACCCACCGCCAGTGTGACTGGGGCACAATGTGACTGGGTGCAGGATGGGGCAGCCACCTCAGGCCCCAGAGCGCTCCATCCCATGGCCAAAGGGGTGGATATTCCGCCCTGAAACACCTGGGAGTGCATAATGCTCAAGGTATTCCTTCTTCGAAGCTGATAAGTTTGTCTATGAGCAAATAATCCACTAGTTCCTCTGCAAGGGGACTGCCTGACTTAGAAAGAACACAGATGTAAAAGATTAGTCTTTCTCAAACACTGCCGGTCATGTGTCAGATATCTAGAACAGCCCCTCACCAGCAAACCTGGCTGGCCCCAGCCCTGTCTCAGGCCCTTGTGTTAATGCTGGGTCTCTGGCCCAGGCTCCCCTCCCTGCCTGATGAGTTCCCACTGTGCTTTCAAGGGCTCTTTCAGGTGAAGAGACTTAGATCAATACCACCTTAGGTGACCCGAACTTTGACTCTCCCTCAGGGAGCAGCGACGGGGTTTTAGTGTCTTCTCTCTGACAGCCCAAAGCGCAGATGCCAGCTGCTCCACCTCATTCCCAGGGACGAGCTCCACAGTTGAGGATCCCAGGGAGCAGAGCAGGGGTTGAGATGCAAACAATTCTGATCACAGGCCCCTCTCTCCACCCTCCCCAAAAGTGCCACCTGCTGCATCTACATAATTCTGAGAGCCCATTCAAGAGACCGCTGCTGGAACCAAGAAGCTAGTTATCTGGATGATGTGGGTCCCCATCGGAGACACGGGAGGGGAGAAGTGGTGGGACTGCTTCATACCCACACCCACTTCATGTTTGCCCTAGCAGGCACTGTGTAGCACTCATCTGGGGCCAAAAAGGAATAAATGACAACTTGTTTACAGAAACTGTGTTGTAAAAATACCTAGTGGGACCTTGTTTCACCACCTGGATCTTTAGGGAGGTGCCCGTTCTCCCCTTCGAGCTCAGCCTGCCCTTACCAAGTTCCTCTGTTTCCCCTCACTGGGAACTCTCAGGAATTGTCCCCCAACATTATTCCCAGAAACCTGTGCCAACCGCTCATGCCTATCTTGGAGCATCACACTATCAGATACCTGGATAACTGCAATGGGTAAAGTGACAATTTTCTCTAGCTCTCCTAAACCACAGTGCAATATGGTTTGGAAACAGCAATAAGTCAATCCCCCTTTTCACAAATGATCAAATGAGGCTCAGAGAGGTTAAGGAATTAGGCAGTCATTCTTCAATCATTCTACAAACTTTTCTTCAACACCCACCTGTGCCAGCGGATACCTGCCCCTCATAAAATACTCCCCTCCCCAGAGATCTGGGGGTGGGGTTTCTTGCTCCTGGAAACAAGGGAAAAAGGAGAGAAAGAGGTGTGAGGGCACTCAGAGAGGAGCAGCCTGTCATCATGTGAACACTGCCCACGCTGCCTAGCAGGCCTCTGAAGCCACCCCACGGGAGAATGGCTCTGCTGTTTCCCACGCCTGGGGTCTCCCTCTCCCACTCCAGCATCCTAGCCCACCAGGTAGGATGAGTGATGCTACATGGACTTCCAAACATGCTTAATCTCTGCAGACCATGGCACAGGCCCGAAGCTGGCCCGCAGCACCCAGGCTCAGTACATGCCCGCCCTCTTCACGACCTCCCAGACCAGCCCGGCCGGTCACCCATCTTCTGCACACATCCCTCCCCAACCTCCCCTCAAACCCTTCACCCAGGTGGGGCTTCCCAGGCAATCTCCAATCTACGGCTGACCCTGAAAAACCCAGGTTTGAATTGTATAGGTGCATTTATACATGGATTTTTTTCAGTCAAAGTTACACCAAGTGTGCCAGCCTCTCCTGACTCCCTCTGCAGTTGAAAATCCACCTCCTCCACCTCTTCCTTCTCTGCCACCCTGACACAGCAAAACTAAGTCCTCCTCTTCCTCCTCCTCCTCAGCCCACTCAGTGGGAAGACGACAAAGATGAAGATCTTTATGATGATCCACCTCCACTTAATGAATAGTAAATACATTTTCTCTTCCCTATGATTTTCTTAATGATATTTTCTTTCCTCCAGCTTACTTTATGGTAAGAATACAGCATATAACGCATATACAAAAGATGTATTAATCATCTATTTACATTTCCAGTCAATATGAGGCTATTAGTAGTTACGTTTTGGAGGAGTCAAAAGTTACACGTGGATTTTCAACTGCAGAGGGAGTCAGTGCCCCTAACCGTGTACTGTTCAAGGGTCAGCTGTACAAAATGAGGACAAGACGTAGTACCCATTCCCCAGGGTTTACTGCTAGGCTTAAATAAGTTGATATGAAACACTGTTAGAATCGCGTCTGGCAAAAAAAGTAAGCACTCATTAGTTCTTGTGATCGATCCAGTTACAGTTTCACATACAGATGACTGTACCCACCCACCAGCACTCACCAGAGGGGGCCCTTGGATCTAAACAGTGTGGAAGCCACGCCTGTTCCCCTCACCTCACACAGGCCTGTGTGCAAGGTGACTGAGCCCCCCTGGATTTCTGACTAATCATCTTTGGACCACCAGCAGGTAAACAACTCTCCCCTCCTGTGTCCCCAGAATGCCTCAGCAGCATTAGTTTCCTATTGCTGCTGTAACAAATTGCCACAAACCTGGTGACTTATAGCAACACACAGCTATCATCCTACATTCTGGAGGTCAGAGGTGCAAATCAGTCTCACTGGGCTAAATTCAAGGGGTCACAAGCCTCGATCCTCCTGGGGGCTCCAGGAGAGAATCTGCTTCCCTGCCTTTCCGGGCTTCCAGAGGCCACCTGCCTTCATTGGCTCATAACTCTCTTCCTCACATCATTCCAGTCACTGCGTTCATCATCCCACCTCCTACTACTGACTCAGATCTTCTGTCTCCCTCTCAGGAGGACCCCTGTGATTACACAGGGCCTGCCTACATAATCCAGGATAGTCTCCCTCTCTCAAGATCCTTAACCGAATCACATCCGCAAAGTCCCTTTTTGCCATGTGAGACACAGATTCACAGCTTCTAGGGATTAGGATGTGGACTTCTCTGGGGGACCACAGTTCCATCTACCACATTGACCTAACCCATATTCAACCTACCCAGCTTTGCTAGCTCTTAGACGTTGGGTTAGTCCCAATACCTGGTCCACAAAACTGGAACTGAATATGACATTTCACATTTGCATCATAAAGATTCTCCGGATGCTGTGTGAAGGGGAAATTGAGAGGACAAGAGCAGAAGTGGAGAAGCCACTTACGGGGCTACCAGAATAATCTGGGTAAGAGAGACACAGCAGGCAGAAGTCTGTATTTTTGAAGAAGAATCAGTAGGATGACAAGAGGCTACGTTAGGAAGGACCACTGGTGTCTGGTTGGAGGAACTGGGTGAATGGTGGTTCCACTCCTTGAAAACAGAGCAGAAGACACTTATTTGGAGGGGAAATGAGCAACTTGGTTGGGGATATCCTGAATTTTAAGTGTCTATGACTTGTCCAAGTGCAGATGTAAAGTCAGCAATAGGGTATGTCAAGAGGAGAGAGGTAACAGCTTCAAATGCAGAGACCTGTGTGAGTGACAGAAGTGTCCAGTGGGGCAGAGAGAGAGAAGCCTGGGCCCAGGAATGTCCTCCTGCTGACCAGCTGCAGTGAAGCTCCGCTGGCCCCATCTCTCAGTGTCAGCCCTGCCCTTGCTGTGTCCACTGCCAGGGTGTCCCTTGCAGGGGCACTCACTGCACAGTCATCATTCCCAGGGAGCATGGCCACTTCACCTTGCTGCTCCGCCACACCTCTGTTTTGGGCGGCCCTGAGGATGCTCTGAGACTGGGCTACAGTCTCCACAGGTTCCAGCTATGGATGTCTGCCCCACAGCCTCATCTAGGGAGGTCTGTTTGCCCACCATTGAGGGCCCTGTGGCAGCACCTGGCTCTTCCCTCTCTGCTATGTTCAACATGTCCCACAGCAACATGGAAATTAGCAAATGTCTTTATTCCACACACTGTCCATGGGAAATTTCAGACCCAATCTTGTAGACCAGAGGTCAACAAACTATGATCCCTAGGCCAAATCTGGCCTGCTGCTTTTGCAAACAAAGTTATACTGGAACACAGTTATACCCATTCATTTATAAATGGTCTATGGTTGCCTCCACACAATGATGGCAGGGTTGAGTAGTTGCCACATCACTAATCATCAGGGAAATGCAAGTCTAAACCACAATGAGATATCATCTCACACCTGTTACAATGGCTATTCTCACAATGACAAAAGACAGCAAGTGTTGGCAAAGATACGGAGAAAGGGGAACAATTTCTCTGCTGGTGGGAAGGTAAGTTAGTACAGCCATTACGGAAAACAGCATGAAAGCTCCTTTAAAACTTAAAAATAGAACTATCCCATGTAGCAATTCCACCTTTGGGTATATATCCAAAGGAAATGAAACCAGTATGAATGAAGAAATATCTGCACCCCCATGTTCTAAAATGAATTCATAAATCCATACATATATACATACATACATAGGAGAGAATGGAAAAGCTCTTCCTACAGTAGAATAACAATTAATAAATGTAGAAGGAATGGGCCGGGTGTGGTGGCTCACGCCTGTAATCCCCGCACTTTGGGAGGCTGAGGCAGGCCGATCACGAGGTCAGGAGATCGAGACCATCTTGGCTAACACGGTGAAACCCCATCTCTACTAAAAATACAAAAGAATTAGCCAGGCATGGTGGCGGGTGCCTATAGTCCCAGCTACTCGGGAGGCTGAGGCAGGAGAATGGCGTGAACCCAGCAGGCAGAGCTTGCAGTGAGCCGAGACTACGCCACTGCGCTCCAGCCTGGGCAACAGAGCGAGACTCCATCTCAAAATTATAATAATAATAATAATAAAATAAATAAATAAATAAATGTACAAGGAACGGAAATATAAAATTATGACTTGGCAATCATCGTAGAGGAGGCTGGTTTGGGTGGCAATCATCAACGGATGTGAAGTTGAAAGAGAGAGGTTTGACCAGAAACAGGATATTGGCATAATCTGAGACTTCCTTACACAAATTATAATTAAAGGGGAAATGGTGAATTTAAAATGATAACACCTGGAGGACAGCAATAATGTTAGGTGATCAAGGTGAATATCGCCAATGGTGAGAAGGGCTGACATCAACGCCTCCTGATGCGATGCACTGAGAAAAGCATGGCATCAACTTTGGGATTGTCCTGCCAAGAATGCATGAGCCAAGTCTGCCCATGAGGATAATCAGATGGATCCAGGTTCAGGGTCATCCTACAGAATGCAAGGCCTGTGCCCTTCAAAACTGTGGAAAACGTGAAACAGAGAGGAAGGCTGAGGAGAGTGAAGACACACAAGGAATGCTCATGTTCCTGGGTAGGACCCTGGGCCAGAGAGGAAAAAGAAACACTACTTGGTCAGGTGATGAAATTGGAATGGGGTCTACAGATTGGATAACAATGTTCTTCCAATGTTGTTTTCCTAATTTGGAGAGGTTTATGATGAGTACATAAAGAGCATCCATGAGTGGTGAGAATATACACTGAGTTTTTTAGGGGTGAAGCAACATCATGTCCACAGCTTTCTCCCAAAACACTGAGAAAAAGACTAATGATAATTGAGAATTTTTTTACCTTGAGAAAGACAATGTGCACAAGCTCAAGCCATGGGGTAAATGCAATAACATGTTTACAATTCGGGAATTTAAGAGAAGAGACACAGGAATTCTTGGTTCTGTTCTGTAACTTTTCTATAAGTTAGAAATTATTTCAAAAAATTTCCAGAAAACAATATTAAGACAGAGTTTCATTGTTTATTAGCATAGAATTTGGCTATGAGCATTCCAGTGTACTATATCTTCAAATGACTAGGACTTTTTACCCGATGCCCAAGGGAGGGTTCTGTCTATGTGTGTGTGTTGTTGTTGGTTTTTTTTGGTGTTTTTGTTTTGTATTTGTTTTTGTTTTTGTTTTTGAGATAGGATTTCTCGCTGTCACCCAGACTGGAGTGCAGTGGTGCAATCGAAGCTCACTGTGGCCTCAACCTCCCAGACTCAGGTGATCCTCCCACCTCAGCCTCCCAAGTAGGTGGAACTACAGCTGTGTGCCACCATGCCCAGCTAATTTTTTGTATTTTCAGTAGAAACAGGGTTTTGCCACGTTGTCCAGGCTGGTCTTCAACTCCTGGCTCATGTGATCCACCTGCGTCAGCCTCCCAAAGTGCTGAGATTACAGGTGTGAGCCACCACGCCCTGTCAAGTTTTTCTCCTTATCTTTAAAATCCATTATTTTACAGGGAAACATGTCAATGCTGACTATTCTACATTGATTTTTCCCAGTTACACAATGTAACCTTTCAAATCTTATTTTAGGAAGGTTTTCTTGCATTATAGTTCTAAATATTTATGCTATTCTATTGCTTTGTTTTTCTGTCCCTGGACACTAATTATACATATATTGAACCTCCTTTGCCTGTGTCCTACATTCCTTTAATTCACTATATCACCTTCTTTTTTTTATTATTTTTCTCCTTTTCACCCTCTATTTTTATTTCTGTGCTTCCTAAGAATATCTATTTGCTCCCATGTTCCTTCTAATTAAGTCTTCATTTTTGAAACTCATTTTTCCAAATTCTTTTCTGACATCTCTCTGTTCTCCTTTCATAATTTCCTGTCATCTAGCCATATCTTTTGTAGTTTTTACAATTTCTGATTCAGGATGGGAGCAGTGGCTCGTGCCTATAATCCCAGCACTTTGGGAGGCCAAGGCTGGTGGACCACCTGAGGTCAGCAGTTGAAGATCGGCCTGCTAACATGGCAAAACCACGTCTCTACTAAAAATACAAAAATTAGCTGGGTGTGGTGGAAAGCACCTGTAATCCCAGCTACTCAGGAGGCTGAGGCTGAGGCAGGAGAATCGCTTGAACCCGGGAGGCTGAGGATGTAGTGAGCCAAGATTGCTTCATTGCACTCCAGCCTGAGCAACACAGCGAGACTCTGCCTCAAAAATAAAAATAAATAAATAAATAAATAAGTAAAATAAAGTTTCTGATTCATACTACTCTTAGGAAACTTTATTTTCTTTTAGCTTATATTGAAATATTAATTTATAATTTTTCTGGTGTGCTCTCATTTTCAGTAGTACCATTATGTTCATTTTCATCATGTTTTCACTGAATAAATGTTGCATGAGGCTGGATCGTATTCCTTTTTTGTTGTCCATGATTAAATGAGGTGGATTTTCCTGATCTATTAGGAGGAAGTTCCCAATAGATCAGGAAAGTTCCTAATAAAGGGATGGACTAGGATACCTTTCCCATTTGGCTCTACTGATCTGTGAAAGACTCAAAATAGGAATTCTCCAGGTACCCACTTGTTTCCCAGCATCAAGTCCAGAACCTTTGTAAAGCTCAGAAAGATCTCTTGCCTCTAGTCCTTTGCTCCAGCTCTAGAACTTTGAAGTCCTTCTTTTCCAAGGCTATATGCTCTCAGCTTTTGATGTTATCTTTCACTGTTAAAGCAGTTTTTGAGATCTTTTTCCTTGGGGGTCCCCTTCCATATCTCCACCATCTGAACCTATTTTCTCTCGCCATCTGTCTTCTGCTTAACTTGGTGTATGTTTCCAGTAATTTCTGCTCAAGGTGAGGTGCTTAGAAGGGAGGACTTACTGTACGTTTCTAAGATTCTCCAAGGCCTCTGCCACCACATCGACGCTGATTCTCCCAGGTCCACACACAGTTAGTTGCTCTCACCTGTTGCCAGAAGCCTGGGAGCCCCTTTCCAGTTTTGCCAGTTGCTCTCAGGTCTGCCCACCAGACTTCCATCCTACTTTAAAGGGTGAGCAGCTCATGGTAGTTTTTGGGTTCCACCACCTGTCAATAGTTTCTTTCATTTCCCATCACTCCCCTGAGGCCACTGCGGCTCTTCTCCAGGTCCTTCTGATGCTGGTGGTTTGGCCAAACCCACCCAGTCCTGGGAATAAAGGAGTGGGGAGAGAGTCCCCAACACTTTTGTTGACATATCCTCTTTGAGCTTTATCTATGGCTGTCTTGCTGATTGGTTTAGCTTCCAGGAAGAGTTCAGGGGAGACTGAAAAACTACTTTGCCACCATGAATACATCCCCATAAAACATGTTCTGAAGGGCATAAAACAAGGAACAAAGAAATGAAGAGACATACTCTGTTTCTGAATTGGAAGATTTAATATGATAAAACTGTCAGTACTCCCAAAATTGATGCACTATATTAAAAGTTTTAAAGTTTTCTATCTGGCAAGACATCAAAAATTAAGCAAAATGAGAAAATATTTGCAACACATAATAAAGTATCCATGGAAATTCAGATCCAATGAAATATCTTTCTGCTTCTATGAAATTAATAAAAATGCTCAGCCTTGCTAATATCCCACGCTGCAAGAGGACAGAAAAAGGGGCACACACTGTAGGCTTCTGTGGGTGGATGTGCCTACATTCTTTTGTGAAAATTAATCCAGAAATAGCTAACAAAACTCCCAATTTGAATACTCATCAGCTAGCAATTCCACTTTGGGGAATCTATCCTCAAAAAAAAAAAAAGCAGTGGCATCTCAGGCTGGATAAGCAGCACTGTTTGTAGACACATAGAACTGGTAGAGATTATTCCCAGCAGGAGAATAACTGAATAACTTGTAATAATTCATACTTTGGACTACTCCACAGCCATTAAAGATAATGTGTTAAAAAATAATAATAATGAGTTATGGCTGGGAATATTCGTTATACATTAAATTTTTAAAAGAAGTTACAGAGTAATATGGGTGGTATAATGTCATTTTTGTAAATTGTTTTTAAAAAGAAAAGAAACATTTTCCGGCCGGGTGCGGTGGCTCACGCCTGTAATCTCAGCACTTTGGGAGGCTGAGGCAGGCGGATCACGAGGTCAGGAGATAGAGACCATCCTGGCTAACACGGGGAAACCCCATCTCTACTAAAAATACAAAATTAGCAGGGTGTGGTGGCGGGCGCCTGTAGTCCCAGCTACTCGGGAGGCTGAGGCAGGAGAATGGCATGAACCCGGGAGGCGGAGTTTGCAGTGAGCCGAGATCACGCCACTGCACTCCAGCCTGGGCGATAGAGCAAGGCTCTGTCTCAAAAAAAAAAAGAAAGAAAAGAAACATTTTCCATACATATATATACAAATTCTAATACATTTTATGATTGTAAAGGGAAGCATGGAAGGATTGCATTAAACAACACTGGTAATGTTGGTGGTCTATGGGTAGAGAATTGGGGTAGGCGAAAGCTATACATTGTTTGTGTGTATGTGTGTGTATATATATTTTTTGTTTGTTTGTTTGTTTGTTTTCTGAGACAGAGTCTTACTCCATCGCCCAGGCTGGAGTGCAGTGGCGCGATCTCACTCACTGCAAGCTCCGCCTCCTGGGTTCACGCCATTCTCCTGCCTCAGCCTCCAGAGCAGCTGGAACTACAGGCACCTGCCACCACGCCCAGCTAGTTTTTTGTATTGTTTTTTTTAGTAGAGACAGGATTCCACCATGTTGGCCAGGATGGTCTCGATCTCCTGACCTCGTGATCCACCTGCCTCGGCCTCCCAAAGTGATGGGATTACAGGCGTGACCCACCGCACCCAACCTATTTTTTTTGAGATGGAGTTTCACTCTTGTCCCCCAGGCTGGAGTGCAGTGGAGTGATCTTGGCTCACTGCAACCTCCGCCTCCTGGGCTCAAGCAATTCTCCTGCCTCAGCCTCCCAAGTACCTGGGATTACAGGTGCCCACCATCACACCTGACTATTTTTTGTATTTTTAGTAGAGACAGGGTTTCGCCATGTGGGCCAGGCTGGTCTCCAACTCCTGACTTCCAGTGGTCCGCCCGCCTCAGTCTCCCAAAGTGTTGGGATTACAGGCATGAGCCAACCATGCCCAGTCACTTTTTTATCTTCAGTTATTTTTACTTTTTATATATTAATTTCAGAGTATGAAAAAAATCCAGTGGAGTTGCTTTTTAAAGGAAAAATACACACACACACACACACACACACACACACAGAGTCAGCTTCCAATGGCTACGTCTTTACCAACATATGTAACTGGTAATGTGGATAACTCACAATGTAGCTGTTTGTCCCTGAGTTCTGGGCATTAATAAAATCTCCAAGAAAAATAACAAACTACTCTATTAAAGGATAACTATTCAAGACCTCCATCCAGCTCTCTTAGTCTTCTAAACTATGAACACAGCTCATTACCTCTCAAAATGGGCAGGACATCTATCCACAAGGGAACTGATCCACCTGCTGACTCACTGGCTGGCACAGCCCGGCACAGGAAAACCACCTGCAGGGGGTCCTCAAACAATGGAAACTGCACAGCTCTGTATTCATCACAGACCTCCGGCCAGGCCTGACACCCACCCCTGTCTCCAACCTTGCCGAGTCCTCCCCTTTCAACCTTAAACTTCTTCAACTTGGTCCAGTGGAATGGCTCCTTAAATTTCTCTTGTATCTTCACCTTTCCAGGCATGTTTTATGCTTTTCCTAAGAAAGAGAGAGCCTCCTTGCTAAAGTGGACCCCTTTACCAGCATGCTTTATTTCATCCCCTTCTGCCTAATCGTTAGCAGGAGTTTGGCCTCTAAAAAGTCAGAGCAACTAAGTTCAAAGCTACTTCATAGCTGAGTGACCTTGGGTAAGTCACTCATCCCTCTTCCCCTTAGTTTACTCAGCAGAAGCACCAAGATTTCTTGAGGCTTTGGCTTGGAACAGAGTCAGGCTCAGTTCTGCTGTGTTCCAATGGCTAAGGCAAATCAGAGGCCCAGTCCAAACTCAGGGAGAGGGAACCACACAAAACCCTGAGCACCAGCAGGCAGAGGCCACCAGAGTAACAGGCTATTACACACACAATAAGTAAGTGCTCACTAAGCATGGGCTGTCTGTCTTAGCTAATAATTTTGTTTCTTAAATCCAGGAGAGTTGTTTCTACAATGGGTTTTCACCATGTGCAAACCACAGAGAGGGCCTAGAAAGCCATATGTTGCTAAAGAGCACATAGGTCTCATTTTAGAAGATTTAGAGAAACCAGAGGGCAGCCCTAAGCCCCACAGTATGGATTTCTTTATGAAGCCAGCCCAGCCATCCCAGCTGCCATTCTTAAATGACGAACAACCTTGGCAAGGCAGTTGCACCAATCTCAGAGGGCAGGCATATATATGGCAATGGGTCAGTGTTCCCCACTCACAACCATGTTAACATGCAAACCTGTCTCAACACAGCAGGAACCAATCATCATTTCTGCAAAGTGTTGTAGACAACAGATGAAAAATGGTATACACTGTACCGTACTGAAAGAACTTTCAAGGTGCTTGCAGCAAAGTAAGTTTGAAGACAGAAAATAAGCCCATGAAAAAACAGACAGGAGGGTGGGAGATGGAGGACTCAGGACAGAAGTCATCTTATAATCTCCAAAATGTAAGCAGAGTGTGCTGTGTTCATTGTTGATCCCCAGACCCTAGAGTAATGTCCATACATAGGAGAACTGTGTGGAATTGCTCAGAATCATAGGAAGCTAGAACTAACAGGTTATAGGTCGGGCACAGTGGCTCAAGCTTGTAATCTCAGTGCTTTGGGAGGCTGAGGCAGGAGCATCCCTTGAGATAAGGAGTTTGAGTTTGAATCCAGCCTGGGCAACATAACGAGACCCCATCTCTTAAAAAAAAAATGTTTTTAGTATTAGCCAGGCATGGTGGTACACACCTGTAGTCCTAGCTACTTGCAAGGCAGAGGCAGGAGGATCGCTTCAGCCCAGCAGTTCCAGGCTGCCGTGAGCTATGATAGTGTCACTGCACTCCAGCCTGGGCAAAAGAGCGAGATCCTGCCTCTTAAGGCAAAAAAAAAAAAAAAAAAAAAAAAAGAATAGGTTAGAGCTGTTGAAGAGAATAACACTGCAAAAGCAAACTGAATTAACTGTTTTACACATTTATTTAACTCTTTAAACTAAAATGTAGGGGATGATGTGCATTTTTCACATAAATAAGCTTTTCTACTGTGTCCAATTAATGTTTTCCCCTTTAGGTTTATTATTAAAAGGCAGTTCTCTCTCCACACCCTTGGGAACCCAAGGCTAAACCAGGAAGGGCGGGCTCAGGGAGGAGCCAGGAAGTGGAGCTAATTCACCAGTCTGCCACCTGTAGGCTGGTTCCAGCAGACTTAAACCTCAGTGCCCGCTAGACAGACATGAAAACAATGCATATTAAATAATGGTAAAAACTGAGCAATAGATGTGTGAAAACTATATAGAGAGGGGCATTTAAATCATGGCTCCCGTGTGCTTGCCTCCAACCTCCTCTCTTTTCTTTGAATACTCCCAGCTATGACCACACAGTCTGTTGTTCCTATTCAGCTCTCCAAGGCTCACCCTTGATCTAAAATACGCTTCGAAAATTAATACTCCCATTAGGATGAACAACCACACCTGTATCGATCGAGGTGTTCCAGAGGCAATTTTGCTCAGATCTTATGGTAAAAGCCATGCAATGAACTTAAAAAACAAAGACCATTATGAAATAAACAAATAAGCAAAGCTGGACGAATTTTTCAAATTTTAAAACTCAAGAACAAATAGCAAACATTAGTTTTAAAGGATTGGTTTGGATTTCTGTAGATGGAAGTAAAACATACTGAGTTTACAAGCCTATGCGATGTATTTCAGCACGATCCACCAAATGCAGTTACAGATGTCAAGAGTTCTCAGAACAAGTGCCTCTCTTCATAAATATCTGCTCTGCATATATATCTCTCCCATTCCCATAACGTCCATTCTTTGTTAATATAGGAAAAAAACCGACTTTCATCAAAATGCTACAAAACGCCAAAAATTAACTCTTGGGGACAGTCACTTTAATCGAGACGTCTTTCTTCTATGGAGATTTGTTCACCACTGGCTTCTCTGATTTGGTGGTTAAGAGTCTGAAAATCGGTCATCCTTAAGGTCTGGAGCTCAGAAAGCACGCCGCCCCCCCTTGCCTGCCCCCTGCCCCAGGACGCCGGATGCGGGTCGCCTGCCCAGTCCCGTCGCCCACAAACCACGCCGTTCTGGGCGGACGCGGGAAACCAGAAGTCCCCGAAGCCAAGTCAGCGAGCGACCACAGGGGCCGCCCGGCCGATCCCCGATATCCGGGCTGACCCAAAACCCGACGGGAGGCGCCCCTCCCCCGCCCCCCCACCCCACCCCCCACCCCCACCGCCCCCGGTCAGGGCCGCCGCGAGGGTGAGAGGCGCGCCCACATGCTGCTCCGCTCCGGGTTCGGCTCCCACCTCCTCGCCTCGGCCGCGGCCGCTCGGATGGCGAGGTCGTGTCCCCGGCGCGCGCGGTCCCCGGCGCTCCCTCCGGCCGCTGCGGGCTCGGAGGACGGCGGGCGCCTGGCTGCTGTTTCCTCCAAGAAAAGTAACTCCGGGAATCAGCGCAATAGGAGCGGGAACGCGATGCTCCGAGAGCGGCGAGCCGGGCCCTGGAGTTATTCTGCTCGGAGTTTCGAACTGCGCCCCGCGCTGCAGCTACTCGGCCCCGGCGTTGGCCGCCGGAACTTGCCGCCCGCGGTGGCGTCCCGGCGGCCGCAGCGCCTAGCCCCCCCGGCCCGCGCAGTCCCCGGAGCCCGTCCCCGCCTGGTCGCGGACACTCACCGAGAAGCCTGCCCAGAAGGGGCAGGAGTGGCGGACGCGGGCCGAGGTGGTGAGCGCCAGCGCGGCGAAGCTGACTGCCACGATGAGGCATCCGAGCGCCATCTGCGTGGCCCCGAGCGCCAGCACGATGCGGGAGCGGCCCGGGCACTCGCGCAGGCGGGACAGGCTGCGGGGCAGCGCGGCGGGACGCGGCGCTCGGGGGCCGCCGGCCGGAGGCATCGCGCCGGGCGCCCGCACGCCTCGCCCGCTCCCGCCCGGCCCGGCGCGCGCCGCCGCCTCTCCTCACAGAGGGTCCGAGGCAAGTTGCGCCGGGTGCAGGGACGGCCTCCCAGCCGGCTGCCAGGGCTGCGGCGGCCGCGCGCCGGGAGCGGGCCGGGCCGGGCGGGGAGCCGGGCGCCCGCAGCCCCCGCCGGTGCCCGCGCCCATGCCGCCGCCGCCGCGCCGCCCGCCCGCCGGCCGCGCCGCGCTGCGCCCTCCCCCGCCCGCCCCGCGCGCTCCCCGGCCCGAGCGCGGGCGCGAGCCGCCGCCGCTGCTGCCGTACCGGGCGCGAGCCGCTGCCGTCCCCGGGCGCGAGCCCCGCCGCCGTGCGCTGGGCCCCAGCTGGGGCGGGAGCGGGAGCCGGGACCCGGGAGCCGGGAGAGGGGCGGGGAAGGCGCAGGTGCGGTCCTGGCGTCCCAGCCTCCGCGCTCACGCCTCGCGCCCTGGCGGCTGCAGGTCTGCGGAAGGAGAGCGGGGGCGGCAGCGCATCAAGGGCAACGGCATCAGCCTCCGCGGCGGAGCCCTGGGTCGGCTGCGCGGAGGGGCCCGATAGCGGCAGCGGGCCAGCCGAGCCTTCAGAGCCTGGGGACGGCTCGGGATGGGCGCGCGGGGCGCTGAGGACGGGGAGACGGGCTGGGAGCAGACAGGAGGGAAATTCCGAGCGCTGGGCCGCAGGTGTGGCGAACAGGAGCCTCTTGAATGCAAAAATCCAAGATCCAAGATGCTGCTTTTCTGCAGTTCGAGAATCTCCCAAGCCATCCGCTGAGAGAACTCAGCTCTGGAGGACATTCCGAGAACATTGCCAGGACACACACGATGTCCCTTACCCACCTTTGGTTTGCATGCTTTTGATACAAGTTAAAAGTTTGGGCTTTAAAAAAAAATTGCACAAAACGAATTTAAATGCGCAATATCATTAATAACCGATTAAACCATCTCCACTCCCTCTTGCCAACATAGAGTTTAAAATATCTAAGTACTGGCTCCCTTGGAATACCGGGAAATCCTGCAAGTTTTGATTGCCATAATTCCTTTGTGGCCCTGTTGATGAGCCAACTTTAAGACTCTGCTTGTGTTGAAAAGGGCTGCATTGACAGATTAAGAGATCACCAGCGTTAGGGAGTCTGAAGGGACCAGACGTGAAAAGGCAAAGTTCAGAGTAATAAAGGGAAACGGCCGGTCATTTCCTGAGACCATTCTTCCGTGTCTTTCTAGCAGACCTTACTGTTGGATGAGAAACGCTAGAGAGTGTAGTCCCAAAATATCTCGGTTGCTGGTGCTTGAAATTTCACCGTTAGAGATATTGATTCCTTTGGGGCTTGACGATCCTCTATTAAAATGCAAATTCCCCTTGAAGGGGCTATAGCTCAAGCCTTTATCAGCCAACACTTTAGCAGGGATGGGATTTATTTTCCAATTTAACGAGATGGCCAAGGGATGAACAGGGGGTAGGGAATTCCACAGATAGAGTGACTGATCTCAAAATGCTGGCCCGTGGCCAAACGCTGCCTTCTCCCCCAGTTCTTATCTTTAACAGGACTAAGCCTCTGGCCGGCATTGTTTAAAGCACTCCAGTACAAATTCCAATTTCCTGGAGACATTTTCTGCCTAGAAGTTCGCAGTGCAGCACTTTTTAAGAGCTTGAAACAATACAAGGCATGACCCTGGACTGGCAGGAAGTTATGTTCGCATTTGATCATCTCCCCCATTCATTCATTCATTCATTCATCCGTTCATTCATTCCTCCAACAAAAGTTCATAAAGAGCTCTCTAATCATAAGGCTTTTTTTTTTTTTACGTTCTTAGGGTACATCAGTGAACAAAACAGACAAAAATCCCTGCCTTTAAGGGATTCAGAGAGAAACACACAATAGCCTAACAAATTAGTGAATTACAGTTTATTGACATTGTATACTATTCAAAAAATAGTATACACCCACTATGTGCCAGGCACTGAAGATCGAAGAATGAGTTGCAAGCCCCCTGTACTCAGAGAACTTTCGGTCTAGTGGGAAGACTGGCGGCACACTGGGTTCAGTGTTATGGAGACTACACAGTGCCCCCCCAACCCCACCCCCACCAAAAAAAAGGAATCAGATGATAAGGAGATTTGAAAAGAGTTTTCTGACCACAATACCAAAAATGGGTTGAGGGGTGCCCAAGTGAAAGAGTGTTCAGAGGCTGTTACTGTCAGCTGGCAAGAGGTGATAGTGTTTTGGATTAAAGTGGGGTTAGTGGAGATGTCGAGAATTGGGTGTGTTTGGGAGATGTTTCGGAGGTGTCAGTGATGAATTAAACAGAAGGGGGAGCCAGTTGGTGACCTCCAGTGATCTCCCATTTATGAATGAGAGATGCTTCCAAAATATATGTGAATTGATTTGTTTTATTTATTTATTTAAGAAAGGTACGGAAAGAGAGCTCCAAGCAATACAGCAGGAGATTTTGGTGAAGGTGGGTTAGGAGAGGGATCTACTTTCGCTGTAAAATTTCGTTTGCATCCAAAGGGAGAGACTGATCTAGAAATTAAACTTACTTCACATTTCTATCAATGAAAAAGCAGTTTTGTTGATAAAATGAAAACTTTAGACAAATAAATTTAACAGAGTTTACTTAAACAATGAACAATTCATGAATAAGGCAGCCCTCAGAATCATAAGAGGTTCAGAGAACTCCACTCTGCCATGTGGGCAGTGAGTATGTATAGACAGAAAAAGATTGAAGAAAGTAGAAATGAGGAACAAAAAGCAGATTAGTTGTTTCAAAGTTACTTTCCCCATAATGGTTAAAACGGAACTTCCTTATCATGTCTGCTCAAACTGGCCTTTCTGGATATTTGTCTATTCTCTCTCTTCTTTCTCTCTCTCTCTTCTCTCTCTCTCCCCCCCTCTCTCTCTCCCTCTCTCTCTCTCTCTTTCTCTCTGTGTCTGTCTTTCCCCCACCCCTCTTCCTCTCCTTCTCCTGATTTCTCATAAAGTCAGCTAAACAACCGAGTTTCAGCTTGGTGGATTAGGACTTTAGCATGACTGACTCCATTTTAATTTGGTCTGTTGGTGGGAGCTCTGTCCAAATCAATGGCCTCCAAAAATTTTTATTTCATACTATGTTTTACAGAATTTTTTAATCCTGTTGTATTAAATGCAACAGCCAAAGTTACCTTGATGAACACTTGCAATTTGGAGATATAAATAGGGAGATAAAAGTAGTTAAAGTGAGTTGATTTCATGGGAGTGAATCATAAAGAAAGAAAGGAAAGAAGAATGAAAGGGAAGGGAGGAAAAGAACAGAAAGAAGGGAAGGAGAAAGGTAGGGAGAGAGGGTGCTGGCCTGAGCTTAGCCTCCCTGGCACTGATCACGACAACTCATTGACTCTCTTTGATCTTCAGTGTTTGTCTCTTGTAAAAGCATTATAATCATACATGTCCTAGTGTTACAGAAGATTCTTGGAGACCCCTGGAACCAAGTTATGGCTTTTATTCTCCCTGGATCAGATGGGACTAATAGACAAAACCATTGTTCTTTTGGGTTTTGTTTCTTTGTTTTTGTTTTTTTAAAGACAGAGTCTCAGTCTGTCATCAGGCTGGAGTGCAGTGGCATGATCTCAGCTCACTGCAACCTCCACCTCCTGAGTTCAAGCGATTCTCGTGCCTCAGCCTCCTGAGTAGCTGGGACTACAGGCGCACGCCCCCATGCCCAGCTCATTTTTGTATTTTTAGTAGAGACAAGGTTTCACCATGTTGGCCAGGATGGTCTAGATCGCTTGACTTTGTGATCCACCCACCTTGGCCTCCCGAAGTACTGGGAATTACAGATGTGAGCCACCACACCCGGCCAAGACCATTGTTCTTAAGCAAAGCATGACAAGGTGGCTGAGCTTCTTGCTGAAAGACAGGTTTCAGGGCTGCTTGCACCATGGGGAGACAAGGAACACTTACAAATGCCTCAGTCACCACATGCTTGTTTCAGATTCCTGCTCTTTTTGACCTGTACCTGTCCATACATAATGGATGAGAAAGAATCTAGACCCTTGGTAGCCTCTCTTACGCAGTAGAGAGTTGTGCTTGGATCTCACAATTTCTGCCTATGGAAGAGTAATAGGGGAGAAACTCTACTTCTAGGAATGTCAGACCAGCTACTTCTCCTACTAAAGACAACTTAGAAACCAGGGGGACTTTTTTTAAGTATCTCCTTAAAAGTATCAAAGATTATGGAGATAATGAGGGAACACCAAGCCTAGATGCAATAGGAGAAGGAATGCGGAGAGGTGTGTGCAGCACGTGGGCTGCCTTTCTAGCTCTGGCAGCTGCACACAGAATCAGAAAGATGAATTTGAGTTCAGGAGTCTCCAAAGGTGGGGACCCAGTAAACCAGTCCCCTGCCTTGTGACAGAACCCCAAATGGCTGCATCCCTGGAGCAGGAAATAAGTCAAACTTCCCTCTTTTTGCAGGTGCCCAGAAACCCCAATTCTGCATTGCACAAGCCCCTAGGAGCTGGCAAAACAATAGAAAATTCTCTCTAAAGAAAGATATTATCATTCTAGGCCTCCAATTATTTCTATGAATAGAATTTTTAAAACTCACTTTCCCTTAACTTCCTCAACACGATAAAGGACATTTATGAAAGACCCACCACTAACATCATAATCAATGGTGAGAGACTGAAAGCTTCTTCCCAAGATCAGGAATTTGACATGTGGTGAATGTCCACATTCACCACCACTGTTCAATATTTTATTGGAAGTTCAGCCAGAACAATTAGACAAGAAAAGGAAATAAAGGACATCCAAATTGTAAAGGAAGAAGCAAAACTATCTCTATTTGCAGGTGACATGATTTGATATATAGAAAATCTCAAAGAATTCACAAGAAAGCTACTAGAACTAATAAACAAATTCAGCAAAGTTACCAGGTACAAGATCAACACATAGAAGTTAGTTGTGTTTCTATACACCAATAATGAATAATCTGAAAAGGAAAACAATAAGACAATTATAATAATATCTAAAAGAATGAAATACCTGGGAATAAATTTAACCAAGGAAGTGAAGGCTTGTACACTGAAAACATTGCTCAAATAAATTAAATACCTAAATAAATGAAAAGACTTGCTATGTTCATGCATAGAAAGACAATATTAAGATGACAACACCCCAAATTCTCTACAGATTCAAAGCAATCCCTATCAAAACTCCAACAGCCCTTTTTGCAGAAATGGAAAAGCCAATCTTCAAAATCATATGGAATTCCAAGGGTCCCCAGATAGCCAAAGGGTCTTGAAAAAGAACAAAGTTGAAAGACTCATACTTCTAGATTTCAAAACTTACCACAAAGGTATAGTAATCTAAACAGCATGGTACTGGCATAAGAGTAGACATCTAGACCATTGGAATATAATTGAGGGTCCATAAATAAATCCATACATCTAAGGACAACTGATCTTTAACAAGGGTGCCAAGTTCATTCAATGGGAGAAAGAATAGTCTCTTCAACAGATGGTGCTGGGACAACTGGACTTGTACTTACAAAAGAAAGAAGTTGGACTCCAAGCTCATATCATAATCAAAAGTTAACTCAAAATGGACCTAAATAAAAGAGCAAAAACTATGGAAGTCTTAGAAGAAAACATAGGCATAAACCGTGACCTTGGCTCTGGCTGTAGATTCTTAGATATGACAAGAGAAGTATGAGCAATGAAAGAAAAAATAAACAAATTATACTTCATCAAAGTTAAACACTTTTGTACATCAAAGCACATTGTCAAGAAAGTGAAAAGACAAACTATAACATGGAAAGAAATATATGCAAAGCATTTATCTTGACCAGAGATATATGCCATGTATTCAGATTATGGATAGAACTACTCAAAACAAAATGACAACCCAATTTAAAAGTGGGAAAATGACTTGAATAGACATTTCTCCTAAGAAGATAAACGAGTGTCCTGTGAACACCTGAAAAGATGCTCATCACTCATCATTGGGGAAATGCAAATTAAAACCATAATGTGATGCCACTTCACACCCATCAGGATAGCTATATTATTAACTTGTTTTTGTTTTTGTTTTTGAGACGGAGTCTCGCTCTGTCACCCAGGCTGGAGTGCAGTGGCGTGATCTCGGCTCACTGCAAGCTCCGCCTCCCAGGTTCACACCATTCTCCTGCCTCAGCCTCCCGAGTAGCTGGGACTACAGGCGCCCGCCACCGCACCCGCTAATTTTTTTGTATTTTTAATGGAGATGGGGTTTCACCGTGTTAGCCAGGATGGTCTCGATCTCCTGACCTCATGATCTGCCCACCTCAGCCTCCCAAAGTGCTGGGATTACAGGTGTGAGCCACCAGACCTGGCCAGCTATATTATTTAAAAAAAAAAAGAAAGAAAGAAAGGAGCAAGTGTTGGTCAAGATATGGAGAAATTAGAACCCTTGTGCATTTCTGGTGGGAATGTAAAATGGTGCAGCCACTGTGGAAAATGGCATGGTGACCCCTCAAAAAAATCAAACAAATTCTACTTCTGGATAAATACCCAAATGAATTGAAAGCAGGGACTCAAAGAGGTGTGTGTGTGTGTGTGTGTGTGTGTGTGTGTGTGTGAGAGAGAGAAAGGGAACACGTGTGATAGGGTGTTACTCTGTCACCCAGGCTGGAGTGCAGTGGCACAAAGACGGCTCATTGCAGCCTGGACCTCCCAGACTCAGGCAATCCTCTCACCTCAGCCTCTCAGGTAGCTTGGACTACAGGTGCGCACCACCGTGCCTGACTAATTTTTGTATTTTTTGTAGAGATGGGGTTTTGCCGTGTTGCCCCAGTTGGTCTCAAACTCCTGAGCTCAAGCAATCCACCTGTCTTGGCCTCCTGAAGTGCTGGGATTACAGGCATAATACCCATGTTCATAGCATCATTATTCCAAAGGTGGAAGCAAACCAAGTGTCCATCCTTGGATGAATGGATAAACAAAATGTGGTCTGTACATACATTGGAATCTTATTCAGCCTTTATAAGGAAGGAAATTTTGACACATGCTACAACATGAACAAACCATGAACATTAGGCTAAGTGAAATAAGGCAGTCACAAAAGGATAAATATTGTTCAGATCCACCTTATGAAGTACCTAGAGTAGTCAAATTCATAATGACAGAAAGCAGGGTGGTAGTTGCTAGGGGCAGAGGGGTGGTGGGAATGGGGAGTTAGTGTTTGGTGGGTACAGTTTCAATTGCAGAAGATGAAGAGTTCCTGGAGATGGTTGGTGGTGCTACTTGCACAACTATGGGAATGTGCTTAATGCCACAGAATTGCACACTTAAATTTGTTAAAATGGTAAATTTTATATTATGTATATTTTACCACAATAAGAAAAAAACAATGAAATTCTCAAATCCACGAGGATGGCTATAATAAAAAAAATGAAAATAACAAGTGTTGGAGAGGATGTGGAGAAATTGAAACACTTGTAGGTTGCTGGAATGAACGTAAAATGCTGCAGCCAACGTGGAAAACAGTCTGGCTGTTCCTCAAAAATAAACGTAGTATTTCCACATGACCCAGTAGTTCCACTCCTAGGTATATACCCAAAGGAAGTGAAAGCAGTGACTGGAAAAGATATGTGTGCACCAGTGTCCTGGAGCATGTTTGTTCAGGTGATTATCATTGGAGGGCTGGAAGCAAGCTGGACTCCCTGGACACTGATGGAGAATCAGGCACATATAGAATTTTGACTTGTCTTTGTTCGTTAGGTTTAAAATGTCTGTCTCATTGCTACCAAAATAATTAAAGGTCAACTAAGTGCAGGGAGAGAAGAAATCTAATTTGACAGGCCTTGAAATACTTATTACTTCATAGGTTTTGTGATGAGATTTAAGTTAGATCATGAATACAGAAAAGTATTTTTTCAAACATTACGCACTTTATGAATGCTGGCCTTATTCCGTTAGCAGTAAGTTCCTTACGGACAGGAATCATTCACGTTTGCAGTATCCTAATGCACTTAGCACAGTCCTAGCAGATAGTGGTATTCAATTACTATTTATTCAAGCTAATTCTGTATCTTAAACTATGTTAAAATTGAAGTTTTTAACACTTCTGGGATAGTATTGACTAGAATTTTGTGAAAAACCCCTGAGAAGTAAATGACTTAATTATTGAAGGAGGGTAATAAGGCTAAGAAGTGAGTTCCAGTTAACTCAACTAGCACTATTAAATCAGGTTATTAGAAACCTATGCATTCTAATGGTTTCATTAGAATAAGCAGTTATTCATATGCTCAGACTCAAACAAACTTATACATGAAAGAGGTGTTTTGCCTTTAGGGAAAAACTATGAAAATTATGAGTCAAGCCTCATGAGATTTGATAATTCTCATCCATCAACTGAACAGAAAATAATGGAGTAAAATTTATCATTTGGCTCTAAAGTATGGGTCACCTTCAATCAGAACTCCTTCACTTTTATTTTATTAAGAAGCAAAAGTAAAACACTTTGCTTGTGGATAAATGGAAAGTTGCTTAGAGAAATAAGCATTAGGATGCACTCATTTTTGGTGTCGATTATGTGATTGGCCCACATTTTTATAGCAACAGCAAGAGCAGCAGCAGCAAATTGCTGAGACGTAATTCTTATGGCATATGTTGGCTTTTTTCATGCAAGCAAGCTATATGTTCAGTGGTAACCTGGACCATTCAGCAAAATCCATTTCTCTCTTCACTCTCTCCAACATGTTTCTCTAATCCTCTGCTCCAGCAAAATACTGGCCTTTGGTTTCTTTCTTTTTTTTTTTTTTTTTGAGATGGAGTCTCGCTCTGTCCCTCAGGCTGGAGTGCAGTGGCGCGATCTCAGCTCACTGCCATCTCCACCTCCTGGATTCAAGTGATTCTCCTGCCTCAGCCTCCAGAGTAGCTGGGACTACACGCACCTGCCACCACACCCAGCTAATTTTTTTTTTTTTTTTTTTTTTTTTTTTTTTTTTTTTTTTTTGAGACGGAGTCTCACTCTGTCGCCCAGGCTGGAGTGCAGTGGCGCGATCTCGGCTCACTGCAAGGTCCACGTTCCGGGTTCACGCCATTCTCCTGCCTCAGCCTCCCGAGTAGCTGGGCCTACAGATGTCCGCCACCACACCTGGCTAATTTTTTGTATTTTTAGTACAGACAGAGTTTCACCGTGTTAGCCAGGATGGTCTCAATCTCCTGACCTCAAGATCCACCTGTCTCGGCCTCCCAAAGTGCTGGGATTACAGGTGTGAGCCACCGCGCCCGGCCAATTTTTTCTATTTTTAGGAGAGACAGGGTTTTTCCATGTTGCCAAGGCTGGTCTCTAAACTCCTGAGCTCAGGCAGTCGGCCCATCTCAGCCTCCCAAAATGCGGGGATTAAAGGCATGAGTCACCACGCCTAGCCTGGCCTTTGGTTTCTAAGCTTCTGGACAGTAATGGGTCACTCCTGCTGAGAATGACTTTCTTCATCACCTTTGCAAATTCTATCCCTCTCTTAGGTCTTCTCTCACATCTAAAAGTCAGGGCAGCAGAATGGTTAGGGCACCCATGTTAGTGTCACACTGCCTTAGTAAAAACCCCAACTCCACTTCCTAATGAAGGTAATAATAATACCTATCTTATAAATTTCTTGTGAGGATTAAATGATTTCATTTATCTAGAGTTCTTAGAGCAGTACCTGGCATATAGCAAACACTAAGTGCCAGTTATTTTTCTATTATTGTGTCAGTACTTCTATTTGAACATATTCCCGTTAGGTCTAGCTTTCCCTGGCCTATAGCGGCAGAACAGATTATGCTGGAAAAGACCAAAGGGAAAGTTAGGCCTACAGGGTCTGCATCCAGAAGATGAAGTTATATTAGAACCTCAAATGCAAGACTGAACCAAAATAGGAGGAAAGGTGAGATCTAACACCATTGGTAGACTAAGAGCAGAATACAGATATTCAGCAAAGGTGGCTTGGTACCTGGCACCCATCTTCTAAGTCAGCATAAGGCAAAGAGGTTAGGCTGTTTCCTCAAATATGGTATAATAACTGAGAAGAGACTTCACAATGGGTATTTATTTGAATTTCCCACAGTGTACAGAATAACACCTTATTAGAATAAAAGCTATAGTAAATATTTGTATATTGATGTCTTAAAATTAAGAAAGTATTTAAAATGCTCCCCCTTTTAAGCCATCTATTCTATAAATATCTATTGAGTGAAATAATATACAAGACATTACCCTAAGCCATGTAAAGATCAGTAAGACCTCGCACCAGACCTCATATTTCTTATGGGCTAATTACTACCTATAATTCAATAGTCATTATTGTAATGACTTTATTAGTTTTAGTCTTCTAATTATATCATTATTTCAATATCTTTAGAATAAACAGACCAAGTAATGAAATTTCAGAAATGATTTAGTGATGTAAGTGTGGGATCTAAACAAAAACAACTTTCTAGGAGGTTTCAGATTTGATTATAATCATCTCCTAACATGGAAAGGATGTAGAAATCCTTTTTCTACTCTTTTCTTGTAGGGATTAAGTATCGTTGATTCTTAAGAAGGATATTGAAAAAAGGCAATAAGAAATACAATAACATCCCTATAGACAGTGAGAGCATACCAGAAAGACATAACCACAAAATAGATCAACTGATTAGATGAGTGAGGGCCACCCACATTATGGAGGGGAATCTACTTCACTTAAATTCCACTGGGTTAAATTTCCATCTCATCCATAAACACCTTCACAGAAATACCCAAAATAATATTTGGCCAAATATCTGGGTACTGTGGCCCAGCAAAGTTGACACAAAATTAATCACCACAATGATGAAATTTTTAAAAAACTCCTAAACAAATGGAGAGGCATAGTGTATTCATGAATTGCAAGAGTCAACATAGTAAAGATGTAAATTCTCCCCAAATTTCCTGATAGGTTTACTGCAATTCCTATCAAAATCCCAGCAAGTTGGTTTTTTTTTTAAAAGACATATGTACATTTATTTTTAAATGTATGCAAAAAGGCACAGGCTCTAGAATAGCTAAAATAATCCGGGAAAAGAATTAAGTGGGAGTAATTACTTGATATTAAGGCTTACTACAGAGATAGAGTAATCAATATATTGTGGTGTTGGCAGAAGGATAGACACACAGTTCAATGTAACTGAATAGAGAACCCAGAAATAGATCCCCAAAATATGCTGGTTTTTTTTTTTTTTTTTTAGATAGAGGCTTGCTCTGTTGCCCAAGCTGGAGTGCAGTGGCATGGTCTCAGCTCACTGCAACCTCTGCCTCCCAGGTTCAAGAGATTCTCATGCTTCAGCCTCCCAAGTAGCTGGGATTATAGGCGTGCACCACCATGCCCGGCTAATTTTTTTGTATTTTTAGTAGAGATGGGTTTCACCATCTTGGCCAGGCTGGCTAATTGATTTCTGACAAAGGTGCAAAAGCAATTCAATACAGGAAGAAAATAACTGTTTCAACAAATGGTATTGGAGCAAATGGACATCTGTAAGCAAAAACAAATAAATAACAACTTCTATTTAAACCTCACACTTTATACAACAATGTATTCAAAATGAATCATGGACGGACTTACATGTAAAACAGAAATGAAAGGAAAAAAGAATTTCAGAAATAAAGACTAAACAAAAAGCAGTACAAGAGTGAATAAACACAATAAATAAAAACCTGAGGAGCAATAAAAAGCAAAAAGGAGGAAAATTTTTAAGATCATAAAGAAATTAAAAAGATAAAAAAGATTTTAGATAGTGGCATATTTGAAGAGTGTTAAAGAAGATCCAACATGTGGCTGAAAGGAGTTTCTGAAAAGGGAAACCAAAGCAAGGGAACAAAACAAATATTAAGAACTGTCTCTCAAGAAAATAATCCTGAATTTATTTTATTTTATTTTATTTTATTATTTTTTTTTGAGATGAAGTCTCACTGTGTTGCTCAGCCTGGAGTGCAGTGGCACAATCTTGGCTCACTGCAACCTCTGCCTCCCAGGTTCAAGCGATTCTCCTGCCTCAGCCTCCTGAGTAGCTGGGATTACAGGCAGGCGCCACCACGCCTGGCTGATTTTTGTATTTTTAGTAGAGATGGGGTTTCTCCATGTTGGTCAGGCTGGTCTCGAACTCCTGACCTCATGACCCGCCCCATTGGCCTCCCAAAGTGCTGGGATTACAGGCATGAGCCACCGTGCCCAGCCCTGAATTTTTAAAAAGATTTGAAATTGCACATTAAAGGAGGATACTCTGTACCAGACAATATCAAACCAGAATGATCATGACCAAAATATATTGGAATAAAATTTCTGAGCTCTAAAGAAAAAGAAGATATTTTGGGGGATCACGGCAAAAAGACCAGGTGACTTAAAAGGGAAATAAAATATTGGACAATAATTCATTATGCCAGAAAAATGACATGAAAGCATTTTAAGGAAAATCAAGTAAAGAAAATATTACTCAAAGATTTTATATCCAGTAAAACTAAATTTCAAGTAGAAAGGACACAGATAGACTGAATAAAGAAAATGTGGTACATATACACCAGGGAATACTATGCAGCCATAAAAAGGAACAAGATCATGTTCTTTGCAGCGACATGGATGAAGCTGGAAGCCATTATCCTCAGCAAACTAATGCAAGAACAGAAAACCAAACATGCATGTTCTTACTTACGAGTGGGAGCTGAACAATGAGAACACATGGACACAGGGAGGGCACAACACTTACTGGGGCATGTCAGGGGAGAGCAATGAGGGGGAGAGCATTAGAGAAAAGAGCTAATACATGCTGGGCTTAATACCTAGGTGATGGGTTGATAGGTGCAGCAAACCACCATGGCACACATTTACCTATGTAACAAACCTGCACATCCTACACATGTACCCTGGAACTTAAAAACTAATAATAATAATTTTTTTAAAAAGTAAGGATGCAGATAAACTATCATCAATGTGCAAAAATTCAAGGAATCTTGTTCCCCATAATCCCTTTCTGAAGAATTGTGTTAATGTGCTTCAAACAACCAAAATAACTAGACAGACATTGACCTAAGTATAGATGGTGAGCACTGATATATTGCTCCTTTTAGAACTGAAAGTAAATGAGGGCCCTTTCCTCACACCATATACAACAATTAACTCAAAATCCATGAAAGGCCTAATGTAAGAACTAAAACTGTGAAACTCTTTGAAGAAAATATAGGTGTACATGTACTTGACCCTGGATTGGAAGTGGTTTCTTAGCTATGAAACCTAAATCACAAGCAACCAAAGAAAAAAATAGATAAATTGGACTTCATCAAAATTAAAACTTTTTTCAAAAGACACTATCAAGAAAATGAAAAGACAATGCACAGATAGGGAGAAAATGTTTGCAAATCATGTATCGCTTAAGGGTCTAATATCAGAAAATAAATGTATATATTTATCCTACAAATACAGTAAACATGTATTTGTAAACTGTTGCAGCTCAACAGTAAGGAAATAAACAACCCAATTAAAAAGTGGGCAAAAGATCTGAAGTGATGTTTCTCCAACAAAGGAAAGAAATGGCCGCTGAAGAAAACAAAATCTATATCTTGAAGAGATATCTGCACTTCATCTTCATTGCAGCATTATTCACAATAGTCAAGTTATGGAATCAACCTAATCATCCATTGATGGATGAAGGAATTTTTTAAATGTATGTGTGTGTGCATGTGTGTGTGTGTGTGTGTATGAAATGGAATATTATTCAGCCATAAAAAAGAAGGAAGTCCTGTCATTTGCAACAACATATATGAACACAGAAGACATTATGCTAAATGAAATAAACCAGGCAGAGAAGGACAAACAGTGTATGATCTCACTTACATGTGGAATCTAAAAAAGTTAAACTCACAGAAACAGAGTAGAATAGTGGCTGCCAGGGACTTTGGGGTGGGGGAAATGGGGAGATGTTGGTCAAAGGGCAAAAACTTTCACTTATAAGATGAGTAAGCTCTGAGAATCTAATGTACAGCATGCTGATTATTGTTAATAACACTGTATTTTGTATTTGAAATTTGCTAAGACAGATCTTCAGTGTTCACATACACAAAGAATGGTAATTATGTGAGATGATGGATGTATTAATTTACTTAATCATGGAAACAATTTCATAATGTATATGTATATCAAGTCATCACATTTCATATCTTAAATATATACAATTTTGTCAATTATACTTCAATAAAGCTGGAAAAATATAAACAGTAAACTCAAAGATCGATGGATAGATAGATAGATAGATAGATAGATAGATAGATGATGGATAGAATGATTTAGTTGTTTCTCCATTCATTGTAAAGTTAAAGATGAATACAAATTATGTTGCATTCCTCTTATATACACCTAATTACATCAGAGAGCTAATATGTACCTCAGAAAAATACATGAAAATGAGTGCTTTATAAGACAACAAGGATTGAAGCTAACTGGGAAATCCTTATATACTTTTATACCCCTATATACACTTAAACAGGAGTTTCAACATCATTCCTAATTTTTCAGAGAAGCACATCCATTTTCAAAATTATTGATTCACTGAAATTTATCTCTGATCATTTTCAAATCATATTGAATTGCGTGAAACCCTCGAAAAAAAGAAATAGCCAATAAGCACATGCAGAGATGCCCAACATCATCAGTCATTAGGGAAATGCAAATCAAAACCATGGTGAGACACCTCTTCACACACACATGAAAAGATGATCATAATCAAAACTATGGACGAGAGAAAGTGTGGGTGAGGATATGGAGAAAGTGGAGCCTTTATACAGCCAGTGGAACATAAAACGGCACAACCACAGGCCGGGCGCGGTGGCTCACGCCTGTAATTCCAGAACTTTGGGAGGCCGAGGCCGGCAGATCACGAGGTCAGGAGATCGAGACCATCCTGGCTAATACGGGGAAACCCCGTCTCTACTAAAAATACAAAAAATTAGCCGGGCGCGGTGGCGGGCGCCTGTAATCCCAGCTACTCGGGAGGCTGAGGCAGGAGAATGGCGTGAACCCAGAAGGCGGAACTTGCAGTGAGCCAAGATCCCGCCATTGCACTCCAGCCTGGGCAACAGAGTGAGACTCTGTCTCAAAAAAAAAAAAAAAAAAAAAAAATGGCACAACCACTTTGGAAAACAGTCTGGCAATTTCTCAACATGTTAAACTTTGATTTACCATATGACTCAGCAATTCCAGTCATAGGTATATACCCAAGAGAACTGAAAATGTATTTTCGCACAAAAACTAATATACAAATATTGACAGCACTATGATTCATAATAGCCAAAAATGGTAACAACCTATATATCCCTCAACAGATGAATGAACAGACAAAATGTGGTATATCCCAACTAGACAGTATTTTCAGCCACAGAAAGTAATTAACTATTGATACATGCTATAACACAGATGAATTTTGAAAATATTATGCTAAGTGAAAAAAGCCAGTCACAAAAGGCCACGATTCTATTGGTATGAAATGCCCAGAAGAGGCAAATCCACAGAGAGAAGGAAAATAGATTAATGGCTGTCAGGGCTGGAAGGAGGAGGAATGGGAATCTCTACTAATGGGTAGAGGTTTCTTTTTGAGGTGACAAAAAAGTTCTAAAATTGGATAGTGGTGATGGTTGCAGAACTCTGTGACTATACTAAAAAACAATGAATTGCGTACACTTTAAAAGAGTGAATTTTATGGTATGTGAATTATATTTCGTAAAGGTGTTATTTTTCTAAAAGACCAATGGAGGGTTAAAAAGAAAGTATAGGCTGGCCACAGAGGCTGACACCTGTAATCCCAGCACTTTGGGAGGCCAAGGTGGGCGGATCCCTTTAGGTCAGGAGAATTAGCTGGGCGTGGTGGTGCACACCCAGCTACTCAGGAGGCTGAGACACGAGAATCACTTGAACCCGGGACGGGGAGGTTGCAATGAGCCAAGATTGCACCACTGCACTCCAGCCTGGGCAACAGAGCAAGATACTGTCTCAAAAAAATAAAAAAGAAGAAAAGAAAAAAGAAAGAAAGTATAGTATGCTCTGATTATATGCTCTGACAATATAGATGTAATTTGGCTATTTTTAAAAACGAGTTGAATGGGGAAAACATATGTAAAACTGGGAACTACTTGCAGTAATCAATTGATTCTGGTAGTATTAGTATTAGCATGGGGAGATACTTAGCATAATACAAGATTAAGCAAATGAGGTATTATGGGATATTCTATCATCCCTTGTGTTCTTGAAAACCAAATTCTCGAGGTAGAGGAAAGGAGTTGGAGACATACCCAGGCTAGGTTACATACAGAACTCTGTAGTCCTGAATTTGAACTAGAAATGGGAATATGAGTTCATGAGATAGGCTATCTGTGTAGCTAACCGTGTGTGTGTGTGTGTGTGTGTGTGTGTGTGTGTGTGTGTGTGTGTGTGTGTTTCGTAGCTCTGTCCACTGAAAAAATCTAGAAACAATGACCAACCCAGTAGCAATGAACATCCCAAGGGCCCCAACTATGGTCCTGAAATATTACACCATTTCTCAATAAGAGAAATGGCTGAGCTGAAGTTTGGGATCATACAGGACTGCAAAAGAGCTGTGAAAGACTGTTATACTAGAGCGATGACAAAAGGGTTCAGGAGCCCACTTTAGATGTTCTTATTTGCTAAAGATTAAAACAATTTTTTTCTGAGTGCCAATAAGAATACTCATTGTAAGGCATTCAAACCTACCAAATATGTTTAAATTCAGAAGTTTATAATCATATGTTTTAAAACTCACTGGTTGCCCTCAGAGGATGATAGGAAAACAACTCATTATCTTAAAACCTGGCAAATTAGAAAACAATTATCTTGCCTTCCTATATGAAGTGTATCATTGGGAAACCAGTTAGTAGATGAGAGGAAGTGTCTTTTTTTATTTTTTGAGAGACAGTCTCGCTCTGTCACCCAGGCTGGAGAGCAGTGGTATGATCTCAGCTCACTGCAACCTCTGCCGCCTGGTTCAAGCAATCTGCTGGCCTCAGTCTCCCGAGTAGCTGGGACTACAGGCATGCACCACCATGCCTGGTTAATTTTTGTATTTTTAGTAGAAACGGGGTTTCACCATGTTGGCCAGGCTGGTCTCAAATTCTTAATCTCAAGTGATCTGCCTGCCTCAGCTTCCTAAAGTGCTGGAATTACAGGTGTGAGCCACCACGCCCGGCTGGAAGTGTCTTTTTGTAATAATACTGCAAACAATAATTGAAAAAGATATTGAATTAAAATGTCATCATTTTGCAAATCACAATTAGTTAAAAGATACAGGCACTGAGCATCGACAGCGGCTAACATTGAAAAAAGACATGAACTGAAACAAGACATGAAGGCCTCCTGATGAAAGAACAAGCCATTTATATCCTGCAATGGGGATCAAGCCAGACTCCAATTCAGTCCAGTTCCAGGTACCAATTTTCAGGAAACTCAGAAGACAGAGTAATCATGTTGAACTGCACCAAGAGGGTACACTTGGCAAACTCCAGACTCCAAATGTCCTCGGCACTTCAGCCTGTAAATTGCAGGGAAAAGAAAGGGATAGAGGGTGGCGGGCGCCTGTAATCCCAGCTACCCAGGAGGCTGAGGCAGGAGAATCGCTTGAACCTGGGAGGCCGGGGTTGTAGTGAGCAGATATTGTGCCACTGTATTCCAGCCTGGGCAGCAGAGCAAGACTCTGTATCAAAAAGAAAAGAAAGAGAGATCAAGAGAGAGAGAGAGAGAGGGAGGGAGGGAGGAAGGAAGGAAGGAAGAGAAAGAAAGAGAGAGAGAGAGAGAGAGAGAAGGAGAAGGGAGGGAGGGAGGGAGGAAGGAAGGAAGGAAAGAAAAGACAGAAAGACAGAAGGAAGGAAGGAAGGAGAAAGAGGAAACCTGTACATTAAAAGAGACTTGATGACATAGTACAAATTTTTAATGGACAAGACTAAACTATAGGCCGGGGCTGTGACTCATGTCTGTAATCCTAGCACTTTGGGAGGCTGAGGCAGGCAGATCACTTGAGCTTAGAGTTCTGGGCAACATAATGAAACCCTGTCTCTACAAAAAATACAAAAAAATTAGCCTGGCATGGTGGGACGCACCTGTAGTCCCAGCTACTCAGGAGGATGAAGTGAGAGGATCACTTGAGCCCTGGGAAGTTGCGGCTGCCATGACCCATGATTGTGCCGCTGCACTCCAGCCTGGGTGACAGAGCGAGACCTTGTCTCAGAAAAAAAAAAAAAGAAAAAAGAAAAAAAAGGCTAAACTACAGTGTCTAGGGATAGCTACTTGAGTGATAAAACCATACAGAAATGAAAGGAAGTGATTACTATAAATCAGAGAGTGACTACTTTGAAAGAGAAGGAAGAGGATTGTCATTGGGGCCAGGCACGTGGAGGAGATTCTGGGGCAGCTGGCAAAGTTTAATTTCTTGACCAGAGAGGGTGATTACAAGCCCACTCACCTCACAATAACTTATCCAGCTCCACACTTGATTTGGGTGGATTTCTGTGTCTGTTTTGTCTTTCCATAAAAAGGTTTTTAAAATCTCTACCAGAGCATGTTTGTTTACAATTTCAGATTAAAACCTCGCCTTCTTGGCTCGTCCAAGTTCCATATGACCTTCCTGCACCATGACTTTTGTTCTGTATTTGAGAGCAAGTTTTTAAACAACTCAATTTTGTGTCTGACATCAATGAACAAAGATGTAGATGCTGTTCTGGAATCTGCCTCTGCGTGTCTTCATTCGTCACGGAGAAGGGGCTGCATATCATCTTCCAGATGGTGCTTGACAAGCACACTCTTTATAGAATGAAAGGAAACTGTGGCCATGAACACCGCATTCAGCTTTCCCTCCGCTACCTCTGCAGCCTTTTAGATGCTAACATAGACTGCCTGCCCCGCTGCGGATTTACAGCTATTCGGATGTCAACTCTATTCCTTCCAGACTTTGTCTGCGTCAGATTAGTCAAGGCAGGCAGCTGTGATACAGACAGTAGGAAAAACAGTAGGCTTGGAATCAAGACACCTGGCCTCCACTGGCAACTCCTTCCAGCTCTGTAACCTGGGACAGGCTGCTCAATATTCCTGCATCCGTTTCCTCATCCGGAAGGTGGGGATTATACACGGGATTGTTGTGAGGGAGGTGATGCGTGAAAAAGCAACTTGTGAACTTTGAAATGCACTCTCACCATTCAGAGGTCTTCAGCATCCTCACACAGCTCACTCCCAGTGAATTTCTTTCTCTATGTCATTACCCACAGTAATGGGTCACATTATCATGCTGCCCTATCCAACACAAAAAATGATCAGAAGATCTTATTGTCCTTTGAATGCCCTTGCAGCTGGGCCACTGAGGTTTGAAGAGATATGGTGTTGGAATGGGAAGAAGGCCTCAGGGGGTCTCAGAGCCATCTGGTTCCCTGAGTGTTCTCTTGTGTCCCTTCTGAGGTGCCTGGGGTTCCATGGCCAGGTTCAGCGACCACCTTAGGGTCAGGAAGTAGATATCGGCCACTCTGACCCTCATGCCTGCCTCTTCAGAGGAGCTCTGCCTTATCCAATCCACATCCTGGCGCATTTGTAAGTAAGAGTTCACGTCACAGGTTCTGAAAACAACAGCAGCAACAAGTATGAGTTCAAGGCCAGGCGCGGTGGCTCACGCCTGTAATCCTAGCACTTTGCGAGGCCGAGGTGGGCAGATCACCTGAGGTCAGGAGTTCGAGACCAGCCTGACCAACATGGAGAAACCCCGTCTCTACTAAAAATACAAAAAATTAGCCAGGCGTGGTGGCAGGCACCTGTAGTCCCAGCTACTCAGGAGGCTGAGGCAGGAGAATTGCTTGAACCCAGGAAGCAGAGGTTGCAGTGAGCAGAGATGGCGCCACTGTACTCCAGCCTGGGCGACAGAGCAAGACTCCGTCTCAAAAAAAAAAAAAAAAAAAAAGAAAAAGAAAAAAAAATACACTTGAAGGGGAGAAGGAGGGAAGGAAGGGAAATTTTACATGATTGATATAATGGTATGTTTAAAGACACAACACAAAAGGTTTTTAAGGGAGCCAAATATTCATAAACACACTGATAAGAAGCCTGTGCTTTATAAATGTTCTAACATAACTTCCTGTTAATATGCAAATAATGCCCCAGGGGATCTATAATGTGATTCTCTTCAGAAGTTTAACAAACTGCTGTGTAAACTAGTAGCTATTAATACTTTCTGCATTCATCTTACACATTAATTAAACCTTCAAACATTGCTGTCAGTTGTTCTTTTGCCAATCTTCTGTCAAACATTATTAAATACAATTTCTCATTTCTTTCTATCTAAAAACATCCTTTTTTTCCTGAAATATTTAAAAAAACACTGTAATGTACCAAAAGATTTGAGAAAACTTGTCTCTTCTGGGAGATGCTGTGGCAAATCAATTCCTTCTAAATAATTAATTTTCTTGAGATCAATGCCTAATTAGTTTTGCATTTTCTTTTAAAGAACTCACTCAATTTTAGAAGATTATTGTTAAGGGAAAACTTATTTCCCGTCTTCATGCCCTGGAAGGGGCAGTATCAGAACACACAGCTCGGGCTTCTCGACTCCTCACTTGCTTCTTCCCCAAAAGGAGTGACTTATTTCATGGATAAGCAGACCCCATATGTAGGGCAGTGACCCCCATCCTACCTGCTACCTGTTATGGGTTGAATTATGTCTCCTAAAAGGTACGTTGAAATCCAAATCTCCAGTAACTGTGAATGTGTCTTTATTTTGAAATAGGATCTTTGCAGATAGAATCAGGTTAAAATGAGGTCACTACAGTGAGCCCTAATCCAAAATGACTGGTATCCTCATAAAAAGAGAAGGCTGGGTGCGGTGGTTCACACCTGCAATCCCAGCACTTTGAGAGGGAGACCCCATCTCTGCAAAAAATAAAAAAATACAGCCAGGCATGGTGGTGCACACCTGTAGTCCCAGCTACTCAGGAGGCTGAGGTGGGAGGATCATTTGAAACCCAGGAATTCAAGCATCGATCACACCATTGCACTCCAGCCTAGGTGACAGAGTGAGACCCCATCTCAAAAGAGAAGAAGAAGAAGAAGAAGAAGAAGAAGAAGAAGAAGAAGAAGAAGAAGAAGAAGAAGAAGAAGAGAGAAAACACAGATGTTTCTACAAACCAAGTGTGTATCTTCAAGCCAAGCAATGCCAAGGATGGCTGGCAAACACAGAAACTAGAAGAGGAAGGAAGGATTCTCCCCAACAAATTTCAGAGAAAGCGTGGCCCTCCTGACACCTTGATCTTGGACTTCTAGCTTCCACAACTGTGAAGTGACAAATTTCTGTTGTTAAACCACCCAGTTTGGGGTACTTTGTTACGGCTGCCTTCACAGATGGATACACCATCCTTGCTCTCTCTGCCCCCTGGTTCTGCTGGCACCCAGGCATGGCAAGGGCTTCCTCAAGCCAGGTCTGATCTTTCCAACCCATCTCTCATCTGTGCCAAAATCAGGCAAGTCATGCTCATGAAATTCCTATAGGTCTAGGTTCAGGGAAGGAGACAAGGGGCCTGTCTTTGTTTTGTGTTGCTATAACAGAATACCTGAAACTGAATAACTTATAAAGAAACGTATTGGCTCATGGCTCTGGAAGCTGGGAAGTCCAAGACTGAGGGGCTGACATCTGATGAGGGCCTTCTTACCATGTCATCCTATGGTGGATGATGAGAGAGTGAGAGAAAGCAAGAAGGCCAAATTCAAGCTCACTCCCATGATAAAGTTAATCCATTTGCGGGGGGCGGAGCCCTCAGGGCCTAATTCCCTCTTAAAGTTCCCACCTGTTAACACTGTTGCACTGGGGATTCTGTTTACAACACATGCTTCTTGGGGGTGCTATAGTTTGGATGTTTCACCTCTTCAAACCTCACATTGAAATTTGATCCTCAGTGTTGAAGCTGGGTTCTCACGGGAGGTGTTTGGGTTGTGAGGATGGATCCCTCATGAATAGATTAATGCTGTCCCTGGTGGGGGTGGGGAAGAAGTGAGTGAATTCTCACTCTACTTTGTTGCTGCAAAAGCTGGATGTTCAAAAGAATGGGCATCTCCCTTCTCTCTTGCTTCCTCTCTTGTTATGTGATCTCTGCAATCTCTGCACACAGCAGCTCCCCTTCACCTTACACCATGAGTGGAAGCTCCCTGAGGCCCTTACCAGAAGCAGATGCTGGCACCATGCTTCTTGTAACAGCCTGCAGAACCATGAGCCGAATAATAAACCTCTTTTCTTTAGAAATTCCCCAGCCTCAGATATTCATTACAGCAACACAAATAGACTAAGACAGAGGGACACATTTGAACCATAGCAAATCTCTCTGCAGTCCAGATCTGTTACTTACTAGCACTGCTCTAGAACTTTCCTTCCGTTTGTTCCTTGTGTCTATGTTTCTACAACTATGTCATATAACTATATGTATAGTTACAGCCTGCCGTTTAGCTATAACGTACTCTCCCACTGTGTCACTTGGCTCACCTCCTGTGCCAGTTAACAAGCTAATGTCAGGGCAAAATCCACTCTTCTATTCTCTGCTCTTTGTGGCTGGTATGCCCTCATTCATTCCTGATAGCTTCTCCACTCAAGCCTGCATCACCCTGAGTAACTTCAACATCCCCGTGACAACTCCCCCACCAGTGACAGCCTCTTGACTCCTCCTCTGTATGTCCCAGTCCACTCCATCTCAGCTGCCCCCTCCCATAGGCATACCTAGGATTTTGTCTTCACCAGAAGCTGTTCTCCTCCAAAATAGCAAATCCACAAACAGCCCATGCCCTGTCCATGGCTTCCAGCTTGCTCACTCAGCAATGTTCACCCTTTGACTATCATTTCTTCCCTTGGCTGATATTCTTATATTTGTCCTTGCCTCCTCCAATCTACTTTATGCATCAAAAACAGAGAATGCTTTTCACATTGCGTCAGGTCACTCTGTGCATGTCAATTATCAATATAATGTATATAGAAGGGGCACAGACTGATGGTTGCCAGGGAATCATAATAATGGCTGTTATGGAAGGGTGTGGTGAGTGTGGCTTGCAGTGATGTAACAGTATCTTGATTGTGGTGGTTACATAAATCTGCAAATGTGGCAGAATTGCATAGAACTATATACACACAAGTAAGTACTATGAAACTGCTGAAATCTCAATAAGCTCTATGGATTGTATCAATGTTAATGTCTCAGTTTTGATATTGTACTATAGTTATACAAGATGTTATGGTGGGGGAAACTGGATGAAGGGTACAGAGGACCTTCCTGCACATTTTTTTTGCAACTTCTAGTGAATCTATAATCGTTTTCCAAAAAGGTTTAAAAAAAAAGGAAATAAAAATTTCTTCCTGACCTTCTGCTAGGTGGTGAGGATGCAGCTATGAGCGCAACAGGCTGTATCTCTAGACTCATATGACTGAAACAGATAGGGAGGATAAGTTGTGGTTCTCATCACTCTTGGGACAAGCCAGGATCCTGAATAAGGTCTATTAGTTCCCCTAATGGGCCCTGCCAATCCTGGCAGCCTCACCTCCCGCTGTTCTTCAGTAACCACCTTGGCTTTTACAAGTTTCCTAGCGTGTAGGAGCTTCCTCCCCGACATGCCTCCCAACTCTCACCTGGGAGCAGCCTCCCCTGTGCTCCTAACCTGGTCAGGTCCCTGTACAGGCTCTGCCAGCTCCTTGAACCTCTTCTCCAGAGGTGCAATAGATCTAATCTCCCCTATTAAACTATAAGAATCGATGTTTTCGTTGCTCATGATTAAATCCTCAGCAATGTACACGGTGGCCAGAACATAGGAGTCACTCATGAATTTTTTGAATGAGTGAATGACTGAAAGGGCTTTAAGCAGAGGATAATGCAATCTGATTTGCTTTTTAAAAAATAAACTTTTGTGGGGGCTGGGCACAGTAGCTCACGCCTGTAATCCCAGCACTTTGGGAGGCCAAGGTGGGCAAATCACTTGAGGTCAGGAATTCGAGACAAGCATGACCAATGAGGTGAAGCCCCCTCTCTACTAAAAATTTAAAAATTAGTCACTTTGGGAGGCCGAGGCGGGCGGATCACGAGGTCAGGAGATCGAGATCATCCTGGCTAACACGGTGAAACCCCGTCTCTACTAAAAATACAAAAATCATTAGCCGGGCGTGGTGGCAGGCACGTGTAGCCCCAGCTACTGGGGAGGCTGAGGCAGGAGAATGGCGTGAACCCAGGAGGCGGAGCTTGGAGTGAGCCGAGATCACGCCACTGCACTCCAGACTGGGCGACAGAGTCAGACTCCGTCTCAAAAAAAAAAAAAAAAAAAAAAAAAAAAAATTTAAAATTAGCCAGGTGTGATGGCACACACCTGTAAACCCAGCGGGGAGGGAACTGAGGCAGGAGAATCTCTTGAACCTGGGAGGCGGAGGTTGCAGTGAGCTGAGTTCGCGCCACTACGCTCCAGCCTGGGCGGCAGAGTGAAACTCCGTCTCAAAAATAAAATAAAATAAAATAAAATAAGCTTTTGTGTTTTAGGGTAGCTATAGAATTACAGAATAATTACTGAAGTAGCATAGAGCTCCCAAATGTTCCATACCCATTTTCCCCTATTATTATTAACATCTTACCTTAATCTGGTAGATTTGTCACAATCAATGAAACAATACTGACACATTATTATTCACTGGAGTCCATACTTTGTCCAGAATTCCTGTTTTTCTCCCTAATGTTCTTTTTGGGATCCCATCCAGAACACACGTCCACAGTATAATTAGTTGTCGCGTCTCCTACAGCTCCTCGTGGTGTGTCAGCTTCTCAGGCATTCCTTATCTAAAGTCTTATCTATGCTTCACCTTCTTAAGAGCAGCTACACAGATTGAAGTTCTTCTGCTCGGGTTTGTCTCTTCTTCACTGTGTCTTTACTTATTTACTGGACTGTTTATTTATATAAATTAATCTATCCTTCATTCACCTACTGAAGGACATTTTGGACATATATTTATTTATATAAATATGGTCTCATGGATATTTATGTTTTGGGTTATAGCCTCCTTTTTTTGGTGTTCAAATTGTTCTAGCTTTGGACTTTGGGGGCTCTTTCAGTTGGCCTATGTGTCCCTTTAACATAACCCTTTCTTTATGGGAATTTATTTTGTGAGCACTTCGTTATTTTCTGGCACTAAAAGATGCTCCCGGCTTATCCTGTATATTTCCAACCTGAGTCCTAGGTTCAGCCTTTCTCAAAAAAGCCCTGGTTCCTTCCACTGAAAATGGTATTAGAAACCAAGCTCTGAGCAGTAGGTATGCTCATTGCTACTGGGGAGTCATTGCTTCATTGCTTGTAGGCCTGCTCAGTTGGCAGAAGAGCAAAATATATTAGGTTTGTGCAAAAGTAATTGCGGTTTTGCTGTTACTTTTAATGTAACTGTCTGTATCTATAATTCTATATGTAACCATTTATAGATATACCTCTGCATATATATAATGCTGTGTGTAACCATCTGCATCTATATTGAGAAGCATGAGTTCCTACTGAATGCTTCACCTCTAATCCATTACCACATAGATCCTTCCAGACTCCTCTCTTTATCTGGAATCTCCCATGCCTGCAGTGAGGAGCCTAGCTTCCATTATTTGCTTACTTTAGTTAATTCTTTAATCCCAGTATACGTGTACGGTGGTTTCAGAATTGTTAGCTCATATCCCTAGGGGGCACAACTTTATCAGCTAGAATAGAGTGTGTATGTAGAGTTCCTGTGCCTTTAGTCATTCATTTCCAAAGATACCTAAGCCAGCACTTTATTCCTCATCTCCTTCAACAACATTGTTCCATACATTTGTGGTACATTTAGATCCTTTTGTCGCATTCTGCCTCTCATTCTGGGTTCCCCAACATCCTAATTATTTTTATTTTTTTATTTTTTTTTAGACAGATTCTTGCTCTGTTATTCAGGCTGGAGTGCAGTGGTATGATCTCAGCTCACTGCAACCTCTGTTTCCTGGGTTCAAGCCATTCTCCCTGCCTCAGCTTCCCGAGTAGCTGGGATTACAGGCGCCCGCTGCCATGCCCAGCTAATTTTTGTATTTTTTAGTAGAGACAGGCTTTCGCCATGCTAACTAGGCTGGTCTTGAACTCCTGAACTCAAATGATCCTCTCATCTCAGCCTCCCAAAGTGCTGGGATTACAGATGTGAGCCACCGCACTCGGCTCCTAATTTTTTTTAAATTTACCTGATTAGGGTTTGCTCTCTGCACTGTAAAGTTCATAGAAATCCCCCATAGGGTTTTGCCAAATCCTTGTATATGCCATTATAGTATCACTCATACAAAAAAAAAAAAAAATCCCTGTGCTTCACCTATTCAATCATCCCCCCAACTTCTAACCTCTTGGCAAACACTGATCTGTTTATTGTCTCTGTCGCTTGCTTTTTCCAGAATGTCATATAGTTGGACTCATACAGTATATTGCTTTTTCAGACTAGTTTATTTCATTTAGCAATATGCATTTAAGATTCATCCATAACTAGAGTCAGGCGCGGTGGCTCATGCCTGTAATCCCAGCACTTTGGGAGGCTGAGGCAGGTGGATCAGCTGAGGTCAGGAGTTCGAGACCAGCCTGGCCAACATGGAGAAACCCCATCTCTACTAAAAATACAAAATTAGCCAGGCCTGGTAGTGAACGCCTGTAATCCCAGCTACTCAGGAGGCTGAGGCAGGAGAATCGCTTGAACCCGGGAGGCGGAGGTTGCTGTGAGCCGAGATTGCGCCATTGCACTCTAGCCTGGGCAACAAGAGCGAAACTCTGTCTCAAAAAAAAAAAAAAGATTCATCCATAACTTTGTTGGGCTTGATAGCTCAGTTCTAGTTGCTGAATAATATTCTATTGTGTGAATGTACCATAGTTTGTTCATCCATTCACCTATTGAAGGATATATTGGTTGCTTCTAATTTTGGACCATTATGAATAGAGCTGCTATAAACATTGGCATGCTGGTTTATGTAGGGACATACGCTTCCAAATCAGTTCAGTTTCAAATCACCTGAGTGTGATTGTTGACTCTGATAGTAAGACTATGTTTAGGCTGGGCACAGTGGCTCATGTCTGTAATCCCAGCATTTTGGGAGGCCGAGGAGTGTGGATTGCTTGAGCCCAGGAGTTCAAGACCAGCCTGGGCAACATGATGAAACCCTGTGTTTCCAAAATATACAAAGATTAGCCAGGCCTCATGGCATGCACCGTGTAGTCCCAGATACTAAGGAGGCTGAGGATGGGGGATCTCTTGAGCCTGGGAGGCAGAGGTTGCAGTGAGGTAAGATCACACCACGCACTCTAGCCGGGGCAACAGAGTGAGACCCCTGTCTCAAAAAAAAAAGAAAAAGACTAGGTTTAGTTTTGTAAGAAAGCGCAAATTCTCTTCCAAAGTGGCTGTACCATTTTTGCATTCCCACCAATAAATGAACATTCCTGTTGCTCCACATCCCCTCCAGCAGTTGGTATTGTTGGTTTTTGGATGTCCGCCATTCTAGTAGATGTGTGGGGGTATGTCATTATTGTGGTGATTTGCAATTCTCTAGTAACAAATTATGTTTAACTACAGATTAAGTATTCTAAAATCATCATTTTGGGCCAATGCCCATTATTTAACTGGCTTAACAGTAATAATAATATTGATTCAGAAATTTTATTTAGTCAGTTATTTAAGAGAACATTTTGCAGCTAGTTTTGCTTGAGGTGTTCATCAGGTCATGACATGGTTTAAAGCTATTTCATCATTGCACTGATGAGATATTTTATCATTGCACTGGTAAGATATTTTATCACTAAGATTATATCTGTTTTAAAATTTTCAAACTAAAACTACTAAATGTATGGTAACAAATTTTGAGGCTTCCATTCATCCATTGTTGAAGTGACCTAAAATCTTTTTTTTCTTTCTTTCTTTTTTTCTTTTTTTGAGACGGAGTCTCGCTTTGTCGCCCAGGCTGGAGTGCAGTGGCGTGATCTTGGCTCACTGCAAGCTTCACCTCTCAGGTTCACGCTGTTCTCCTGCCTCAGCCTCCGGAGTAGCTGGGACTACAGGCGCCCGCCACCGCGCCCAGCTAATTTTTTGTATTTTTAGTAGAGACGGGGTTTCACCGTGTTAGCCAGGATGGTCTCGGTCTCCTGACCTCGTGATCCGCCCGCCTCGGCCTCCCAAAGTGCTGGGATTACAGGCATGAGCCACGGCGCCTGGCCAAAGTGACCTAAAATCTTGACCCAGTCCAAGGGTACTTCCTCATCCCATCTCCATGCAGGGAATGTTCATCCTTTTAGAACATGTTGATAGCAAGTCCATCATTTTTAAGAGGATTTTTAAACCATATTCTCAGCTCTACTGGATGTTAAATCATGTGACTATGAACTTAATAGGCAACGTGCATCACAGGACATGTCAGGGAAGATAGGTTCAAATGTATTGCTGCTGAGCATGCACAGAAAGCTTAAGTAAGAGAAATAATAATGATGCAGGATTACTTGAAGGCTGTATTGACCATCTATTCATTTAGACTAATAAGGATGGAGATAGATTCAAATTGATCACAATGGTGATGCTCTAAAGAGACAGACCATGAGGTTCTGCTTCCCAGTTCCCTAGAACTCCCTTGGTCCAGGACCTTCTGAGGGCTGGTGGTTGAGGTTTTCATTTGATTCTCACAGTTGATAGAGCAAACTTTAAGAAGCTGATATAGAGGAGAAAAAGGATCAAGTTAGGCATCAGGTTCCTGGGTCCACTACCTAACACCAGTGCTTCCTTGGACAAGTTACTTAAGCTCCATAAGCCTATTTCCTCATGTGGAAACTGGTCATAACAATCGCATTATAATCCCTACTTTGTCCAAATTAGATGAACACTGTGTGTAAGACAGCACCATTGTCTTACAAAGCAGTTACAAACTGGCAGCCAGATCAGGCACAGGGGCAGGCCATTTACCCTGCAAGATGATATATGTTTTAAAAGTTTGAGTCAACTTTTTCAAGTTCAAAAACTTCATATTAAGCCAAGATTTATGGCTTCCTTTAAAAACTTTAATGGATCTCACAATACAGTCCCTACATTTCCAAGAGCCGAGCAGCAGCCCTGCCCTTTAGGCAAAGCACCAGCTCTCCAGGTGCCTCAGCTCCCTACCTTCCTAGCTGTCTCTATGTTTTTTTTATTAAAACCACAAATAAACTGTAAAGCCATAAAATAAGTGATTAATATTATTGCTGGAGATAACTTACGGAAGGCTTCTTAACACCTGAGAGGCGATGTTTCACTCAGAGTAAAGGTGAGGGTAGCCTCTATACGGCTGGTGACAGAAGGTGCCCATGGCACAATTCAGTTTGTTGAGCCAAATTTTCTGTGCTTCATTCCACAGTCTTTGTAATCTGAGCATGCATGGCTTGAGAAACACTTTTTAGGCACACACTTTGATATAAAACAATTTGTCAAAAAAAAAAGATGCTGGAAATTCCAGAGTCAAGTAGTCTGCCTTACTGACATCATTCATGGCAATAATATTATATGGGCTGCTATGAGCATCTGCTCAATATTATATGGGCTGCTAGGGGCATCTGCCCACTTTCCTAGAATGCCACTTTTCTTTCACTGGGTCTATCCAAATTGGAAACTCCAAAGCCCATCCCAGTTCTCTCCCACCATCATCATCATCATCATCATCATCATCATCAATCATCATCATCGTCATCTCATCATCATAGATGTGATGATGATGATCTCTCTCTCCCTTGACCTCTTAGGGAAATTACTATCTATAAAAATTAACTGGCAATGAGTCACATGTTGCTTTGAAACCTGTTCTATCATATCATGATGTCTTATTGTATGACCTATAATTTATTTGATTCTTTTGTAGGGACAGGGTCTTGCTATATTGCCGGGGCCAGTCTCAAACTCCTGGCCTCAAGTGATCCTCCCACCTCAGCCTTTCAAGTAGCTGAGACTACAGGCATGAGCCACCACACCCAGCTTATGACTTAATTATTCATATACAGGTAGTATTCACTTTGCATGGTACTGTGGAACTGTAAAAATCACCATGCAATCTGAAACCACGCAAAGAAATATTAATAATCAATGGGGAAAATATGATTTTTCTTTCTTTTTTTTTTTTTGAGACAGAGTCTCGCTCTTTTGCCCAGGCTGGAGTGCAGTGGCGCGATCTCTGCTCACTGCAAGCTCCGCCTCCCGGGTTCACGCCATTCTCCTGCCTCAGCCTCCCAAGTAGCTGGGATTACAGGTGCCCGCCACCACGCCCGGCTAATTTTTTGTATTTTCAGTAGAGACGGGGTTTCACCGTGTTAGCCAGGATGGTCTCGATCTCCTGACCTCGTGATCCGCCTGCCTCGGCCTCCCAAAGTGCTGGGATTACAGGCGTGAGCCACCGCGCCCGGCCTGATTTTTCAATGATACGTTCTAATGCTTGTAAAAACATTAAAATCTCTCTTACTGGCAGTTATAAACAATAGGAAAATGAAAAGGAACAGTAAAACTGATATTTGATTATGCCTTGGTGAATTGGCATACTCCTTTCTAAGTTTGCATCACTTCCAACATTTTCCCCTTTGTGCTTTCAATGTCATAAAATATATCTGAGAGTTCCATTAACTTAAAGTGTTTCCCCACCACCACCTTTTTTTTTTTTTTCTAGAGTTACTTCCTCTGGGGTATCTTCTTCATTCTTTTTGTCATGACCTTTTCCCTCATTTATGTCTGTAAGTTTATTGTCAATAAGTCCTTCTGGCTGTATATCTAGAGTTTCTCCGAAGGTGGCAGGGTCAACATTCACATGATCAGCTATGTCTTCCATAACTCCACATGGTCAGCTATTTCTTCTATAACTCCATTTACATCCCATTCAAATTTCACTTCCATCTTTAACACTTTTTGTTTCTTTTGTGTACTTTCATCTTTGTTGGCCAATTTGACCTTCTAATTATCTGTTTTTATAAAATGCCACCTGGGTTTATCACTGAGAATCACCGAGGCAGCACAACTACACACTTTGCTGGCAGTGCAATTGAATGACATATGCACAATGACCAATCACTGCAGATTTTGAAAGAACTTGCTGCGATTGGTCACCAAGCACTGCAGGTGTTGGAATAAAGGTCATGATTGGTAACTGACTGTGGTGCGCATCTGTTACTTACATAGTGATTTGTGGACTGAAGAGCTAGCAGCCCCATTTGTGCTCCATGCAATGACTCACAGTTAATATGCCATGGTAACTGTAATTTGAACCGTGTTGTTGGAAGACTGAGTTATTTAATGAAACCATGGTAAATGAGTTCGTTTCATGCTTAATCAGAACCACGAGAAGCAAAGCCTGCCTGTATTTGTATTCTGTCTTCACAAGTCCAGTGTAAGCCCCATGAGGGCAGGACCCATGACTCAAGAAGTCATCTGCACATATTCCCCATGCTCACCCCAAGCACCTACTACAGTACCTTGTGTATGAAAAAATACTCGATAAATATTTACTGAATTTTATTTTCTTCACCAGAGAAAGAACTGTGTAGATGTAACACAGTATTGAAAGTCAAGAGACTTCAATTCTTGGTCTGGGTCTGGAACTAATTGAGTATGATTTTTCAGACACTCTCTCTTTTAAAAAAATGTATTTTAAGCAAAATCTCTACCTATGGTAAGGATATAATCAGAATTCTAACAACTATTGTGTCTTAGTCATATTCAAGATGAAAAAACTGTTTTAGTTTATTATTTTATTATTTATATTATTTTATTATTTTTTGAGATGGAGTCTTGCTTTGTTGCCCAGTCTGGAGTGCAGTGGCGCGATCTCAGCTCATTGCAACCTCCACCTCCTGGATTCATGCAATTCTCATGCCTCAGCCTCCTGAGTAGCTGGGATTACAGGCATGCACCAACATGCCCGGCTAATTTTTGTATTTTTATTAGAGATATATTCCCTCTTTCAGTGTTCCTGGGAGCTCCTTAATGAGCCAAAACACAAAGCCATTCTGACAGAGAATGCTGGCTGTCAGCTGCATTCATTCAGAGCTAAGTGATCTGATCCACACACCAGCCTAACAGCCAAAGTGATCTCACTAAAATGACCAATATCACTGCAAAGGAAGGTTTTCCAGGCCAAGAGAACGTGCATGTGCAAAGACCCTGGGGCAAGAAAGAACCTGGCATTTCGTAGCTACCAAAAGCCCATATGCAGGAGAGCACAGAGGGCAGAAAGATGTGAAGAGAATCACGAGATGGCCCAATGACGAAAGGGGAAGAGCTGGAAGGGAGTGCCATGAGCCCCTGTTGAAATCCCTCTGGCTGCAGTGTGGTGAGTGGATGGCAGAAGAGTCACAAAGGATGTGGGGGAAGAAGCTGTGAAAGGATGCCAGAAGAGATGTGATGTGACCTGGCCCTGGGTGGAAGCAAGGGAGATGGGAACAAAGGCATAGCTTCCAGAGAGGTCAAGATGTCAAACCAGTGTTTGAGGCAGGTGGTCCATGTGTGGTCCCAGAACAGCAGCATCAGCAGCATCTGCAGGGAACTTGTTAGAACACGAATTCTCAGGCCCACTGTAGACTTCCTGAATCAGAAGCTCTGAGATTTCTGAACAGTTGGGGTTTTCTCAAGCCCTCTGGAGGAGTCTGCCTCTTGCTCAAGTGTGAGGTCCACCAGACGAGGTGATAGAAACAGAAAAGAACCTGCAAAGATGACTCCTGAGCAAGGGGGCTCTCCCACAGGGCCTGGGTGTCAGTGAGTGCTCTTCGGGGGCAAGAGAGAACCCTGGGAAGCACTGAGAAGCAGACAGCAAAGCCCCTCCAAAAAATGGTGTGAAACTCCAATTTCATTTTATTTAATTAATTAATTTATTTATTTATTTGAGACAGAGCCTCGCTCTGTCATCCAGGCCAGAGTGCAATGGCATGATCTTGGCTCACTGCAACCTCCGCCGCCCGGGTTCAAGCGATTCTCCTGCCTCAGCCTCCCGAGTAGCTGGGATTATAGGCAAGCACCACCACGCCTGGCTAACTTTCGTATTTTTAGGAGAGATGGGGTTTCACTATGTTGGCCAGGCTGGTCTTGAACTCGTGACCTCAGGTGATCCGCCTGCCTTGGCCTCCCAAAGTACTCCGATTATAGGCATGAGCCAACATGCCTGGCCTGAAACTCCAATTTTAATTTGAAGGACACATTTGACAACATATGAATTAAATATATCTATATGGTAGATTTCTCACCAAGAATTTAGATGAAAAAAAGAGGGAAAGGAGACAGTTGCAACATTTATGACGAGGGAAACGGTCACTATCCCTAATATGCAAAGGAGTCCATGAGGAAACTCGATAGAAAACTGGATAAAGAAAGTGAGTGGGAATTTCACAAAACGAAGAAATACCGATAATGAATAAAAAGATCATCAGTCTACTTAGTAACCAAGGCAATGCAAATTAAAGTGGCAATGACATTTCTGCCTATCAGATGGCCACAAGAATTTTTTAGACCAAATAACATCCAGTGGATCATATTCCACATTGTGGTCGAGAATAGAAATTGGTACAATCTTCGGTGATGGTAATTTGATGGAGTCTTTTAAAACTTAAAAATGCTCATTCTCTGAAAATGAGCAGAAAAAAAGAATTTGTATGACAATAATTTTTGAAAGTGATAAAATAAACTGTTAAGACAGTTTAATTTCTACGTAGATACCATCTTATTCATAACATATTATACCAAGTAATTCTCAATTTACTTTCAAGGTAATTATAAATCCCTGAAGTCATTATACATCTCACCCAAGGAATTATAATATCTAGCAATAACAAAAATACATTGAAAAGGAGTAAACTGCTCAGCAGATTTTGAATATTTTATTTTGAAATTCAACGTGGAACTTAACCAAAATATTGTTTTATTTCTCTTGGCAAAGTATCTCAACAGAGAGCTATTTCCCTAGGAAAAAAAGAAAATCTTTTATTCCCTATGAAATCAAGTCCACTCTAAGGAAGCTGATTAGGAAGGAGAACTGAGTGCCTCAAGCTCAGTAGTGCTGTCCCGTGAAGATGATGTGACTTGGCCCCCAAAGGGTGGAAGAGCCCTTACCGGCATCACGAGTAAGGGCAGGTGAGAAAGGTGGGCACCTGCAGGTGGTGCTCTGGGGTCTACACACAGTGACATGCACAGGTGACACAAACCGTGGTATTTATAGGAGTATTCAAAGGCAGGCTAACCTCAAACACTCTCAGCTTAGAAATGTACAGATAGATAACGTTTAAACTGAGACAAAGCTTTGCAGTTTATGTGAAGCTCAAATGCTGCTGAAGCTGCTCTGTTTCCTGGCCCACCCATCCACCAGCCTGTGTATCCTCCCCAATGAACAAATGATGGACCAAAATGTGGTATGGCAAATGGCAAATGTAAAACTGGAGCAAAGAGATTGTCAGGCTCTTTGAGAATATTACTTTTTCTAAAATATAGTTGATTGATTATTCTTTTGAGAGATAATCATAGGCCCAGTGGAAGTTCAAAGGTATATATCGAAAGTCAATTGGCCTCCCACCCTCTGAACTTGCTTTGAATTCCTTGTGTGTCCTCCCAGGACAGTCTATGCATACACAAATACCTCCTCTATGTGTAAATGTCAGTGGCATGCTATTCACACTCTTCTGAGTTTGTCTTATTTCACTTAACCATATACTTTGGAAATTGATCCACATCTGTATCTCTAAATCTGACTCATTTTTTAAAAGTCATTTTATTTTAAATAAAATGTGGATTCAGGGCAGGGCATGGTAGCACATGCCTGTAATCCCAGCACTTTGGGAGACCAAGGCAGGCAGATCACCTGAGGTCAGGAGTTCAAGACCAGCCTGGCCAACATGGTGAAACCCTGTCTCTACAAAAATACAAAAACTAGCTGGGCATGATGGGGGGGTGCCTATAATCCCAGCTACTCGGGAGGCTGAGGTAGGAGAATTGCTTGAACCTGGGAGGCAGAGGTTGCAGTGAGCCGAGAGCACCATTGCACTCCAGCTTGGGTGACAGAGTGAGACACCATATCAAAAGAAAAAAATAAAATATGGATTCAGAAAACTGCAAAATAAAATATATGGCTTAATGAATTATTTGAAGGTAAATACTACCTAGGATAAGAAATAGAACTTTGCCAGCCACCCCAGAAGCACCTCCATATTCCCTACCTAATCCCTGTCTTCTCCCTCCCACCATAAGTGACATTAATCTGACTTGTTTTCATTTTTATTTTTATAGCTTTATCACCCAAATTTGCTCCCCTAGACCTTATACTTTAGTCCTACCTATTCTAAAAAATGTGTGCTAGGTCTTTTAAGTCTCTTTTAATCTATATGGTTCCTCCTCCATCCATTTCATTTCTTTACAACTTATCGTTGACAAATCTGGGCTAGTCGAATTTCCCATGTCTGTCTTTTTCTTTTCTTTTCCTTCTTTTTTTTTTTTTTTAGATGGGGTCTCACTCTGTCACCCAGACTGGAGTGCAGTGGCTCAATCTCGGCTCACTGCAACCTCCACCTCCTGGGTTCAAGTGATTATCCTGCCTCAGCCTCCAGAGTAGGTGGGACTACAAGCGCGCGCCACCACACCTGGCTAATTTTCTGTATTTTTAGTAGAGACGGGGTTTCACCATGTTAGCCAGGATGGTCTTGATCTCCTGACCTTGTGATCCACCCGCCTCAGCCTCCCAAATTGCATGTTGGTAGCAATTTGCTATGCCCTTTACACTTAAGGGTCAGTTTTTCTGGGTATAACATTTTTGGCTTATACTGTCTTTCCTTGAGTATGTTAAATATGCTAATCCATTCTCCTTTGGTATAAAGCATTTTTCTCAAAAAATCCTGGTAATAGTCTATTTTTCTTTTCCTTATAAGTCACATAAGACTTTTTCAAGATGTCCAAAGAATTTCTCTAGAGGTTCAAATGATTTTTTTTTTCTTAAGTACTAATAATTTCAGTAGGATATATCTTGACAGCAGTCATCCTGGGCCGATATTCTCAAGTGTGCATTGAACCTTTTCTTTCTTTCTTTCTTTCTTTTTTGAGACAGGTTCTTGCTCTGTCACCCAGGCTGGAGTGAGTACAGTGGTACAACCTCAGCTAACTGCAACCTCTGCCTCCCGGGTTCAAGCAATTCTAGTGCCCCAGCTTCCTGAGTAGCTGGGATTACAGGTGCAAGCCACCACACCCAGCTAATTTTTGTATTATTATAGAAATGAGATTTCACCATGTTGGCCAGGCTGTTCTCGAATTCCTGGCCTCAAGTGATCTGCTCACCTCAGCCTCCCAAAGTGCTGAGATTACAGGCATGAGCCACCGCATTCACATTTCAATATACATTATCAAATCTTTTATTTCAAGGAAGTTTTCTTGGATTATAGCTCTTAGTACTTCCTCTGTTCTCTTGCTTTGGTTTTCTTCATGAGGAAAACCTATTATTCATATGTACAATAGCCTTCAATGTTCACTACTTTCTCTTAAATCCTTCTCTCTTCATTTCTTTTTTTTTTTTTTTGTCTTATTTCACCTTTTATGTCTCTCGAGGCATTACCCTTGTATTTGTTTACTTTTGTGTTCCTTCCAGGAACACAGGTATTGACATCCATCAAATGTATTTAAATCCATGGATTCATAATAATTAGTCTACCTTACAGAATAATTATTTTTAGTTCTACTTTTTTCCTGAGTTGTCACTTCATTTCCAAGTTTCTCTAATTCTGATTGATGCTGTTCTGCCATGTCTATCATGTACTTAATGTCTTTTTCTGAAATAGATCAAACAGAAGCTTGCTGTTTTATGACTATGTCTCTCTGCCATGACTTGTCAGTTACAGTGTTACCCTATTCTTTATTCTCTCTAGTTTTTAAAATTACTTTGCATAGGATTGAACTTGATACTCTTCTAGTGCTCGTTTTTTCATGTGAAATCAAGTTTTCCTAAACTTTTAGAACAAGTCAGGGTTCCCTAGGGGGACAGAACTAATAGAATAGAGGGATAGATAGATAGATAGATAGATAGATAGACAGACAGACAGACAGATAGATAGATATAGATAGATAGACAGAGAAAGGGGAGTTTATTAAGTATTAAATTATATGGTCACAAGGTCCCACAATAGGCCGTCTGCAAGCCTGAGGAACAAGGAGAGCCGGTCCGAGTCCCAAAACTGAAGAACTTGGAGTCTGATGTTTGAGGGCAGGAAGCATCCAGCATGGAAGAAAGATGTAGGCTGGGAGACTAGGCCAGTCTTGCCTTTTCACGTTTTTCTGCCTGCTTTATATTTGCTGGCAGCTGATTAGATTGTGCCCACCAGATTAAGGGTGGGTCTACCTCTCCAAGCCCACTGACTCAAATGTTAATCTCCTTTGGCAACACCTCACAGACACACCCAGGATCAATACTTTGCATCCTTCAATCCAATCAAGTTGACACTCAGTACTAATCATCACAAAGGCCATGTTAAGGAATGCTTTTCAAACTTCACAGGGCTCCTACTTCTGTGTTCAAAAATAGAGCCACCTGCTTTCAGGGATTTGCTGGCTGTTTCTTTCCCCCAATGCAGATGGAAACTGCTCCTTCCTTTCTTTCATCCTTGTCTTGCTCAATTTTGATTCCTCTCCCAGCGCTTTCTCCTGAGTGTGGAGCCCTTCCTGATCAGTCTTGGGAATTCCTAGGGGCTCGACTGCTCCTGCCTCCTCCTGCCTCCTCCTGCCTTCTTTATTATTATTATTATTATTATTATTATTTATTTATTATTATTATTTTTTGAGACAGAGTCTCGCTCTGTTACCCAGGCTGGAGTGCAGTGGCGCCATCTCGGCTCACTGCAAGCTCCGCCTCCCAGGTTCGCCTCCCAGGTTCGCCCATTCTCCTGACTCAGCCTCCCGAGTAGCTGGGACTACAGGCACCTGCCACCACACCTGGCTAATTTTTTTGTATTTTTAGTAGAGACAGGGTTTCACCCTGTTAGCCAGGATGGTCTCGATCTCCTGACCTCGTGATGCGCCCGCCTCGGCCTCCTAAAGTGCTGGGATTACAGGCTTGAGCCACCGTGCCTGGCCTCCTCCTGCCTTCTTACTGTGGGCACCTGAACTACCTCGCACTAGAGAGGCAACTCTTCAGCTCCACCTGCTCGTCTCGAATTGGCCCACAATACTTTCTAGTGAATACTGGTATATCTGGGGTTCTTCTGTTCTCAGGTCTATCATGCCTCACCCCCTTGCTTTCTAACTTCTTTCAGCCCCTCAAACCCAGATACCATGCAACTCTTGAGGCTGTTGGCCATTTATATATGCTAGGTTAGTGGGAATAATTTGTCACCTAGTTTTGTCATAAATATTTTCCTTGGGTTGTGGGTTTTGCTGCCTAGTTTCTGTGTGTCTGCATGGGGACTTGGAAAAACTGAAAACTTGGACCCCTTTGCCTAGAATCTGGTTTATTCTTTATAACAGGGGCACTGTATTTATCTAACCAGTCCCCTATTGATGGATATGTGGGTTGTTTCTGAATTTTGCTATCACAATCAATGTGCCCTATTATTGTTTGAATGTTTGCCCCCTCCCAAACTCATGTTGAAATTTAATTACCATTGTAACAGTATTAAGAGGTGGGACCTCTAAGAGGTGATTAGGCCATGAGGGCTCTGCCCTCATGAATGGATTAATACTGTTATTGTGGGAGTGGATTCACCCCCGTTCATCTCTCTCTCACCTCTCTTTGCCCTTCTGCCATGTTATGACTGATCAAGAAGGCCCTCACCCCATACACAGTTCCCAGAACTGTGCACCAGTCATCTGTTTATTATAGATTGCCCAATCTATAATATTAATTATTATTGTTACCCAATTATTACTAATTAATACTCAATCTATAATAATAATAATCTGTTTATTATATATTACCCAATCTGTGATATTCAGTCATTGCAGCACAAAATGGACCAAGTCATACCCTTTACACAAGTGCATATGAGCAGGTACATCTGTAGGATACATTTCTAGAGGTGGAATAGTTCAATAAGGATATGAACACAGTAGGTGCTCAAAAATATTTGCTAATTTGAGTTAGAAAATGTATTTGCCACAATAGTAATAAAATTTGTTCTGGCCCACAGCCCAGGTAGACTTCTATTGAGAACAATGTACTTAAATACTGTTAAGCACAACTTTGGGGCTCCTTGAGCAGAAGAAAGAGGAAACAAAAAAAGACACTGATTCATTCCTGCAGTTAGCAATCAGGTGTTGCCTAGTGTACTACAGACTCTACTGGGGCCTGGGGATATAGCAGAGGTCCTAGCCCTGTTGGAGCTCACAGTTCAGAGTGGAGATGCCTTTGTTGTTTGAGCAACTTTGAGAATTAAATGATTGCTCTTCATACTCACAATTGAGTAACACTTCGTAAAACGTACCATCCAATCTTTGTCTACACCTAGAAAAACTTCAGGGTAAATTTCAGTGCAGAGCACAGGGAGAACAGCTGTCCAGGATAAATACTTAGATGTCAGCTGTCCATTTGGTCATATGCCATTTCTGAGAGTCAGTCTACAACCTCCTCTTCAGAAGGCACCCAAGGTTTTCTGTAAACAGATGAGGCTGCTTCAGGGGTACACTGCGATGCTTCATTCCTGTTGGTACTGGAGTACAAATCTGGGAACTTTAAAATGCATCGATGGTGGAAAAAAAGAAAAAAACAAAACAAAAACAAATAGCAAAAGCGGTGTGCATTGCTTCAGTTTCAGCCAAGTTCATTCTCTCTTCCAGAAACCCAGCTTCCATGCTGATGTCCTTAAGCCATCAATGCCGTCAACAATGCTGTTATTCCCTAAGTTCAGGGTCAATAAAGGCAGAGCTAGCTCCGCAGCTCATGGCAAAGATCTCCATTTGGCCATAACATTTTCCCAGATTGACCTCGTAATGTTTTTCAACACGGTGCTCTGGACAACCTCTACAAAGAGGTGAAGGCATCCAAGCTGAGTCTCATCTCCCATCCCCTATGTGACTATTCTGCACTGAAACCTGGGACTCTTCCTCCTTCTTTATCCCTCTGCAGTGATTCAGTCCCCAAGTCCAAGTCTATTCCAATGATCCCTTCACCTCTATATTTCTTCTACTCTTTCTGATCATCCTCCATAAGTTCTGCTGCCAGATTAACCTGTCACCCCTTTGAAGCCATGATTCATGTGGGCTGGTCTCAGGCTGATGTGATGTTCAAAGAAACGCAGTCTAGCATCCACTTGTATTTTCAAAAATTGCTCCCGTCCTTTATGTCTCTTTAGTCCCATGCAGGAGATACTTTGCCTATAGAAACATTTCTCAAACACCCTCTTTGTCTGTCTCCTACTCCCATCACTTCCTGGGGCTTCTTCTGTGCTTTCTTGTCTAAACTCCCCCAGTCCCTAGCCCCGGACTCTGAGACACTTCTCACTCCACCCTTCCCCCTTCCCTGGTCTTTGCATCACAAAAGCCCAAAGAGTCAGCAGGGAAATGACCCAGCCTTTCTTAGAGAGCTTGGGGAAAGAAACCTGGTGGGGAAACTCTTTTAGTCGGACAGACAGAGGCATATTAAAACTCATTAAAAAAAAAACTCTTAAAAAAGAAAAACACTTTGTAAATGTAATTTTTTCTGCTCCTTGACACAGATTTTCCCATCATCCCCTAGCGTCTAATGGATAGAGTCCACGCTCCTGGCCTGGGAGTCAAGACCCTCCACGTGCACCCTTAACTTATGTCTCAAGCTTCTCTACTGCTTCCCAGCCTTACCCCTCTGCCCTTCCCAGCCACTTTATCTGCTGTCCCTGACCACACCACCAATATCCCAGCATGCTGGCTCCTCTCTTCTTCCCCATCCAATTCCCGATTTTCCTTCCAGTGTCATCTCAAGTGGCTTTATCTCGGGGTTTGATGTTTTCTGCTCCTCCCAAACCTCCCAAGCCTTCTGACTCTTCATAAGAGTTTGTTCGGTGAATGAATGAAGCCCTCACTTCATGCCCTTCTCTGGTACAGGAATCGCATCATTCAGGAAGCTTCTTTGAGCAACTAACAGGCATTTTCTTAGCTTATTTCGTTGCCTTTAAACCAAGGCTGCCATTTCTGCCTGTGCGTTCTGTCTGCCTTCGCTGCACCTCCACTCCTTCAAGCTTGGATTGATGACTTCTGTTCTCTAATTTTATCTGGGCAATCAAATTCCCAAAATATGTGTAAAAGAGAAGATTGCATTCCTATTTTACAAACGTGGCAACTCTGTGGAATTTTTAATCAGATACCAGCTTTTCTGCATCTCTGTGATGTTTTTCCTCCTTCGGAGTCAGTAGATAGGGCCTTTTGCTTTGCATTGTTGACCATTGTCCTTGCCTTCTGACATTTTTTGCTGTCTTCCTCACGTGCATTCCACAGTCAGAATACTGGGCTTTGTCCTTCCCTCTTTCATTACAAGAAGCTCTGCTATAAGGATGTTTTGTGGGTTCCTCAGCTCTAATGAAATTCCAGGCATTTCCTTGAAGCTGGCCCCCAGGGAGAAGCTACTCTCACTGGTCTGTGACGCTCAGCTAGAGAGGAGATGACGGCGTGAGTTTGGTTCTGGGCTGGAATTTCTTGTTGCAACATCCCAGCGTGGCCCCTCTTAGAACCTTCCCACCACCACATTCAAATCTTATTCCTCCAGCCTCTGGCACACCTTCAGCCTGCTACCAGCAGAGAAAAAAAAAAAAAAGACATATGTTCTTGCTCCATATATCCTTGAGGTGGGCAAAAAAATTAAATGTTAACCATGGAGGAAATTGTGCACATCCAGACAGGACACTGTGGCAGTCAGATCAGTGCCAAATTCTGGGAAGTTATCAGTGATGGTCATAGCATGGACCTACCAGTACCTGCCCAGGGACCACGATCTGTAGCTGGACCACATCTTGGTGTGCCACAGTGAAGGCACTGGGGACAAATATGTTCCTCCCACTATCCTGGTGGATCCAGAACCTGGGATCATGGACTCTGCTCAGATCCTTTTGAAACCATGCCCCAAAGAGTTAAAGAAACCAGTGACTCACAGAAATTCTTAAGCCTGCAGGATGGCAGATAAGAAAAGAAACAGCTTGCTGAAATTCCCTCCAACTATAAGGTAACAAAACAGGCTGAAATCAGTTGAAACCAATACGGCCCACTGGAGTATACGCAGAACGAGACTGGTGATGCTACGACCTGAATTTCCTCTGCATGTTTCATCCTAACTCCCCCAGAATTTGCACGTGGGCCCCATAAAAAGGCAGGAAGAGATAATTGTCCATGCCCAAGGACTTTGCAGACCACCCTTTTCACTCCCTGAACCTTTTCTAACAAAAGTACAGCCTTATGCCCAGCACAGGGAGACCGATTTGAGCTAGAATGCTATCTCCTTGTTGATAGACCTGCAATAAAAAGCGTTTCTTTTCTGAAAAACCCAGTGTCATAGCGTTGGCTTCTAGCGCATCGGGTAGTGAGCACTTTTGCTTAGATCTGCAGACCAGACCACTTTGTTTTCGGTCAGTTTGGGGCAGGCAGCAGTACACAGTGGAGCTGAGCTGGTTGATTCATTCCTGGATATGTGCAGAAGGAAGCTGAGAGCTGTGACTGCCTTCAGGGCTTCCAGCTGACCCACTCACTGGGTGAGGGCACAGGCTCTGGAATGGGCACCCTCCTCCACAGCAAGATCCGAGAAGAGGATCCTGACCACATCATGAACACCTCCAGTGTAATGCCCTCACTCAAAGTGTTTGGCACTGTGGCTGAGCCCTGCAGTGCCCCCTCCCCATCCATCCACTGGTAGAGAACACTGATGAGACCTGCGGCACAGACATTGAGGCTCCTTATAATATTCGCTTCCGCACCCTCGAGCTGACCACACAAAACTATGAGGACCTGACCCACCTGTCTCAGCTAACATGCGTGGGGTCACCACCTTCCTCTGCTTCCCTCACCAGCTCAATTCGGACCTCTGCAAGCTAGCAGTCAATACAGTGTCCTTCCCACGCCTCCAGTTCTTCATGGCTACCTTTGCCCCTCTCACCAGTTGTGGAAGCCAGCTGTATAGGGCTCTCACCATGCCCAAACTCACCCAGCAGGTCTTTGATGCCAAGAACATGATGGCTGCCCCACCAGGACTGCCTTCTTCCATGAATATCCATCCATTCATGAAGGAAGTCAATGAGCAGATGCTCAGTGTGCAGAACAAGAGTCGCCAGCAGCTATTTCATGGAATGGATGCTAACAACGGTCAAGACAGCCATGTGGGACATCCTTCCTCATGGCCACAAGATGGCGGTCACGTTCGTCGGCAACAGCGCGGCCACCCAGAAGCTCTCCATGGCCTCTCAGGGCAGTTCCCTGCTGTATTGTGCGGGAAGGCTGTCCTCCACTGGTATGCAGGGGAGGGCATGAACGAGATGGAGTTCGCTGAGGCCGAGAACAACATGAATGACTTCATCTCTGAACATCGACAGTCTAGGACGCCGCCGCAGAAGAGGGAGAGGACTCAGTGAGGAAGCCCAGTGGGAGGCCTAAGGCAGAGCTCCCATCACCTCTGGCATCTCAATTCCTTCAGCCTTCTTCCTTGGCTGCCCCTTTCTTCTCCCTCAGTAGTCGTGTTTGCTGCCTTTACCTTGTTTATCTGGGGAGAGGGAGGGTCTAGAGCAGTGCCTGGTACATAGTAAGTGCTCAATAAATATTTGTCTGCTGAATGTCTCCTCTCTCTTTCCACTCCAGGAAACCTAGATTTCTGCCGATCTGGGTAACCGTGTATTTCCTTCTGGTACCCTCCTCCCATCTGCCCAATTAATATGTCCCTCTGTTTTCAAAATAATTCTCCAGGAAGCTGGGTCCCATTCAGATCCCATTTAGAACCAACCGGGTGCTGAAAACCCAGATAATGTGCACCATCCTATGTCCACGTAGTAGCCAGCACTGGGAAGGTAGAAGGTGGCAGGAAGAAGTTACTGCAAGGGGCTGGGCATGGTGGCTCACGCCAGTCATCCCAGCACTTTGAGAGGCTGAGGCTGGAAGATTGCTTGAGCTTAGATGTTTGAAACCAGCCTGGGCAACATAGCAAGACCACGTCTCTATTTTTTTTTTAAGTAACAATAAAAAAAAAGAAAGAAGTTACTGCAAGGAAGAGGATGGGATTTTCCATTCTAGAACGGTTTTGGAGAGGGAAATCCAGGCTCATAAAGCCATAATTCCCAGGTATTTCTGTGCTCCAATTCTCAGGTTCAGGGGAGGTGGTAACAGCATTATCCCATTTTCAGTTTCCTTTGGAGGAGTCGCCCCGCTTCACCAAGAGAGGTCTTTCCTTCTCCCACCACTCCTCTTCTCTCACAAATTTTTTTTTCTTTTTTTTTTTTTTGAGACGGAGTCTCCCTCCATTGCCCAGGCTGGAGTGTAATGGTGCGATCTCAGCTCACTGCAACCTCTGCCTTCCGGGTTCAAGCGATTCTGCTGCCTCAGCTTCCTGAGTAGCTGGGATCACAGGCACACACCACCATGCTGGGCTAATTCTTGTATTTTTAATGGAGCTGGGTTTTCACCATGTTGGCCAGTCTGGTCTCGAACTCCTGACCTCAGGTGATCCGCCCACCTCTGCCTCCCAAAGTGCTGGGATTAGACGTGAGCCACAACGCCTGGCCCCCTCTCACATTTTGGATCCCTTCCTTTTCCCTAATCAGAAAAGGAGATTAAGAGGGAGAGATCTGCCTGGGTCCCTTAGCCTCTAGAAATGCCCTCTCCATTCCCAATTTGTCTTACCCCTTAAAAGGTGTAACATCCCTGACATATGTGGGAAGGTGTGTTCCCCCACCTAAATGTTTGAGTCATTCCCAAGATGAGAGGGGATGGGGCAACATCTCATCTCTTCCTTTTGCTATTCCCTTTTTTCCCCTGCTCTTGGTTTTGTCCTACCCTACACTTCAGATTTCTATTTTGGGTTGAACTTGCTGCTTTTTCCTCATAATGAAAAGATGACATTGTCCCAAGAGCCAAAATTAAATGGGAATTGGAAAAAAATCCACTGTGCAGATTGTCTTTCTTCCCTACCCGGCAGGGATGATACAGGGAAGCAGCGTCCAATACCACCTTTGTTAAGAGCCTAGAAGCTCAAAGTGTGGGCACTCCTGAGAGAGGGCCCTCATGCACATGCCATGGCACCAGAGGACCTGGTGGGACAGCAGCCCCCACCCCGGTTCACAGAGCAGCTGCCATCGCCCAGGCTAACCTGGAGCATGCAGGTAACAGTGTCTGTTGGAGGATCACACATATGTTGTTGCTAGACAATGTACCCTGAACAATGCAAATATACAGCAGTTTTGCAAACATCAGAGCAGACAAAAGTCATTCTTGATGTATTACCCTCAATTTGGAATAAATCCTTTGTGCAACAGAGCATTTCCCTTACCCTTTATAAAAAGCTCCTTTTAAGGCAGACCTTTGGACAAACCAAGGGGACGATGACCCCTTGGTCAGACTTCTTTTTACCAGGATGTGGCAGAGTTAGCCTGCAGTGTGAGAAGACAAGTCCTCTGACACCACTTGAAGGGGCTGAGACAGACCCGGTCAGGGCTGATGGCTGTCAGAGGGCTCACCACTCCACACTCAGAGGTGGATTTTTTTCCAATTCCCCTGCTCTGTGAGACAGTCACACTCACAGAGTGTCTCTTTAGAAGCTTTTATGGAAGCTTTTAAATTTGCTTCACAAAATGTTAACCTGGCTGTGTTTTCTGCATTGCATATATTTAAGGTGTATGACTTGATGATCTGATTGGTTGAATTTTTGATTGTTTACCTTTTCCTTTTTTCATACTGCTTTAAGTATAACAAAAAGGGAAAGGAAACTTTTAAAATACATTGGATCTCATTTCCCCTTTACAGACAAGTATTTTGCTTCCTATGACTCAACTTTTATATTAGTCAGGATTCTCCAGAGAAACACACTCAATAGGCTATACAGAGATAAATAAGAGGAAATTTAGGGGCTGGGCATGGTGCCTCACACCTGTAAACCCAGCACTTTGGGAGGCTGAGGCAGGCAGATCACTTGAGGTCAGGAGTTTCAGACCAGCCTGGCCCATCTCTACTAAAAATACAAAAATTAGCCAGGTGTGGTGGCACATGCCTGTAATCTCAGCTACTCCGGAGGCTGAGGCAAGAGAATCACTTGAACCTGGGAGGCGGAGGTTGCAGTGAGCCGAGATCATGCCACTGCACTCCAGTCTGGGCAACTGAGTGAGACGCCCTCTCAAATTATAATAAAAATAAATAAATAAATAAGATAAGATTTATTATAGGAACTGGCTCATGTGATTATGGAGGCTGGGAAGTCCCACGGCAGGCTGTCTGCAGGCTGGAGGCCCGGGAAAGCCAGGGGTGTACTGCAGCCTGAGCCCAAAGGCCAGAGAACCTGGGGAGCTTATGGTGTAAGTCCTGGAGTCCAAAGGCCTGAGCACCAGGAATGCACACGTCCAAGGGCTGGAGAAAATGCAGGTCCCAGATCCAGAAAAGAGAGAGAGAGAATTCCCTTTGCCTCCTCCTTTTTTGTTTTGTCTGGCTTCTCAGTGGATGGGATATGCCCACCCACATTGGTGAGGGTGATCTTTACTTAGTCAATGGATTCAAATGCCAATCCCTTTCAGAAACACCCTCACACACACCCAGAAAGACTGCTCTACAGGCCATCTGGGCATCCCTTAATCCAGTCAAGTTGACCTGTGACATTAGCTGCTGCAACTCATTATTTCATGTCTTCAGCTGCGATATTAAGAAACATGATGGAATCCATCAACCTACGCCATCAGCATTCATCAACACAGGTGCAACTTAGGTTAAAAGATGAGGCTTTGGGGGAAGATATTCAAAGCACCAAGCCCTACTTGTCACCAAAAGCAGAATTTCAGATCAGTGGGTGGACATTGGGCAGGAGGCGCTCTTATGTGGCATCTCTCAGAGAGCTCTGCAGGGTCTCATCCCGATGGCTGCACAAGGTGGTGGGTGACGGGGATGCCCGCTGAGCCTGAGGCCCAGGGCAGCCTGACAGAGGGCCTGTGTCTCAGCCCTCTCGGGCAGAAGGTTAGGACCAGGCAGCCTGGCATCTTGATTTCCACAGCCCTTTTCCTCATCCTCTTGGTCTCATGTCCTGCTCTGGACTCTCTAACTAGCTGGTTAGTTCCTGACCAAGGTTGGGCTTCCTCCACTCCCACCTCTGTTTCTGTTTCCTAATTTTCGTGGGCTGCCTATCTCTTTCTTAGAGTCTTAGAAATAATGGCTAGTTCATCTGTCTGTAGCCATGTCTATAGTGTCCATAGGCTTAAAAATGTTTTCACAGAGGCCGGGCGTGGTAGCTCACGCCTGTAATTCCAGCACTTTGGGAGGCCGAGTCGGGCAGATCACAAGGTCAGGAGTTCGAGACCAGCCTGACCAACATAGTGAAACCCCGTCTCTACTAAAAATACAAAAAATTAGCTGGGCGTGGTGGCAGACCCCTGTAATCCCAGCTATTTGGGAGGCTAAAACAGGAGAATCGATTGAACCCGGGAGGCGGAGGTTGCAGTGAGCTGAGATCACGCCATTGCACTCCAGTTCAGGCGACAGTGTGAGACTCTGTCTCAAAAAAAAAAAAAAAAAATGTTTTCACAGATGATCCAGGAAACGCACTTTGAAGGGTCCTAAATCTGCTTTCCCTCCCGTGAGCCTCTTGTGAATCTGAAGTTCTCAGCAGGTTGCCAGCCACTAATAGAACAGAGAAACACAGAAATCAATGCGAAAACCTTTGTTGCTATGTTCTTCTTACAAAAATTACAGACATGTCCTAGGTAAGATAAGCATATGTTCTCTGATAATGATGATCAATATCATTCTTCTCTGAAATGCAATCTAGAAAACAGGTCCCCAGAGGCTGCCCTGATGGGTGGTGGCTGCCAGCAGTGTGCCCTGAAGGAGACTGATCTGGTCACATGGCCCTCCCACCCCAGGGTGGCAGCACCCACAGACTTAGGAGAGACACACAGGAGGGTGACTCAGCCTGGCTCTCAAGAAAGGGCCAAAACACCCTTGGTGAGAAAGCACAGAAGACGCTAAGACAACCCCTGGAGAAACCAAAGGAAGAAAGTTACATGCAGGAGACAGAGCCTAAGCAGACAAGAGCTGGAAGATTCCCCTGGCTGCGGCTGGAGTGGAGGAGGACCACACTCCCAGTGCAGAGCCACCCGGCAGGGGCCCATTTGAGTTTTGAAGCGAAATCACCCTTTCTGAGTACTCTTTGTGTGTCAGGCATGTGCTAGCTGTTTTGCATGCATGGCTGGGCGCGGTGGCTCACGCCTGTAATCCCAGCACTTTGGAAGGCCAAGACAGGTGGATCACAAGGTCAGGAGATCAAGACCATCCTGGCTAACACGGTGAAACCCCATCTCTACTAAAAATACAAAAAATTGGCCAGGTGTGGTCGCTGGCGCCTGTAATCCCAGCTACTTGGGAGGCTGAGGCAGGAAAATTGCTTGAACCCAGGAGGCGGAGGTTGCAGTGAGCCTAGGTTGTGTCACTGCACTCCCAGCCTGGGTGACAGAGCGAGACTCCATCTCAAAAATAAATAAATAAATAAGTCACAACAACCTCATGAGATAGACATCCTTACTTACAGATGGGGAAACTGAAACACTGAGGGTTAAATAACTCGCTAAATATCCCATGGCTGGTCATGGTGTAGCTGGGACACACACAAACCCAGGCCTATCAACTCCAGTGCCTACACGCTTATCCAGTGCCTCTAGAGGGACAGACACAGTACTGAAAAGTGCCTGTGAAAGACAAAGTGTCACCTGTCTCATTGCAGTAGTGGACAAATGGAACTCTGACTGCTCAGGAAAGAAGAGGTCGGTGCTCTTGGAGCTTCACTCTCTTGTCCCATGCAGGTGCAGGGTAGAGGCTACGGATTTCCTGACACCCACCCTCCTGGCCATCCCCTGATCTCATCACCAGGCTCATCCTCCCACTCCTGGCCACGTGCCTGGAGGTTCTCCTGTCTCTGCCTCAGGTGGCTTTTCTGGTTTCTGGGCCATCTCTCATGGCCTCTGTGAGCCCTGTCCTCCCATGACTCACAGTTTGCTCCCTGAATCTCACCCTCAGACTCTAACTGGAGGATCCATTCCAGCTTTCCCGCATCTCAGTCCCAGTGAGTGGTTCTGTGTCTGTGAAGCCTCAGAAGCAGAACCAATGGGATGATATAGAATGTGGGGGTTTATTATAGGAATTTGATCTCATGCAAATGTGGGAACTGGTTAGAGTTTATGTACGTTTTTTGCTTCTGTGCCTGGTCAGCTGTGAGGAAGGACAGATGACACAAAGTGAGGAAAAGGACAAGCTCACCCTGGAGAATGAGTTTGGAGCCCTCCTGGGCTTCTCCCTACCTCTGGGAAGCACCTGTCAGGTGAATTGCAGGAGAAGCTGGTGCCTTTGCCATGGAGCTGAGCATGAACTACCTGGCCCAGCAGACAGGGAATTGGGAGAAACCGGGGGGAAGTGGTTGCTGCAGGCCGGGTTGCTCTCCCATGCCCAGGAGGTGGGCCGGCAGGTCAGGGACAGTGCACCTGGGCTGTGAAGCTTGTGGTGCCTGCACTGACATTCTGAGCAAGGTGGCTGCTGTTTTCCCCTCCACCTTGCAAATCTCAAGAATGGGTCTGGGCCAGGTGCAGTGGCTCACACCTATAGTCCCAGCTACTTGGGAGGCTGAGGCAGGAGGATCATTTGAGCTCAGGAGTTCCAGGCTCCGATGAAGTATGATCACACCACTGCACTCCAGCCTGGGCGACAGAGTGAGACCATGTCTCTAAAATAAATAAATGAAAAGGAAAAATAATGGTTTTGCTAGGCTCTTTTCCACACTGACTGATGAGGCCAAAGAAATAAGTGGGAAGAAGGAGTTCATGGAAACTGCCTGGCTGTTTCTGAGCCACTGTCCCCTGTCCCAGAGGCTTTGCTTGGGCAGACAGAGGGTTCATCTTACTGAGAGGTGGGGAAAAGGGCAGGAAATGGAGAGAAAGGAAGAACAAATCCCTCTCATTTGATCAGTTCATTTATTGGATGTTTCTTGTTAGAAGCTGAGAATAAAGACATGCAAAAGATGCAGCCTGACCTCTGGAAGCAGACAGTATCGATTATCCCAGGCATGTGGGAGGAGCCGGGTGGACTCTCAGGGTCTCATCGTGCTGCTCTCCCAGGTCTTGCCTTAGGCACCACCATTACTGCATTTGAGAAATGGCGCTGGCAGTAGTTGCTCCTGCTTAAAATGTAAGGGGGCGGCCAGGCGCAGTGGCTCATGCCTGTAATCCCAGCACTTTGGGAGGCCGAGGCAGGCGGATCACAAGGTCAGGAGATCAAGACCATCCTGGCTAACACGGTGAAACCCCGTCTCTACTAAAAATAAAAAAAATAGGCGGGGCACAGTGGCTCACGCCTGTAATCCCAGCACTATGGGAGGCCGAGACAGGTGGATCACGAGGTCAGGAGATCGAGACCATCCTGGCTAACATGGTGAAACCTGTCTCTACTAAAAATACAAAAATATTAGCCAGGCGTGGTGGCGGGCGCCTGTAGTCCCAGCTACTCGGGAGGCTGAGGCAGGAGAATGGCGTGAACCCAGGAGGCGGAGCTTGCAGTGAGCCGAGATCGTGCCACTGCACTCCAGCCTGGGTGACAGAGTGAGACTCTGTCTCAAAAAAAAAAAAAAAAAAAAAAAAAAAAGTAAGGGGGCAGCTCGCACCATTAGGATGGCCACTATCAAAAAAAAAAAAAAAAAAAACCCAGAAAATAAGTATTGGTGAGGATGTGGAAAAATCGGAACCCTTGTGCACTGTTGGTAGGAATGTAAAATAGTGCAGGCACTATGTAAAACAGGATGGCAGTTCCTCAAAAACTTAAAAATAGAATTACCATATGATCCAAAAATTCCACTGTTGAGTATACATGCCAAAGAAAGCAGGGTCTTGAAGTGATATTTGTACACTGCGTTCGAAGCACTATCATTCACATTAACCAAAAAGTGGAAGCAAGCCAAGCATCCATCCACAGACAAGTACATAAACAAAATGTGGTGGATTCATACAATGGAATAGTATTGAGGACAACATTTCTACTAAGTGAAATGAGCTAATCACAAAAGAACAAATACCGCGTTATTCCACTTATATGAGGTGCCTAGACTCATCAAATTCACAAAGACAGAAAGTAACATGGTGGTTGCCAGGGGCCATGCAGTGGGGAGGGGATGGGGACACAGTTTCAGTTTTGCAAGATGAAAAGAGTCCTGGAGATAGATGATGGGGATGGCTGCACAACACTGTGAATGTATTTAACACTACTAACTGTACACTTAAAATGGTTAAAATAGTTTATTTTATTTTATTTTATTTTATTTTGAGATGGAGTCTAGCTCTGTTGCCCAGGCTGGGGGCAATGGCATGATCTCGGCTTACTGCAACCTCTGCCTCCCAGGTTCAAGCAATTCTCCTGCTTCAGCCTCCCAAGTAGCTGGGATTACAGGTGCCCATGACCACGCCCGGCTAATTTTTTTGTATTTTTAGTAGAGACAGGGTTTCACCATGTTGACCAGGCTGGTTTTGAACTCCTGACCTCAAGTGACCTGCTGGCCTCGGCCTCCCAAAGTGCTAAGATTACAGGCGTGAGCCACCACGCCCAGCCAAAATGGTAAATTTTATTATATGTGTTTTTCACCATAACTTTTATAAAAAACCTAAGGAGAAATGTTGAAACTACCAAGGAGAAGGTGTTATTGAGAATAAACTCCAACAGCCGAGACCTGTTGGTCCTCTTTGGTCAACTGGAGCAGGTGAGAGGGGATGCCCTGACCTCAAGCCTCTCCTCTCCAATTGTTTCAAGGTTTGCTTCTGTGAAAAGGAAAATGGAAGTTTACTTAAACCCCGGCATGTGTTTTATTTTGTCCTAATTGTGTAGCCAGGCATTCACTGTTCTCATTAGTTCTGCCAAGTCAGCACCAGAGGCTGGCGAGGTGGCCGTGGAGATGAACGAGTCCTTCCAGATGGCAGAGAGCGGTGTGAGGCTGAGGCTTGTCATAGTGATATGCAATGCCCCTGAACTCTGAAGCTGAGAACTTCCTTTGGGAAGCTGGGTGACCATCTGCGAACACTTCCACCCCAAACATCATCATCAGTGGTTTTACGATGATGTTTGAGTTCCTAGTGTAGCAGTTAAATTTTACAGCAAAAGCTATAATGCTCCTTTATACTTTGTTAAATTATCTTTGGACAAAGAGTTATGGGAGAAGGTGAAGAATGAAGAATTCCTTTCTGAAACACAATAAAAAGAGTGGATCAATGTTTTTCGGTAGCTCCTGGGGCCGTCTTCCCCTGACAATGTTTCTCAACGCTGAAACACACACATGGTCTTGCAGAGCCAGCCTCTGAGCGAGGAAAAGCTTGGCACCCCCATGTCCTGAGTGGGCTCAAGTTCAGGTTTCCAAGGCCATGGTGCCCAAGCTACAGGCAGCCAAAGTTTCAGATGTTACCATAGCTAATTGTAATTTACTCAGCTTCATCCTCACAAAGCTGAGGACATTAACACTGTAGTTAGCACCATTTTCCAGCAGGGGAACTGGGGTTTAGACACAGAGTTAGGTTTTGCTCAAGGTCATGCAGCAAGTAAACGTGAAAAATGAGGTTTGAACCCAGGCAATCTGGGTTTAGAGGCTGAAGACTTTACTACATGCAGCTTGGGCTCTGGTGGCAGAGATGTCAACGCCATCAGAACAATACAGAACTCATGAAAGCTCCAGTTCCAGATAGGATGTTGAGGACACCACAATGTCAGAAGGTGTCACACTGGTTTTGTTTTTAAATCAAGAAGGTGCTAAAAGGAGGCAATCAGATAATAGGAGAAAAAAAGTCACTACTGGGTTGGGGCACATGCATGAGCCTGCAGGGACAGGAAGGAGGGAGGGTAAGGTATCTCCACCAGACCCTCAACTCACCCTCTCCCTCCTCCTGGGTTCAAGTGATTCTCCTGCCTCAGCCTCCCAAGTAGCTGGGATTACAGGCGCCCACCACTACGCCCAGCTAAGTTTTGTATTTTTAGTAGAGACGGTTTCATCATGTTGGTTGGTCAGGCTGGTCTTGAACTCCTGACCTCAGGTGATCCACCTGCCTCGGCCTCCCAAAGTGCTGGGATTATAGGCGTGAGCCACCGCACCAGGCTTCCAGTCCCTTCTTTTGGCCTCTAGTTATAAAGGTAATTGTAACCATGAAATATCCAGGATATAAGTTCCCTTTGCCCACTGGTACTTTCGACTTGGTTTATCCACGTTTTCGTGCACTCTGTGTCTTCTTAGTCTATATCCTATGATAGTTATTCTACGATTCACACAATATCCATTCTCTCATTTCTTACGACCAAATTTAACTTCAACCTTTTCTAACTTTGTGATACCAGAAAATCAAAATGATTTATCTCTTTCCTTCTGTCTCCCAATAACGCGCACACATGCACGTGCGCACACACACACACACACGTACAATATAGTTTCTAGAAAATGTTCATCTAGCTCGGTTTTCTGGCCCTTAACCGAATGTGTGAGTAGTGTAAGGATGCATTTTCTTGATCCTGTGCTATGTTTAAAGCAATATGTCTCCATCTGATCAGGGTTATGTCTCTCTACAAATGCTGGATTTATGTAAATGCCACTCTGTCTCCAACCAGTACAGCACATGATTTAGCTGTCGTTCAGTGATGTTATTTTGGAGAACTGCATGAGCTCTAACTACAGAATTTAAGAAATTCTATATTAAAGGAGAAGAACCAGCATCAGTGCTGGCTTTTACAAAACTATTTATTTCAAAATAATTGGAGACCCACAGGGACTTGTAAAAATAAGAAATAGAGTTTGTTGAGCCCTCCCTCACCTTACTTCCTCCAGTGGTGACATCTTTTATAACTCTATTGCAACATGAGAGCCAAGGACCAAGAAATTAACACTGCTACATTACACTGCAACCTTACTCAGTTTTCACTTATTTTTACCCTGCATTAATTTGTGTGTGTGTGTGTGTGTGTGTGTGTGTGTGTGTGTATAGTTTTATGCAATTTTACCCTATGTGTAGATTTATGTAATGTCAGGATCAGGATACGGAACCATTCTATCATCTCTGGGGAACTATCTCATACCCATCCTATCCAGGCTCACCCATCCACCCACCCGTCCCTAACAGCAACCACTAACCTGTTCTCTATCTCTATAGTTTTGTCATTTTGAGGATGTTTTGAAATGAACTTGTACAATATTTTTTAAAAAAACCATTTCAAATTGGCTGTTTTTACTAAGTAAAATGAATGCCCTTAATATCCATCCAAGCTACTGCATGCATCAATAGTTTTCATTGCTGAGTAATATTTTCTTTTATGGATGAACCAGTTTGTTCAACTCTTCACCCTTTGAAGGACATTTGGGTTGTTTCCACTGTTTGGTTATTATGAATAAAATCGCTGTGAGTGTACAAGTTTGTGTGTGAATATAACTTTCCATTTCACTACTGGGTTGTATTGTTAGTACATGCCTAGTTTGTTGTTCTCTTTTTGAGATGAAGTCTGGCTCTGTCGCTCAGGCTGGAGTGCAGTGGCACCATCTCGGCTCACTGCAACCTCCGCCTCCCAGGCTCAAGTAGTTCTCCTGCCTCAGCCTCCCGAGTAGCTAAGACTACATGTACTTGCCACCACACCTGGCTAATTTTTGTATTTTTAGTGGAGACAGGGTTTCACCATGTCGGCCAGGCTGGTCTTGAACTCTGACCTCAAGTGATCCACCCACCTCAGCCTCCCAAAGTGCTGGGATTACAGGCATGAGCCTCCACACCTGGTTGTACATGCCTAGTTTTTAAAGAAACTTATTTTCCAGAGTGGTTATACCATTTTCACACTTCCACTAGCTATGTGTGAGAATTCCAGTTTCTCAACATCCTTGCCAAGATTTCATGTTATGCCTATTTTTATATTTTAGCTATTTAAAAAACAATTTTTTTCTTTTCTTTTTTATTTTATTTTTTGCTCTGTGCCCAGGCTGGAGTGCAGTGGCATGATCTCCACTCACTGCAACCTCCGCCTCCCTCGTTCAAGTGATTCTCCTGCCTCAGCCTCCTAAGTAGCTGGAATTACAGGCATGTGCCACCACACTTGGCTAATTTTTTTGTATTTTAGTAGAGACAGGGTTTCGCCATGTTGGCCAGGCTGGTCTTGAACTCGTGACCTATATGATCAACCCACCTCGGCCTCCCAAACTTAGAATGGTTTCTTCATGTTGTTGCTAGTACATAAAAATACAATTGATTTTTCTGTGTTGATCTTGTATCTTCAAACTTTGCTATACTCACTTAGCTCTAGGAGTTTTCCTAGATTTCTGATAGGGTTTGGCTGTGTCCCCACCCAAATCTCACCTTGAATTGTAATAATCCCGACATGTCAAAGGCAGGGCCAAGTGGAGACAATTGAATCATGGGGGCGGTTTCCCCCATACTGTTCTTGTGGTAGTGAATAAGTCTCATGAGATTTGACGGTTTTATAAATGGGAGCTCCCCTGCACAAGCTCTCTTGCCTGCCTCCATGTAGGATGTGACTTTGCTCATTTGCCTTCTGCCACAATTGCGAGGCCTCCCAGCCATGTGGAACTGTGAGTTCATTAAACCTCTTTCCATTATAAATTACCCAATCTTGAGTATGTCTTTATTAGCAGCAGGAGAACAGACTAATACAGTATCTTACTTAGCATTTTTTACCTAATCAGGTCATCTGAAAATATGGACAGTTTTATTTCTTCCTTTTTGAGCTGTATGCTTTTTATTTTCTTTTCTTGCCTTATTTTACTGACTGAAAACTTGACAGGACACATCCTTATCTTGTTCCATATCTTACAAGAAAAACGTGAGCTTTCACCATTGAGATGATGTCAACTGTAGGATTTTCTGTAGATGATCTTACTCAAGTTTAGGAGGTTCCCCTTCATACCTAGTTTGCTGAGGGTTTTTATCATAAAATGATAAAGACAAATAAAACAAATACAATAAAAAAACAAATAAAAATAAACTGTCTTTATTGTTGCCAGTCTTGAGATAATTTTGTCATTTTTACTGATATTTTCAAAGAGCCAGCTTTTTCTTTGATTTCTGCTCTTCTCTTTGTTATTTTTTCCTTCTTTTCCTGGTTTCCTGGGGTGGGTGCTTAATTTTTGACCTTAGGATCTTTCTTCTTTCCTAATATAAGCATTTGGTGCTGTAAATTTCCCTCTGTGCAGTGCTTTAGCTGCATGTCACAAATTTCGATGTGATGTGTTTTCGTTTCATGCAGCTATGGGCACTTTTATTTTTCTAACTGACTTTTTAAGCCATTTTAAAGTATACAATTCAGTGGTATTAGTGCATTCAAAATGTCATGTTAGGCCAGGCGTGGTGGCTCACGCCTGTAATCCCAGCACTTTGGGAGGCCGAGGTGGGTGGATCACGAGGTCAAGACATCAAGACCATCCTGGGCAACATGGTGAAACTTCGTCTCTACTAAAAATACAAAAATTAGCCAGCCATGGTGGTGCATGCCTGTAGTCCCAGCTACTCGGGAGGCTGAGGCAGGAGAATTGCTTGAACCTGAGAGGCGGAGGTTGCAGTGAGCCAAGATCTCACCACTGCACTCCAGCCTGGTGACAGAGCAAGACTCCATCTAAAAAAAAAAAAAAAAAAAAGTCATGTTACCATTACCAGTATCCATCTCCAGAATTTTTTTCATTATCTCAAACTGAAACTCTATCCATTAAATGGTAAGTCCTTATTCCCCGTTTTGCTAGTTCCTGGTAACCTCTATTCTACTGTCTGTCTATACATTTGCCAGTCCTAGGTGCTTCATACAAGTGAAATCATACACTTTGCCTTTTTGAGTCTGGCTTATTTCACTTTGCACATGTTTTCAAGGTTCATCACATGTGGTAGCATATGTCAAAATTTCCTTCTTTTTTAAGACTGGATAATAATTCAGTTCATCGTATGTATGTGCCATATTTCATTTATTCATCCATCCATTGGTGGGCTCTTGGGTTCTTTTCACCTATTGTGAATAATGCTGCTGTGAACAGCAATGAACAACTACCTATATTTCTGCTTTCCATTCCGTGTAAGTATATACCCAGAAGTTAGATGACTGGATTGTAAGGTAATTCTATGTTTAACTTTTTGCACAACTCAAACTGTTTTCCACAGTGACTGCATCATTTTACATTCCTACCAGCAGTGCACAAGGGTTAAATTTCTTCACATCCTCACCAACACTTGTCATTTTCAATTTGGGAGGATAATAAGTCATCCTAATGGGTATGAAGTAATATTACATTTTGATCTGCATTTCTCTAGTAATAATGTTTAACATCTTTGATGTGTTTATTGGCCATTTGTACAGCTCCTTTGGAGAAATGTCTATTCATGTCCTTTGCCCATTTTTAAATTGAGTTGCTTGTGGTTTGTTACTATTGTTGTTGAGTTGTAGGAGTTCTTTATATATTCAGGAAATTATTCTATGTGATCTTACTCTCTTTACATTTGTGAAGGTTTGTTTTTTATGATCCAGGTTTTCATCTATCTTAAATGTTCCACGGTGCTTGAAAAGAATGTATACTATGCTGTTGTCACTTAGAATATTCTATCGATGTCCATTAGATCATGTTGATTGATGGTGATGTTCAGTTCATCTGTATCTTTGCTGATTTTCTATCTAATATTTCTATCAATTGCTGACAGAGGGGAATTCAAGTACCCAACCATAATTGGGGAATCGTCTAGTTCTTTTTTCAGTTCTGTTTTTACTTCATGCATTTTGATGTTCTGTCCTTTGGTGTTTGGTACATGCACATTTAAGATCACTGTGTGTTTTTGGATGGTTGCATCTTTATTTATTTATTTAAGACAGATCCTCACTCTGTCATCCAGGCTGGAGTGCAGTGGCACCATCTTGACTCACTGCAACCTCTACCTCCTGGGTTTGAGTGATTCTCCTGCCTCAGCCTCCCAAGTAGCTGGGATTACAAGTGGGCGCCAACACACCCGGCTAATTTTTGTAATTTTAGTAGAGACAGCATTTCACCGTGTTGGCCAGGCTGGTCTTGAACTCCTGACCTCAAGTGCTCTACCCGCCTCGGCCTCCCAGAGTGCTGGGATTAGATGTGTAATCCACTATGCCCGGCCAGGTTGCATCTTTTTATCATTATGTAATGTCCCTGGTAATTTTCTCTTGGAAGTCTACTATATCTGTTATGAAGCCACTCCAGTTGGCATGGCATATCTTTTCCATCCTTTTATATTCAATCTACTTATGTCATTATAGTGAGTTTCTTAGGTGCATCACATAGATGGGTCATTTTTTAATCCATTCTTCCAATCTCTGTTTTTCAGTTCGTCACTAATTATATTTTACAGAGATCATTTATATTAAAAATAATTATTAATCGATTAGGGCTCAAGTCTACCATTTTATTATTGATCTCCTGTGTGTTGTCTCCAGTTCTTGTTCCTTTGTGTACCTCTTCTTGATTTCTTGTGGATTACCTGAATGTTATTTAGAATTTCATTTTGATTTGTTCATAATGTTTTTTATTCATTTGAATAATTTTCTTAGTGTTTGCTCTAGGTATACCAAAATATATGAAGCATATCGCAGTCTACTAGTATTGACATTTACCATAGTCAAGTGTAGAAACTTTACTTCCCTTTATTTCCCTTTGCCCTCTCCAATTTTTAAATATCGTTTTAAGTACTTCTATATACACTGAGTACCATACCAGATGGCATTATAATGTTTGTTTTAACCATCAAATATAATTGCATAAGGAGAAGGATAGTCTATTACGTTTGCCCTTTTTACTTATTCTATTGTTTTTTTCTTTCATTCTGTATTTCCTTTCCTCTTTCTGTCATCTCCATCTGCTATCACTTGCATTTTGTTTCTTTAGCTGTTCTTTAAAAGTAGATTTGGCTGGGCATGGTGGCTCATGCCTGTAATCCCAGCACTTCAGGAGGCCAAAGCAGGTGGATCACTTGGGGCCAGGAATTCGAGACCAGCCTGGCCAACATGGTGAAACCCCATCTCTACTAAAAATACAAAAATTGGCGGGGCATGGTAGTGCACACCTGTAATCCCAGCTACTCGGGAGGCTGAGGCAGCAGAACGCTTGAACCCAGGAGGCGGAGGGTGCAGTGAGCCGAGAGCATGCCACCGCACTCCGGCCCGGGTGACACAATGAGACCCTGTCTCAAAAATTAAAATAAATAAATAAATAAAATTTTTAAAAAGAGTAAATCTGATGGCAACAAATTCTATTCCTTTGTCTGCGAATGTCTTTATCCTTCAGAAATAAATGGTACTTTCACTAGTTTTAGGACATAGGGTTTATAATTCTTTATTTTTCAGCCCTTGAAAAATGCTGGGCTACTTCCTCCTGGTCTCCATGGTTTCAGATGATGAACATTCTGTCATTCAAATCATTGTTCCCCTGTAACTAATTCATCGTTTCTTTCTAGCTGCTTTCAATTGTGTTTTTTGGGGATTTTTGTCTTCAGTTTTCAGAAGTTTTATTATAATGTATCTTGATGTGGATTCTTTTGGTTTTATTCTGTTTGAGATTCACTTAGCTTTTTGAATCTAAGTTTATGCCTTGCACCAAAGTTGGGGAATTTTCAGCCATTATTTCTTCTGGCGCCTTTTCAGCTTCACAAATTTTCTCCTATCCTGGAACTCTGATGACATAAACGCTAGTTCTTTTGTCATTGTCCTGCAGGTTATGAGACTTTGTTCATTTTTTTCCCCCAGGCTATTTTCTCTATTTATTTATTTACTTAGTTTTTGAGACACAGTCTTGCTCTGTCACCCAGGCTGGAGTGCAGTGGCATGATCTCAGCTCACTGCTACCTCCACCTCCCGGGTTCAAGTGATTCTCCTGCCTCAGCCTCCCGAGTAGTTGGGATTACAGGTGCTCACCACCACGCTAATTTTTGTATTTTTAGTACAGACGGGATTTCACCATGTTGGCCAGGCTGATCTCGAACTCCTCACTTCAGGTGATCCCCCGCCTCGGCCTCTCAAAATGGTGGCATTACAGGCATAAGCCTGTATTATTTAGATTGAGTAAATTTTATTTCTCTATTCTCACATTCACTAATTTTATTCTCCGTCATCTCTAAGCTAGTACGGAGCTCATTCAGCAAACTGTTTCTTTCAGTTCCTGTATTTTTAGTTCTATGATTTTCATTTAGTTCCTTTTTTACATCTTCTATTTCTTTGCTGAGACTTTCTATGTTTACTTGTTTCAGGAGTATTTGTAATTGCTTGTTGAAACTTTTTGTGATGGCGGCTTTGAAATCTTCATCAGCAAATTTCAACTGCTGAATCATCTTCATGTGTGCTTTTGTTTGTGGTCTGTGGCCATTCAAGTTATTTTCTGGGTTCCTGGCATGACAAGCGGTCTTTGATTGTATCTTGGAGACTTTGGGTACTATGTTAGAAGACTCAGGGTCTGTCTTCTTTAAAGTTTCCATTTTAGCAGGCAGTTTCCCCGTTTAGACTTAGGATGCAAGTCCCTTAGGCTGCGGGTCCAATGACGACTGAGTTTTCAGAGCCCCTGTAGTGCTACTGTAGTCAAGTTTGTTAGTGTGCCACCTGCGGGGCACTCTGCAATGCGTATGTACATCTGCATGTGTGAAACTTTCACACTGGTCCAGTTCTAATCTTTTGATGTGTTGAACTGGTCAGTTTTTACCTTTGGGTTGATCAGCTGTCTGCGCCAGACCTTCTAGGCAGGGCTTAAAGAATCATTTTCTCCAGCTTTTTCCTATCTGAGATCCTCTTCCCCATGTCTAGCTGGGGGTGGGGACAGAAGTCCAGACTCCCCACTCCATCTCTGTGGACACCATGCCAGTAGGGAAGGAACTTGCTGCCAACAGCTGCCAACAACTTGCTGCCAACAGCTGCCACCTGGCCCTGGTGGATGGGAGTGGGAGTCCACACCCCCTCCCTGGCCTCTGCTGATGGCACCAGCCCAGGCTGCCTGCTGCTGCTGGGCGGGGCATAGGAGTCTAGACTCTCCTTTGAGACTTCACTGCAGTGCTGGAGTTGCTAAGGTGTGCACTTAGCTGGAGGTAAAGTGGATATTATCAAAAAGGACTTCCGTCCTGTGGGCTGCCCATTTCCCTGTCTCTGCTAGATAAATAAGGTTTTTCTTCAAGCTTTATTTTCCATCTGTGCCTTATGGTGGTTCTGGATTGCAGGCTTCTCTAGCACCCAGTCCAGAATATAGCAAAGATAAAAAGAAAACCCAGAGTGTCGCCACCACCTCAGTCCTCAAGTCTTGAGTTCTCGAACCAGGCTGCCTGCCTCTTTTTACTTTTCCAAGGGTCCTTATGATTATCCATTAAATTATTTCCAGGGTTTTTAGTTTTACTTAACAAAAAGGAGCAGAGGGAAGTGAATCTACTTGTCTAGGACCAGAAAGCCAGCTGCTTTTTTATGCTGTCTTTTATTTTGTAGCTAGAAACTCCTGGATTTTTTTCCTCAGAATGTTGGAGTCAATGTTTCTTTTATTTTCAAATACAGAAATGTCTTATAACCTGTTTACTAAAATGATAAAGAATCAGGTTAACAGAGGCCAGGCACGGTGGCTCATGCCTGTAATCCCAACACTTTGGGAAGCTGAGGCAGGTGGATCACCTCACATCAGGAGTTCAAGACCAGCCTGGTCAACATGGCAAAACTCTGTTTCTACTAAAAAAAATGCAAAAATTAGCTAGGCATGGTGGTAGGCACCTGTAATCCCAGCTACTCACAAGGCTGAAGCAGGGAGAATTGCTTCAACCCAGGAGGCAGAGGTTGCAGTGAGCCGAGATCCCACCACTGCACTCCAGCCTGGGCAGGTCCCAAGAGCAAGCCGCAAAGGTCCCTGGCAAGTCTCAGCCCGTGGCTGGATCCTCCCTCTGCTGCCTCTACCTGTTGGTTTTACATCAGGTTTCCCACCTGGTTTCTTCCTGGAAGCCCAGTCTTGCAGGGGGTACAGGTGATTTTGGACGGTAATGCAGAGAGACCAGCCACTCTCCACTGTGAGACAAGTTGCATGAGGATGAGGCTTCAGAGGTCTGGCCTGACCTTGATTCAGGTGCGATGTCAGGAAGGAAACAAACGTTGGCATTAGGATTGCATCCAGCATGAATGAATTGTGATTGCTGAATGAGTAAACTTTTAGTTGGAGGAACATTTCCACTCCAAACTCCCGTGGGAGTAAGTTCTTCAGAAACTGCCTTCAGTGTGCCCCAGGATTCTGTGAAAGTGCAGAGACTGGCACCACCAACTGTCAGCCTTCTCCAGGGCAGGATGACAACATGTGTCAGGTCCCACTGAATTGCCCAAAAGGCTGAATAAGCACATGTACCAGCTTTCCAAGGTCCCCGAGGCTTCAGGGAGAGGGAGGGGTTGGAGGAAATATTGATTCCAACTTTTGAAAGAAAAGAAAATCAACATTAACATCCATAGATCTATAAGATGTATTTTATGTCAAATAATCCATTGTAATTCAATTTACATGTAGGAATATAAAATTGCATTTGATGTTGGGGGGGGCGGGCATTGAAATGTATTTGGTATGACATGGAGTGGAGCCTTCAGTGTTTTTAAAAGGGCCCAGCTGAACCAGGAAAGGAGGGACAAAAATAGAAGGGTGGGGAGGGAAAAGATCAGCTTCAATCAGTTCATGCACAATTTTGCAATCAGAAATGTCAGAAGGAAACTATTTTAGTGTCCACACACTTAAGTTTTGTGAAATGGGGTGAGGGGGCCGGGCACGGTGGCTCACGCCTGTAATCCCAGCACTTTGGGAGGCCGATGTGGGAGGATCACCTGAGCTCGGGAGTTCAACACCAGCCTGGCCAAAATGGTGAAACTGTCTCTACTAAAAATACAAGAATTCACTGGGCGTGGTGACGGGTGCCTGTAATCCCAGCTACTCGGGAGGCTGAGGCGAGAGAATCGCTTGAACCCGGGAGGCGAAGGTTGCAGTGAGTCGAGATCGTGCCTCTGCACTCCAGCCTGGGTGGAGACTTCATCTCAAAAAAAAGAAAAAGAAAAAACGGGGTGGGGGTTTCATGAGGGGCTCACTGCTCGGGGTCTTACCTGGGTTCTGCCAGTGGTGGGGCTGTTACTTTCCACTGGCAGCCACACCAAGCTGGCCACACCTGGCACCTCTGGTGTGGTGGCTGGGGATGCCCTGGAGACGAGGTCTTCAGATGCCCCTTCATGTGCACCAGATGCCAAGTGCCTGCTGTAGGGGAGGGTGGCGGAGACCCTAAGGTTCGGTGTGCAGGAGGATTAGCCGGTTTGCCAGACAAGCTTAGAGCATGTCTTTACCCCACTTGCCCTGTGGGGTAAGGGTAAGAACTGTCACCCTTTGGTGCTGGCTCCTGTGCCAGGACCCCCTCCCAGGACAAGTGCACACGATCCCCTCCCAGCAGAGCTTGGATATAGCCCTGCAACTTGCAGTAGGCTCCGCCCACCTCTTCCCTACAACCCCCACTCCTGTTTGGGGCTGTAAAAGTAGAAAAAAACTCCCATAAAACCCAAAATGCTTTTTCTACTCTCACCCCACAAAAATCAACACAGAAGACTTCTATGGCCAAATGTGCAGGGATTTCTCCCCAAAAATAAACAAGCAATCGGTTCTGCAGTGGACACCAGCTGGGTATCCCCCAATTCAGTTCCAATACTGTCTACCTGGAGAGAGTATCAGATCCCAGAGGGTGAGGGCTCTGTGCCCAAGACTACCCCCCTTCCCAGCCCCGCTAGATACCAGCAACAAGTCCGGGGCCTCCAGAACTCCTGCCTGACTGGCTTCAAGTTGGGGTCCCCATGGCTCCTCTTTTGGTTTGATTAATTTGCTGGAGCAGCTCACATAACTCAGGGGAACACTTAACTTACCTTTAGTGGCTGATCACAAAGGACACAAATGAAGAGATGCACAGGGTGAGGCATGGAAGAGGGAGCACGAAGCTTCTACGCCCTCCCCAGGGACCACCCTCCAAGAAGCTCCCCGTGTTCAGCCATCCAAAAGCTCCTGCCATCCAGCCTCCCGAGTAGCTGGGACTACAGGCGCCTGCCACCACACCCGGCTATTCTTTGTATTTTTAGTAGAGACGGGGTTTCACCGTGTTAGCCAGGATGGTCTCAATCTCCTGACCTCATGATCTGCCCGCCTCGGCCTCCCAAAGTGCTGGTATTACAGGCATGAGCCACCGCACCCGGCCTCCTTAGGGTTTTTATGGAAGCTTCATGACTGATTAAACCACTGGCCATTGGTGATCAACTCAACCTCCACGTTGGGGGGTTGGGCTGAAAGTCCTAACCCTCTAATCCTGCCTAGGTGTTGCTCGTAACCAGCCCCAACCTTCCTAGGTGCTGCCAGCCAGCAGTCAGTTCATTCATGTGCAAAAAGACATCACTGTGTAGTTGCTAAGGATTTCAAGAGTCATGTGCCAGGAAACGGGGTTCACAATATCACAGGGGCCATGCTGGGTCTCCCATGAGCCTGAGACACCCAGCCTCGTCCATAGTGTGCTCAGGAGTCCTGCACTGTAGGGCGGGATGTGCACCCCGTGCATGGGACAGGGGACACAGAGGACACAGAGGAGCTCGGAAGTGTGGCAGGACTAGGCCACGATGACCCATTCTCCTGCCAAGGAATAGCGAGAGAAGGCTCCCCAGGGTGCAGCCACAGCACACCTAGGGGGTCCACGGAAACAGACCCCGTGTAGGCCTCTCCCTGTGAGTTCAGGTCATCTGAGACTGATCATTCAAGCCCCAGCCATGCGCTGTTGATGATGTGAGACCACAGCTTATCCAGGAATCAAAACAGAGGTGTCTGCTCCAGCCACCTGTGATTTATGGGCTTTAATTGCAGACCTGCTCCTGTCTTATAAAATCAGGATGGAGCCTCCACTGCTGAGGCAAGGAAAAGATTTGTCTAAAATATTGGCTGCTGTCGTCGATACTGGGACCTCTTGAGCCAGGTCCCTTCCACATTCTGATGAGGTAAGGCTGCTCTGGAAGAAAAAGCCCTCCAGAACATAAATCTATTTGACAACAAATGTCTCCTTCTCATGGCGAGCCAAATCCCCCTGTGCAGGAGCCAGAGATACAGACACAGAAAAAGAGGAGCTGGTTCAGTCTTCAAGGACAGAAAGAAAGAGAAACTCTGCCTGGTGCTAAAGCAGGCCCTCTTTGCAGCTCATTCCAAGCCTAAACCAGCTCCTGCAACTCTCACCAAAGCTGTAGCTCTTCACGGGGATGGAAAAGCAATCTCGTCGCGTGTGGCCATTGGGATGATTTTCTCCTCCCCTCATGCCTGCTGTGGACGAGGGGCGTTTCCTCACGTCGCAACTGTTGCTTTGGCCAATGGAACGTTAGCAGTTGAGGTGTGGGCAAAGTCCTGGAATGTGCTTGTGCGTACAGTTGGCTCAGCTCCTGGGCTCTGGCCCTTCACCATGAGAACACGTCCAGGTGCTGCTGATCAAAGGAGGAGGAACCCGTGGGGCACATCAGAGGCCGCCCTGCAGCTTAGAGCCCAGTGCAGCTGAGCCCAGTGGCCTGCACAGCTGTGCATGAAGAATGAACATTGGTTGCTACAAGCCACTGAAATTGTGAAGTTGTCTGCTACACAGCAATATTATGCCAGTAGTCCATCACCACATCCAGGACTTTAGAGAAGCAAGACCCTGATACGACGCTCCTGCCACCATCTCAGAATTATCTGAAAAACAACCCTGACACCAACATAATTTTTTCTCTCTCACAAATTCAAATTATATTATTCCCTCAGTCTGTGAGTCAGGGGTTATTTTATTTTTAAAGTTTGCTGCCTCCTCAGTATATGTAATTTGACCCTAATTTTGTAAGACATGAATATAGCTAAATATATTCCAGAGATGAGACTGAAATGCTCAAGATGGTGACAGCAGTATTTCTGGGTTGAGAGATTTAGAGTGACTTATGTTCCACCAAAAACATTTCTATATTTGTTCACATTTTCTATAATGTCATTATTTTATGATCAACTATATATACTTGATTTTTGAACAGATAAAGCTTAACATAAACATGGTTTAAACATAAAGTTTACTCCCCAGAAACTTTGTTCAGAATGTCAAAAACACAGGACAGGAAGATAAGTAAATCCTCATACAGCAGAGTCACTGTTCACCCTGGGAAGGGAGGTAACTGCCAGAAACCCAAACAAAGGGATCCTCAGATGCTGTTGGCCTCTTCTGCTTAGGAACTGATGTCAGAAAATATTTGTCCTTGAGAAAGCCAGCCCCTGATTAAATGTTACTATGCTCTGATACAATGTCAGTAAATCATTTCCAAAACCCCAAACACTGAAATAGTAGGGGGTGGCAATGACCACTTGGGTGATTTCTCACCTGGGAGGACATCATAAAGGTAAAGATGAGCACTGGGGTACAAATGTGCTTGCAATGGGGACATATGCAGTGAGCAGAGAGTGGGGCACACACCTCCCTAGACTCATTTCTCAGAAACACATCAGGTCACCCACTTTCTCTCCAAAAGCAGAAGTCAGATTGAGCTCATGTTCCCTTGTCCATGAATAACTGGATGTGTGAGGTTATGACAGATTTAGAACCTGCCAAAATCAGAGTGAGTGAGAGAGTGAGTGTCCTTCCTGGGCTAGAACATACTCTACTTCTCTGAAGTTGAACAAGATGGAAATTTCATAACCTCAAGGGACAGAGAGAACACTGCCCACTGCAGATGGTAATATTCAGGGGCATCCTCCAGGGTTCCTCAGGTGGGCAGAACCAGAATGGGTCATGGGATGAGAGATCTATTACGGGAACGAGACCTTGCCAGTTGCAGGAGGAGCTAGAGAAGAGAAGGTATGAGAGGGAAGTGTGCAGAGCGGAGGAGTCACCAACTAGCTGGTCTGAGAAATCAAGCTCGTCGCACTGCCAACGCTGGTCCATGAAAGCAGAGGAGACATCTACAGCAAGCTATTTCTTCAGCCAAGCACCTGAAGATGGTCGGAGTTATTGTTGGCCAGGAGGATGCCCCACAGTGAAGAAGACCAAATGGACATGGAGTACAAGGACACGCAGGAGGCTGTGGCACCTCCAAGTGTGTCTGTCACTGCACCTAACTGCGTTGACCTTCAGAGGGTAATGGCTGCTGCCTGCTGATCAGAATTGGCTCAGTCCTTTCTGCAAGGAAGGAAGGGGAAAGGGAAATCAAAAGGAATCTGGCCTTGTCAGTTTCTATGGCGAGGCTCTGCCAGCAAAAAACAGTGGCTATGGGCCAGGCAGCCCAGAGTGCCTGCTGCAGGGCCAGCTCTTCCAGCTAAGGGCTTCTCCACCTCGGCACTGCTGATGTTTCCAGCCCAGTGATCCTTGGTGGTGGGGGTTTATCCTGAACACCACTGGTCTCTATCCACAGGATTCCAAGGGCATAGTCCCTGCAAGTCATAACCAAAACCATCTCCAGACATTGCCAAATGTCCCCAGAGTGGTGGCAGACAAAACCCTGCCAGCTGAGAACCACTGTTTTACCTTCTGCATCTCAGAGTGCTGAATCAAGGTTTAAGAACATAATGAAGCTTATTCAGTCACATTGTGCTCACTAAAAACATTGTTTTAAAAAGTTTTAGTGAGAATAGAAAGGATTTCTGTGCAATTAATAAAAAACAAAGGGCTGGGTGTGGTGGTTCACACCTGTAATCCCAGCAGTTTAGGAGGCTGAAGCAGGAGGATCCCTTCAGGCCAGGAGTTTGAGACTAGCCTAGGTAACATAGCAAGACCCCATCTCTACAAAAGTTTAAAAATTAGCCGGGCGTGGCTGTTGCCTAGCAAGTAAATAAATCCAGTGTTCTATTTTTCTATCACTGTGGCATTCATTGCCTTTCCTTTAACAATTCTGGAGATTCCACTAAGATTGCCTTGTCGATTCTCCTTGTCTGGAGCAGTGGACAGCCCAATCTGAGGAGTGTGAGCCCTCAGCTCAAAGGGCTGAGCCCACGGTCAGGGGCTCTGCTGCTTTTTGTGGTGAGTCACTCAACAGCAATAATGCCTTTCTTGTTTGTGGAGTTATAACCTGAATCCTGGTCAGCAGTTTCCAATGCATGACTCAGTGTGAGACTTTGTTGGGATGCTAAAGTGATTTGTTGAGTTTTCAACCTTGATTTGTAACTTATCTATTAACTCTCTTTTGAAAGAAATCTTTGTCGTGGAGGAGTAAATAAGCTACTGAGCATCTGCAGAGTCCCACGGCTCTCTAAATTTCTGCCTATTCCATTTATAGTCTGCACTTCTTGTTCAAATGCATGTTGGGTCGTGGAGACCAATGCTGTCCAGAAAAAAACTGGCCGAGTCTTGACTCAATCTGAAAGTCTCTCTGTTACACAAAATTGTCATTTGCCATACTTATCATAATTATCTGTCGGTTTGTCTCTCTGTTTCTTGTCCTAAAAGTTCTGCCGAAAGTTTGTGATTGAAGCATTTATGCAAAAGTCAGACGTAACAATTAAAATGGTAAATTTTATGTTACATATATTTTATCACAATAAAAAATAAGTCAAATGCTGGCTGTACAAACTAAAAGTAAAGAGTGAGACATAGACTTACGGGAGGCAGCTAGAGCAGTTCTTACAGATAAATTTATAATTGTAAATACTTATAATAACAAAGAAAAAAGATCTCAAATCAACAACTTAACCTTCCACAGTAAGACACTGTGAAAGAACAGCAAGCTAAACCCAAAGCAAGCATAAGAAAGGAAATAAGAAGAATTAGAGAGGAATTTAATGAAATAACAATTAGAAAAACAATAGAGAAAATCAACAAAATCAAAAGTTGGTTTTTGTTTGCTTTTTTTTTTTTTTTTTGAGACGAAGTCTCACTCTTGTCACCCAGGCTGGAGTGCAATGGCATAATCTCGGCTCACTGCAACCTCTACCTCCCAGGTTCAAGCGATTCTCCTGCCTCAGCCTCCTGAGTAGCTGGGATTACAGGTGCGCACCACCACGCCCAGCTAATTTTTGTATTTTTAGTAGAGATGGGGTTTCACCACGTTGGCCAGGCTGGTCATGAACTCCTGACGTCAGGCAGTCTGCCCGCCTTGGCCTCCCAAAGTGCTGTGATTACAGGTGTGAGCCACCACGCCCAGCCAGAAGTTGGTTCTTGTAAAAGATCAACAAAGTTGGCCAACCTTTACCTAGGCTGACTGACAGAAAAGAGAGAGAAATCAAATTACTAAAATCAGAAATGAATGAGAAGCCATTGCCACCAACTTACAGAAATAAAAAAGAATTGTGAGGAAATACTATGGACATCTGTATGCCAACAAATTAGATGACTTAGGTGAAATGGACAAATTCCTAGAAAGACACAAACTCCAAAACTGATTCTAGGGAAACATAGAAGATATAAATAGTCATAGAAAAGAGATTGAATTAGTAATAAAAGAAAAAATCTAGGCCAGGTACAGTGGTATAAGCTTGTAATCCCAGCACTTTGGAAGGCTGAGGTGGGTGGATGGTCTGAGCTCAGAAGTTTGAGACTAGCCTGGGCAACATGGTGAAACCCCATCTCTACAAATACAAAAAATAAA